>NC_000017.11:25062356-25373579 GCF_000001405.40 Homo sapiens
TTCTGTAGAAACTGCAAGTAGATATTTGGACCTCTCTGAGGATTTCGTTGGAAACGGGATAACCCGCACAGAACTAAAACAGAAGCATTCACAGAAAACTCTTGGTGACGACTGAGTTTAACTCACAGAGCTGAACATTCCTTTGGATGGAGCAGTTTCGAAACACACTATTTGTAGAATGTGCAAGTGGATATTTAGGCCTCTCTGAGGATTTCGTTGGAAACGGGATAAACCGCACAGAACTAAACAGAAGCATTCTCAGAAACTACTTTGTGATGATTGCATTCAAGTCACAGAGTTGAACATTCCCTTTGACAGAGCAGTTTGGAAACTCTCTTTGTGTAGAATCTGCAAGTGGAGATATGGACCGCTTTGAGGCCTATGGTAGTAAAGGAAATAGCTTCATATAAAAGCTAGACAGTAGCATTCTCAGAAACTTCTTTGTGATGCTTGCATTCAACTCACAGAGTTGAACTTTCCTTTCGAGAGAGAAGCTTTGAAACACTCTTTTTCCAGAATCTGCAAGTGGACATTTGGAGGGCTTTGAGGCCTGTGGTGGAAAAGGAATTATCTTCCCGTAAAAGCTAGATAGAAGCATTGTCAGAAAGTTCTTTGTGATGATTGCATTCAACTCACAGAGTTGAAGGTTCCTTTTCAAAGAGCAGTTTCCAATCACTCTTTCTGTGGAATCTGCAAGTGGATATTTCGACCTCTTTGAAGATTTCGTTGGAAACGGGAGAACATTCACAGAAAAGCTAAACAGAAGCATTCTCAGAAACTTCTCTGTGATGTTTGTGTTCAACTCCCATAGTTTCACGTTGCTTTTCATAGAGTAGTTCTGAAACATGCTTTTCGTAGTGTCTGCAAGTGGACATTTGGAGCGCTTTCAGGCCTGTGGTGGAAAACGAATTATGGTCACATAAAAACTGGAGAGAAGCCTTCTCAGAAACTTCTCTGTGATGATTGCATTCATCTCAAAGAGTTGAACCCTCCTATGGATAGAGCAGTGTTGAAACTCTGTTTTTGTGGAATCTGCAAGTGGATATGTGGACCTCGCCAAAGATGTCTTTGGAAACGGGAATATCTTCACATAAAAACTAAACAGAAGCATTCTCAGAAACTTCTTGGTGATGTTTGCATTCAAATCCCAGAGTTGAACCTTCCTTTGATAGTTCAGGTTTGAAACAATCTTTTTGTAGGATCTGCAAGTGGATATTTGGACCACTCTGTGGCCTTCGTTCAAAACGGGTACATCTTCGCATAATATCTAGACAGAAGCATTCTCAGAAAATACTTTGTGATGATTGAGTTTAACTCACAGAGCTGAACATTCCTTTGGATGGAGCAGGTTTGAGACACACCTTTTGTAGAATCTACAAGTGGATATTTGGACCTCTCTGAGGATTTCGTTGGAAACGGGATAACTGCACCTAACTAAACGGAAGCATTCTCAGAAACTGCTTTGTGATGATTGCATTCACCTCACAGAGTTGAACATTCCTATTGATAGAGCAGTTTGGAAACACTCTTGTTGTGGAATGTGCAAGTGGAGATTTGGAGCGCTTTGAGGCCTATGGTAGTAAAGGGAATAGCTTCATAGAAAAACTAGACAGATGCATTCTCAGGAACTTTTTGGTGATGTTTGTATTCAACTCCCAGAGTTGAACTTTCCTTTGGAAAGAGCAGCTATGAAACACTGTTTTTCTAGAATCTGCAAGTGGACGTTTGGAGGGCTTTGTGGTTTGTGGTGGAAAAGGAAATATCTTCACCTAAATACTAGATAGAAGCATCCTCAGAAGCTTCTCTGTGATTACTGCATTCAACTCACGGAGTTGAACACTCCTTTTGAGAGCGCAGTTTTGAAACTCTCTTTCTGTGGCATCTGCAAGGGGACATGTAGACCTCTTTGAAGATTTCGTTGGAAACGGAATCATCTTCACATAAAAACTACACAGAAGCAGTCTCAGAATCTTCTTTGTGATGTTTGCATTCAAATCCCAGAGTTGAACTTTCCTTTCAAAGTTCACGTTTGAAACACTCTTTTTGCAGGATCTACAAGTGGATATTTGGACCACTCTGTGTCCTTCGTTCGAAACGGGTATATCTTCACACGACATCTAGACAGAAGCTTTCTCAGAAAATTCTTTGGGATGATTGAGTGGAACTCACAGAGCTGAACATTCCTTGCGATGTAGCAGTTTAGAAACACACTTTCTGCAGAATCTGCAAGTGCATATTTGGACCTCTCTGAGGAATTCGTTGGAAACGGGATAATTTCAGCTGACTAAACAGAAGCATTCTCAGAACCTTCTTCGTGATGTCTGCATTCAACTCACAGTGTGGAACCTTTCTTTGATAGTTCAGGTTTGAAACACTCTTTTTGTAGAAACTGCAAGGGGATAATTGCACTTCTTTGAGGCCTACCGTAGTAAAGGAAATAACTTCCTATAGAAAGAAGACAGAAGCATTCTCAGAACCCTCTTCGTGATGTTTGCATTCAACTCACAGTGCTGAACCTTTCTTTGATAGTTCAGCTTTGAAACACTCTTCTTGTAGAAACTGCAAGTGGATATTTGGTCCTCTCTGAGGATTTCGTTGGAAACGGGATAAACCGCACAGAACTAAACAGAAGAATTCTCAGAGCCCTCTTCGTGATGTTTGCATTCAACTCACAGTGCTGAACCTTTCTTTGATAGTGCAGCTTTGAAACACTCTTTTTGTAGAAACTGCAAGTGGATGTTTGGTCCTCTCTGAGGATTTCGTTGGAAACGGGATAAACCGCACAGAACTAAAACAGAAGCATTGTCAGAAACTTCTTTGTGATGATTGCATTCAACTCACAGAGTTGAAGGTTCCTTTTCAAACAGCAGTTTCCAATCACTCTTTCTGTGGAATCTGCAAGTGGATATTTGGGCCTCTCTGAGGATTTCGTTGGAAACGGGATAAAACGCACAGAACTAAAACAGAAGCATTCTCAGAAACTTCTCTGTGATGTTTGTGTTCAACTCCCAGAGTTTCACGTTGCTTTTCATAGAGTAGTTCTGAAACATGCTTTTCGTAGTGTCTGCAAGTGGACATTTGGAGCGCTTTCAGGCCTGTGGTGGAAAACGAATTATGGTCACATAAAAACTGGAGAGAAGCCTTCTCAGAAACTTCTCTGTGATGATTGCATTCAACTCACAGAGTTGAACCCTCCTATGGATAGAGCAGTGTTGAAACTCTCTTTTTGTGGAATCTGCAAGTGGATATGTGGACCTCTCCGAAGATGTCTTTGGAAACGGGAATATCTTCACATAAAAACTAAACAGAAGCATTCTCAGAAACTTCTTGGTGATGTTTGCATTCAAATCCCAGAGTTGAACCTTCCTTTGATAGTTCAGGTTTGAAACACTCTTTCTGTAGGATCTGCAAGTGGCTATTTGGACCACTCTGTGGCCTTCGTTCGAAACGGGTATATCTTCGCATAAAATCTAGACAGAAGCATTCTCAGAAAATACTTTGTGATGATTGAGTTTAAATCACAGAGCTGACCATTCCTTTGGATGGAGCAGGTTTGAGACACACTTTTTGTAGAATCTACAAGTGGATATTTGGACCTCTCTGAGGATTTCGTTGGAAACGGGATAACTGCACCTAACTAAACGGAAGCATTCTCAGAAACTGCTTTGTGATGATTGCATTCACCTCACAGAGTTGAACATTCCTATTGATAGAGCAGTTTGGAAACACTCTTGTTGTGGAATGTGCAAGTGGAGATTTGGAGCGCTTTGAGGCCTATGGTAGTAAAGGGAATAGCTTCATAGAAAAACTAGACAGATGCATTCTCAGGAACTTTTTGGTGATGTTTGTATTCAACTCCCAGAGTTGAACTTTCCTTTGGAAAGAGCAGCTATGAAACACTCTTTTTCTAGAATCTGCAAGTGGACGTTTGGAGGGCTTTGTGGTTTGTGGTGGAAAAGGAAATATCTTCACCTAAATACTAGATAGAAGCATTCTCAGAAGCTTCTCTGTGATGACTGCATTCAACTCACGGAGTTGAACACTCCTTTTGAGAGCGCAGTTTTGAAACTCTCTTTCTGTGGCATCTGCAAGGGGACATGTAGACCTCTTTGAAGATTTCGTTGGAAACGGAATCATCTTCACATAAAAACTATACAGAAGCAGTCTCAGAATCTTCTTTGTGATGTTTGCATTCAAATCCCAGAGTTGAACTTTCCTTTCAAAGTTCACGTTTGAAACACTCTTTTTGCAGGATCTACAAGTGGATATTTGGACCACTCTGTGTCCTTCGTTCGAAACGGGTATATCTTCACACGACATCTAGACAGAAGCTTTCTCAGAAAATTCTTTGGGATGATTGAGTGGAACTCACAGAGCTGAACATTCCTTGCGATGGAGCAGTTTAGAAACACACTTTCTGCAGAATCTGCAAGTGCATATTTGGACCTCTCTGAGGAATTCGTTGGAAACGGGATAATTTCAGCTGACTAAACAGAAGCATTCTCAGAACCTTCTTCGTGATGTCTGCATTCAACTCACAGTGTGGAACCTTTCTTTGATAGTTCAGGTTTGAAACACTCTTTTTGTAGAAACTGCAAGGGGATAATTGCACTTCTTTGAGGCCTACCGTAGTAAAGGAAATAACTTCCTATAGAAAGAAGACAGAAGCATTCTCAGAACCCTCTTCGTGATGTTTGCATTCAACTCACAGTGCTGAACCTTTCTTTGATAGTTCAGCTTTGAAACACTCTTCTTGTAGAAACTGCAAGTGGATATTTGGTCCTCTCTGAGGATTTCGTTGGAAACGGGATAAACCGCACAGAACTAAACAGAAGAATTCTCAGAGCCCTCTTCGTGATGTTTGCATTCAACTCACAGTGCTGAACCTTTCTTTGATAGTGCAGCTTTGAAACACTCTTTTTGTAGAAACTGCAAGTGGATGTTTGGTCCTCTCTGAGGATTTCGTTGGAAACGGGATAAACCGCACAGAACTAAAACAGAAGCATTGTCAGAAACTTCTTTGTGATGATTGCATTCAACTCACAGAGTTGAAGGTTCCTTTTCAAACAGCAGTTTCCAATCACTCTTTCTGTGGAATCTGCAAGTGGATATTTGGGCCTCTCTGAGGATTTCGTTGGAAACGGGATAAAACGCACAGAACTAAAACAGAAGCATTCTCAGAAACTTCTCTGTGATGTTTGTGTTCAACTCCCAGAGTTTCACGTTGCTTTTCATAGAGTAGTTCTGAAACATGCTTTTCGTAGTGTCTGCAAGTGGACATTTGGAGCGCTTTCAGGCCTGTGGTGGAAAACGAATTATGGTCACATAAAAACTGGAGAGAAGCCTTCTCAGAAACTTCTCTGTGATGATTGCATTCAACTCACAGAGTTGAACCCTCCTATGGATAGAGCAGTGTTGAAACTCTCTTTTTGTGGAATCTGCAAGTGGATATGTGGACCTCTCCGAAGATGTCTTTGGAAACGGGAATATCTTCACATAAAAACTAAACAGAAGCATTCTCAGAAACTTCTTGGTGATGTTTGCATTCAAATCCCAGAGTTGAACCTTCCTTTGATAGTTCAGGTTTGAAACACTCTTTCTGTAGGATCTGCAAGTGGCTATTTGGACCACTCTGTGGCCTTCGTTCGAAACGGGTATATCTTCGCATAAAATCTAGACAGAAGCATTCTCAGAAAATACTTTGTGATGATTGAGTTTAAATCACAGAGCTGACCATTCCTTTGGATGGAGCAGGTTTGAGACACACTTTTTGTAGAATCTACAAGTGGATATTTGGACCTCTCTGAGGATTTCGTTGGAAACGGGATAACTGCACCTAACTAAACGGAAGCATTCTCAGAAACTGCTTTGTGATGATTGCATTCACCTCACAGAGTTGAACATTCCTATTGATAGAGCAGTTTGGAAACACTCTTGTTGTGGAATGTGCAAGTGGAGATTTGGAGCGCTTTGAGGCCTGTGGTAGTAAAGGGAATAGCTTCATAGAAAAACTAGACAGATGCATTCTCAGGAACTTTTTGGTGATGTTTGTATTCAACTCCCAGAGTTGAACTTTCCTTTGGAAAGAGCAGCTATGAAACACTCTTTTTCTAGAATCTGCAAGTGGACGTTTGGAGGGCTTTGTGGTTTGTGGTGGAAAAGGAAATATCTTCACCTAAATACTAGATAGAAGCATTCTCAGAAGCTTCTCTGTGATGACTGCATTCAACTCACGGAGTTGAACACTCCTTTTGAGAGTGCAGTTTTGAAACTCTCTTTCTGTGGCATCCGCAAGGGGACATGTGGACCTCTTTGAAGATTTCGTTGGAAACGGAATCATCTTCACATCAAAACTATACAGAAGCAGTCTCAGAATCTTCTTTGTGATGTTTGCATTCAAATCCCAGAGTTGAACTTTCCTTTCAAAGTTCACGTTTGAAACACTCTTTTTGCAGGATCTACAAGTGGATATTTGGACCACTCTGTGTCCTTCGTTCGAAACGGGTATATCTTCACATGACATCTAGACAGAAGCTTTCTCAGAAAATTCTTTGGGATGATTGAGTGGAACTCACAGAGCTGAACATTCCTTGCAATGTAGCAGTTTAGAAACACACTTTCTGCAGAATCTGCAAGTGCATATTTGGACCTCTCTGAGGAATTCGTTGGAAACGGGATAATTTCAGCTGACTAAACAGAAGCATTCTCAGAACCTTCTTCGTGATGTCTGCATTCAACTCACAGTGTGGAACCTTTCTTTGATAGTTCAGGTTTGAAACACTCTTTTTGTAGAAACTGCAAGGGGATAATTGCACTTCTTTGAGGCCTACCGTAGTAAAGGAAATAACTTCCTATAGAAAGAAGACAGAAGCATTCTCAGAACCCTCTTCGTGATGTTTGCATTCAACTCACAGTGCTGAACCTTTCTTTGATAGTTCAGCTTTGAAACACTCTTCTTGTAGAAACTGCAAGTGGATATTTGGTCCTCTCTGAGGATTTCGTTGGAAACGGGATAAACCGCACAGAACTAAACAGAAGAATTCTCAGAGCCTTCTTCGTGATGTTTGCATTCAACTCACAGTGCTGAACCTTTCTTTGATAGTGCAGCTTTGAAACACTCTTTTTGTAGAAACTGCAAGTGGATGTTTGGTCCTCTCTGAGGATTTCGTTGGAAACGGGATAAACCGCACAGAACTAAAACAGAAGCATTGTCAGAAACTTCTTTGTGATGATTGCATTCAACTCACAGAGTTGAAGGTTCCTTTTCAAACAGCAGTTTCCAATCACTCTTTCTGTGGAATCTGCAAGTGGATATTTGGGCCTCTCTGAGGATTTCGTTGGAAACGGGATAAAACGCACAGAACTAAAACAGAAGCATTCTCAGAAACTTCTCTGTGATGTTTGTGTTCAACTCCCAGAGTTTCACGTTGCTTTTCATAGAGTAGTTCTGAAACATGCTTTTCGTAGTGTCTGCAAGTGGACATTTGGAGCGCTTTCAGGCCTGTGGTGGAAAACGAATTATGGTCACATAAAAACTGGAGAGAAGCCTTCTCAGAAACTTCTCTGTGATGATTGCATTCAACTCACAGAGTTGAACCCTCCTATGGATAGAGCAGTGTTGAAACTCTCTTTTTGTGGAATCTGCAAGTGGATATGTGGACCTCTCCGAAGATGTCTTTGGAAACGGGAATATCTTCACATAAAAACTAAACAGAAGCATTCTCAGAAACTTCTTGGTGATGTTTGCATTCAAATCCCAGAGTTGAACCTTCCTTTGATAGTTCAGGTTTGAAACACTCTTTCTGTAGGATCTGCAAGTGGCTATTTGGACCACTCTGTGGCCTTCGTTCGAAACGGGTATATCTTCGCATAAAATCTAGACAGAAGCATTCTCAGAAAATACTTTGTGATGATTGAGTTTAAATCACAGAGCTGACCATTCCTTTGGATGGAGCAGGTTTGAGACACACTTTTTGTAGAATCTACAAGTGGATATTTGGACCTCTCTGAGGATTTCGTTGGAAACGGGATAACTGCACCTAACTAAACGGAAGCATTCTCAGAAACTGCTTTGTGATGATTGCATTCACCTCACAGAGTTGAACATTCCTATTGATAGAGCAGTTTGGAAACACTCTTGTTGTGGAATGTGCAAGTGGAGATTTGGAGCGCTTTGAGGCCTATGGTAGTAAAGGGAATAGCTTCATAGAAAAACTAGACAGATGCATTCTCAGGAACTTTTTGGTGATGTTTGTATTCAACTCCCAGAGTTGAACTTTCCTTTGGAAAGAGCAGCTATGAAACACTCTTTTTCTAGAATCTGCAAGTGGACGTTTGGAGGGCTTTGTGGTTTGTGGTGGAAAAGGAAATATCTTCACCTAAATACTAGATAGAAGCATTCTCAGAAGCTTCTCTGTGATGACTGCATTCAACTCACGGAGTTGAACACTCCTTTTGAGAGCGCAGTTTTGAAACTCTCTTTCTGTGGCATCTGCAAGGGGACATGTAGACCTCTTTGAAGATTTCGTTGGAAACGGAATCATCTTCACATAAAAACTATACAGAAGCAGTCTCAGAATCTTCTTTGTGATGTTTGCATTCAAATCCCTGAGTTGAACTTTCCTTTCCAAGTTCACGTTTGAAACACTCTTTTTGCAGGATCTACAAGTGGATATTTGGACCACTCTGTGTCCTTCGTTCGAAACGGGTATATCTTCACATGACATCTAGACAGAAGCTTTCTCAGAAAATTCTTTGGGATGATTGAGTTGAGCAAACAGAGCTGAACACTCCTTGCGATGTAGCAGTTTAGAAACACACTTTCTGCAGAATCTGCAAGTGCATATGTGGACCTCTCTGAGGAATTCGTTGGAAACGGGATAATTTCAGCTGACTAAACAGAAGCATTCTCAGAACCTTATTCGTGATGTCTGCATTCAACTCACAGTGTGGAACCTTTCTTTGATAGTTCAGGTTTGAAACACTCTTTTTGTAGAAACTGCAAGGGGATCATTGCACTTCTTTGAGGCCTACCGTAGTAAAGGAGATAACTTCCTATAAAAAGAAGACAGAAGCATTCTCAGAACCCTCTTCGTGACGTTTGCATTCAACTCACGGTGCTGAACCTTTCTTGGATAGTTCAGCTTTGAAACACTCTTTTTGTAGAAACTGCAAGTGGATATTTGGTCCACTCTGAGGATTTCGTTGGAAACGGGATAAACCGCACAGAACTAAACAGAAGCATTCTCAGAACCTTCTTCGTGATGTTTGCATTCAACTCACAGTGTTGAACCTTTCTTTGATAGTTCAGGTTTGAAACGGTCTTTCTGTAGAAACTGCAAGTAGATATTTGGACCTCTCTGAGGATTTCGTTGGAAACGGGATAAACCGCACAGAACTAAAACAGAAGCTTTCACAGAAAACTCTTGGTGACGACTGAGTTTAACTCACAGAGCTGAACATTCCTTTGGATGGAGCAGTTTCGAAACACACTATTTGTAGAATGTGCAAGTGGATATGTGGGCCTCTCTGAGGATTTCGTTGGAAACGGGATAAACCGCACAGAACTAAACAGAAGCATTCTCAGAAACTACTTTGTGATGATTGCATTCAAGTCACAGAGTTGAACATTCCCTTTGACAGAGCAGTTTGGAAACTCTCTTTGTGTAGAATCTGCAAGTGGAGATATGGACCGCTTTGAGGCCTATGGTAGTAAAGGAAATAGCTTCATATAAAAGCTAGACAGTAGCATTCTCAGAAACTTCTTTGTGATGCTTGCATTCAACTCACAGAGTTGAACTTTCCTTTCGAGAGAGAAGCTTTGAAACACTCTTTTTCCAGAATCTCCAAGTGGACATTTGGAGGGCTTTGAGGCCTGTGGTGGAAAAGGAATTATCTTCCCGTAAAAGCTAGATAGAAGCATTGTCAGAAACTTCTTTGTGATGATTGCATTCAACTCACAGAGTTGAAGGTTCCTTTTCAAAGAGCAGTTTCCAATCACTCTTTGTGTGGAATCTGCAAGTGGATATTTGGACCTATTTTGAAGATTTCGTTGGAAATGGGAGAATCTTCACAGGAAAGCTAAACAGAAGCATTCTCAGAAACTTCTCTGTGATGTTTGTGTTCAACTCCCAGAGTTTCACATTGCTTTTCATAGAGTAGTTCTGAAACATGCTTTTCGTAGTGTCTACAAGTGGACATTTGGAGCGCTTTCAGGCCTGTGGTGGAAAACGAATTATGGTCACATAAAAACTGGAGAGAAGCCTTCTCAAGAAACTTCTCTGTGATGATTGCATTCAACTCACAGAGTTGAACCCTCCTATGGATAGAGCAGTGTTGAAACTCTCTTTTTGTGGAATCTGCAAGTGGATACGTGGACCTCTCCGAAGATGTCTTTGGAAACGGGAATATCTTCACATAAAAACTAAACAGAAGCATTCTCAGAAACTTCTTGGTGATGTTTGCATTCAAATCCCAGAGTTGAACCTTCCTTTGATAGTTCAGGTTTGAAACACTCTTTTTGTAGGATCTGCAAGTGGATATTTGGACCACTCTGTGGCCTTCGTTCGAAACGGGTATATCTTCGCATAAAATCTAGACAGAAGCATTCTCAGAAAATACTTTGTGATGATTGAGTTGAACTCACAGAGCTGAACATTCCTTTGGATGGAGCAGGTTTGAGACACACTTTTTGTAGAATCTACAAGTGGATATTTGGACCTCTCTGAGGATTTCGTTGGAAACGGGATAACTGCACCTAACTGAACGGAAGCATTCTCAGAAACTGCTTTGTGATGATTGCATTCACCTCACAGAGTTGAACATTCCTATTGATAGAGCAGTTTGGAAACACTCTTGTTGTGGAATGTGCAAGTGGAGATTTGGAGCGCTTTGAGGCCTATGGTAGTAAAGGGAATAGCTTCATAGAAAAACTAGACAGATGCATTCTCAGGAACTTTTTGGTGATGTTTGTATTCAACTCCCAGAGTTGAACTTTCCTTTGGAAAGAGCAGCTATGAAACACTGTTTTTCTAGAATCTGCAAGTGGACGTTTGGAGGGCTTTGTGGTTTGTGGTGGAAAAGGAAATATCTTCACCTAAATACTAGATAGAAGCATTCTCAGAAGCTTCTCTGTGATGACTGCATTCAACTCACGGAGTTGAACACTCCTTTTGAGAGCGCAGTTTTGAAACTCTCTTTCTGTGGCATCTGCAAGGGGACATGTAGACCTCTTTGAAGATTTCGTTGGAAACGGAATCATCTTCACATAAAAACTATACAGAAGCAGTCTCAGAATCTTCTTTGTGATGTTTGCATTCAAATCCCAGAGTTGAACTTTCCTTTCAAAGTTCACGTTTGAAACACTCTTTTTGCAGGATCTACAATTTTATATTTGGACCACTCTGTGTCCTTCGTTCGAAACGGCTATATCTTCACATGACATCTAGACAGAAGCTTTCTCAGAAAATTCTTTGGGATGATTGAGTTGAACTCACAGAGCTGAGTATTCCTTGCGATGTAGCAGTTTAGAAACACACTTTCTGCAGAATCTGCAAGTGCATATTTGGACCTCTCTGAGGAATTCGTTGGAAACAGGATAATTTCAGCTGACTAAACAGAAGCATTCTCAGAACCTTCTTCGTGATGTCTGCATTCAACTCAAAGTGTGGAACCTTTCTTTGATAGTTCAGGTTTTAAAAACTCTTTTTATAGAAACTGCAAGGGGATAATTGCACTCTTTGAGGAGTACCGTAGTAAAGGAAATAACTTCCTATAAAAAGAAGACAGAAGCATTCTCAGAACCCTCTTCGTGATGTTTGCATTCAACTCACAGTGCTGAACCTTTCTTTGATAGTTCAGCTTTGAAACACTCTTTTTGTAGAAACTGCAAGTGGATATTTGGTCCTCTCTGAGGATTTCGTTGGAAACGGGATAAAACGCACAGAACGAAACAGAAGCATTCTCAGAACCTTCTTCGTGATGTTTGCATTCAACTCACAGTGTTGAACCTTTCTTTGATAGTTCAGGTTTGAAACGGTCTTTCTGTAGAAACTGCAAGTAGATATTTGGACCTCTCTGAGGATTTCGTTGGAAACGGGATAAACCGCACAGAACTAAAACAGAAGCATTCTCAGAACCCTCTTCGTGATGTTTGCATTCAACTCACGGTGCTGAACCTTTCTTTGATAGTTCAGCTTTGAAACACACTTTTTGTAGAAACTGCAAGTGGATATTTGGTCCTCTCTGAGGATTTCGTTGGAAACGGGATAAACCGCACAGAACTAAACAGAAGCATTCTCAGAACCTTCTTCGTGATGTTTGCATTCAACTCACAGTGTTGAACCTTTCTTTGATAGTTCAGGTTTGAAACGGTCTTTCTGTAGAAACTGCAAGTAGATATTTGGACCTCTCTGAGGATTTCGTTGGAAACGGGATAAACCGCACAGAACTAAAACAGAAGCATTCACAGAAAACTCTTGGTGACGACTGAGTTTAACTCACAGAGCTGAACATTCCTTTGGATGGAGCAGTTTCGAAACACACTATTTGTAGAATGTGCAAGTGGATATGTGGGCCTCTCTGAGGATTTCGTTGGAAACGGGATAAACCGCACAGAACTAAACAGAAGCATTCTCAGAAACTACTTTGTGATGATTGCATTCAAGTCACAGAGTTGAACATTCCCTTTGACAGAGCAGTTTGGAAACTCTCTTTGTGTAGAATCTGCAAGTGGAGATATGGACCGCTTTGAGGCCTATGGTAGTAAAGGAAATAGCTTCATATAAAAGCTAGACAGTAGCATTCTCAGAAACTTCTTTGTGATGCTTGCATTCAACTCACAGAGTTGAACTTTCCTTTCGAGAGAGAAGCTTTGAAACACTCTTTTTCCAGAATCTGCAAGTGGACATTTGGAGGGCTTTGAGGCCTGTGGTGGAAAAGGAATTATCTTCCCGTAAAAGCTAGATAGAAGCCTTCTCAGAAACTTCTCTGTGATGATTGCATTCAACTCACAGAGTTGAAGGTTCCTTTTCAAAGAGCAGTTTCCAATCACTCTTTCTGTGGAGTCTGCAAGTGGATATTTGGACCTATTTTGAAGATTTCGTTGGAAACGGGAGAATCTTCACAGGAAAGCTAAACAGAAGCATTCTCAGAAACTTCTTGGTGATGTTTGCATTCAAATCCCAGAGTAGAACCTTCCTTTGATAGTTCAGGTTTGAAACACTCTTTTTGTAGGATCTGCAAGTGGATATTTGGACCACTCTGTGGCCTTCGTTCGAAACGGGTATATCTTCGCATAAAATCTAGACAGAAGCATTCTCAGAAAATACTTTGTGATGATTGAGTTTAACTCACAGAGCTGAACATTCCTTTGGATGGAGCAGGTTTGAGACACACTTTTTGTAGAATCTACAAGTGGATATTTGGACCTCTCTGAGGATTTCGTTGGAAACGGGATAACTGCACCTAACTAAACGGAAGCATTCTCAGAAACTGCTTTGTGATGATTGCATTCACCTCACAGAGTTGACCATTCCTATTGATAGAGCAGTTTGGAAACACTCTTGTTGTGGAATGTGCAAGTGGAGATTTGGAGCGCTTTGAGGCCTATGGTAGTAAAGGGAATAGCTTCATAGAAAAACTAGACAGATGCATTCTCAGGAACTTTTTGGTGATGTTTGTATTCAACTCCCAAAGTTGAACTTTCCTTTGGAAAGAGCAGCTATGAAACACTCTTTTTCTAGAATCTGCAAGTGGACGTTTGGAGGGCTTTGTGGTTTGTGGTGGAAAAGGAAATATCTTCACCTAAATACTAGATAGAAGCATTCTCAGAAGCTTCTCTGTGATGACTGCATTCAACTCACGGAGTTGAACACTCCTTTTGAGAGCGCAGTTTTGAAACTCTCTTTCTGTGGCATCTGCAAGGGGACATGTAGACCTCTTTGAAGATTTCGTTGGAAACGGAATCATCTTCACATAAAAACTATACAGAAGCAGTCTCAGAATCTTCTTTGTGATGTTTGCATTCAAATCCCAGAGTTGAACTTCCCTTTCAAAGTTCACGTTTGAAACACTCTTTTTGCAGGATCTACAAGTGGATATTTGGACCACTCTGTGTCCTTCGTTCGAAACGGGTATATCTTCACATGACATCTAGACAGAAGCTTTCTCAGAAAATCCTTTGGGATGATTGAGTGGAACTCACAGAGCTGAACATTCCTTGCGATGTAGCAGTTTAGAAACACACTTTCTGCAGAATCTGCAAGTGCATATTTGGACCTCTCTGAGGAATTCGTTGGAAACGGGATAATTTCAGCTGACTAAACAGAAGCATTCTCAGAACCTTCTTCGTGATGTCTGCATTCAACTCACAGTGTGGAACCTTTCTTTGATAGTTCAGGTTTGAAACACTCTTTTTGTAGAAACTGCAAGGGGATAATTGCACTTCTTTGAGGCCTACCGTAGTAAAGGAAATAACTTCCTATAGAAAGAAGACAGAAGCATTCTCAGAATCTTCTTCGTGATGTTTGCATTCAACTCACAGTGCTGAACCTTTCTTTGATAGTTCAGCTTTGAAACACTCTTCTTGTAGAAACTGCAAGTGGATATTTGGTCCTCTCTGAGGATTTCGTTGGAAACGGGATAAACCGCACAGAACTAAACAGAAGCATTCTCAGAACCTTCTTCGTGATGTTTGCATTCAACTCACAGTGTTGAACCTTTCTTTGATAGTTCAGGTTTGAAACGGTCTTTCTGTAGAAACTGCAAGTAGATATTTGGACCTCTCTGAGGATTTCGTTGGAAACGGGATAACCCGCACAGAACTAAAACAGAAGCATTCACAGAAAACTCTTGGTGACGACTGAGTTTAACTCACAGAGCTGAACATTCCTTTGGATGGAGCAGTTTCGAAACACACTATTTGTAGAATGTGCAAGTGGATATTTAGGCCTCTCTGAGGATTTCGTTGGAAACGGGATAAACCGCACAGAACTAAACAGAAGCATTCTCAGAAACTACTTTGTGATGATTGCATTCAAGTCACAGAGTTGAACATTCCCTTTGACAGAGCAGTTTGGAAACTCTCTTTGTGTAGAATCTGCAAGTGGAGATATGGACCGCTTTGAGGCCTATGGTAGTAAAGGAAATAGCTTCATATAAAAGCTAGACAGTAGCATTCTCAGAAACTTCTTTGTGATGCTTGCATTCAACTCACAGAGTTGAACTTTCCTTTCGAGAGAGAAGCTTTGAAACACTCTTTTTCCAGAATCTGCAAGTGGACATTTGGAGGGCTTTGAGGCCTGTGGTGGAAAAGGAATTATCTTCCCGTAAAAGCTAGATAGAAGCATTGTCAGAAACTTCTTTGTGATGATTGCATTCAACTCACAGAGTTGAAGGTTCCTTTTCAAACAGCAGTTTCCAATCACTCTTTCTGTGGAATCTGCAAGTGGATATTTGGACCTATTTTGAAGATTTCCTTGGAAACGGGATAATCTTCACAGAAAAGCTAAACAGAAGCATTCTCAGAAACTTCTCTGTGATGTTTGTGTTCAACTCCCAGAGTTTCACGTTGCTTTTCATAGAGTAGTTCTGAAACATGCTTTTCGTAGTGTCTGCAAGTGGACATTTGGAGCGCTTTCAGGCCTGTGGTGGAAAACGAATTATGGTCACATAAAAACTGGAGAGAAGCCTTCTCAGAAACTTCTCTGTGATGATTGCATTCAACTCACAGAGTTGAACCCTCCTATGGATAGAGCAGTGTTGAAACTCTCTTTTTGTGGAATCTGCAAGTGGATATGTGGACCTCTCCGAAGATGTCTTTGGAAACGGGAATATCTTCACATAAAAACTAAACAGAAGCATTCTCAGAAACTTCTTGGTGATGTTTGCATTCAAATCCCAGAGTTGAACCTTCCTTTGATAGTTCAGGTTTGAAACACTCTTTCTGTAGGATCTGCAAGTGGCTATTTGGACCACTCTGTGGCCTTCGTTCGAAACGGGTATATCTTCGCATAAAATCTAGACAGAAGCATTCTCAGAAAATACTTTGTGATGATTGAGTTTAAATCACAGAGCTGACCATTCCTTTGGATGGAGCAGGTTTGAGACACACTTTTTGTAGAATCTACAAGTGGATATTTGGACCTCTCTGAGGATTTCGTTGGAAACGGGATAACTGCACCTAACTAAACGGAAGCATTCTCAGAAACTGCTTTGTGATGATTGCATTCACCTCACAGAGTTGAACATTCCTATTGATAGAGCAGTTTGGAAACACTCTTGTTGTGGAATGTGCAAGTGGAGATTTGGAGCGCTTTGAGGCCTATGGTAGTAAAGGGAATAGCTTCATAGAAAAACTAGACAGATGCATTCTCAGGAACCTTTTGGTGATGTTTGTATTCAACTCCCAGAGTTGAACTTTCCTTTGGAAAGAGCAGCTATGAAACACTCTTTTTCTAGAATCTGCAAGTGGACGTTTGGAGGGCTTTGTGGTTTGTGGTGGAAAAGGAAATATCTTCACCTAAATACTAGACAGAAGCATTCTCAGAAGCTTCTCTGTGATGACTGCATTCAACTCACGGAGTTGAACACTCCTTTTGAGAGCGCAGTTTTGAAACTCTCTTTCTGTGGCATCTGCAAGGGGACATGTAGACCTCTTTGAAGATTTCGTTGGAAACGGAATCATCTTCACATAAAAACTATACAGAAGCAGTCTCAGAATCTTCTTTGTGATGTTTGCATTCAAATCCCAGAGTTGAACTTTCCTTTCAAAGTTCACGTTTGAAACACTCTTTTTGCAGGATCTACAAGTGGATATTTGGACCACTCTGTGTCCTTCGTTCGAAACGGGTATATCTTCACATGACATCTAGACAGAAGCTTTCTCAGAAAATTCTTGGGGATGATTGAGTGGAACTCACAGAGCTGAACATTCCTTGCGATGTAGCAGTTTAGAAACACACTTTCTGCAGAATCTGCAAGTGCATATTTGGACCTCTCTGAGGAATTCGTTGGAAACGGGATAATTTCAGCTGACTAAACAGAAGCATTCTCAGAACCTTCTTCGTGATGTCTGCATTCAACTCACAGTGTGGAACCTTTCTTTGATAGTTCAGGTTTGAAACACTCTTTTTGTAGAAACTGCAAGGGGATAATTGCACTTCTTTGAGGCCTACCGTAGTAAAGGAAATAACTTCCTATAGAAAGAAGACAGAAGCATTCTCAGAACCCTCTTCGTGATGTTTGCATTCAACCCACGGTGCTGAACCTTTCTTTGATAGTTCAGCTTTGAAACACTCTTTTTGTAGAAACTGCAAGTGGATATTTGGTCCTCTATGAGGATTTCGTTGGAAACGGGATAAACCGCACAGAACTAAACAGAAGCATTCTCAGAACCTTCTTCGTGATGTTTGCATTCAACTCACAGTGTTGAACCTTTCTTTGATAGTTCAGGTTTGAAACGGTCTTTCTGTAGAAACTGCAAGTAGATATTTGGACCTCTCTGAGGATTTCGTTGGAAACGGGATAAACCGCACAGAACTAAAACAGAAGCATTCACAGAAAACTCTTGGTGACGACTGAGTTTAACTCACAGAGCTGAACATTCCTTTGGATGGAGCAGTTTCGAAACACACTATTTGTAGAATGTGCAAGTGGATATTTGGGCCTCTCTGAGGATTTCGTTGGAAACGGGATAAACCGCACAGAACTAAACAGAAGCATTCTCAGAAACTACTTTGTGATGATTGCATTCAAGTCACAGAGTTGAACATTCCCTTTGACAGAGCAGTTTGGAAACTCTCTTTCTGTAGAATCTGCAAGTGGAGATATGGACCGCTTTGAGGCCTATGGTAGTAAAGGAAATAGCTTCATATAAAAGCTAGACAGTAGCATTCTCAGAAACTTCTTTGTGATGCTTGCATTCAACTCACAGAGTTGAACTTTCCTTTCGAGAGAGAAGCTTTGAAACACTCTTTTTCCAGAATCTGCAAGTGGACATTTGGAGGGCTTTGAGGCCTGTGGTAGAAAAGGAATTAACTTCCCGTAAAAGCTAGATAGAAGCATTGTCAGAAACTTCTTTGTGATGATTGCATTCAACTCACAGAGTTGAAGGTTCCTTTTCAAACAGCAGTTTCCAATCACTCTTTCTGTGGAATCTGCAAGTGGATATTTGGGCCTCTCTGAGGATTTCGTTGGAAACGGGATAAAACGCACAGAACTAAAACAGAAGCATTCTCAGAAACTTCTCTGTGATGTTTGTGTTCAACTCCCAGAGTTTCACGTTGCTTTTCATAGAGTAGTTCTGAAACATGCTTTTCGTAGTGTCTGCAAGTGGACATTTGGAGCGCTTTCAGGCCTGTGGTGGAAAACGAATTATGGTCACATAAAAACTGGAGAGAAGCCTTCTCAGAAACTTCTCTGTGATGATTGCATTCAACTCACAGAGTTGAACCCTCCTATGGATAGAGCAGTGTTGAAACTCTCTTTTTGTGGAATCTGCAAGTGGATATGTGGACCTCTCCGAAGATGTCTTTGGAAACGGGAATATCTTCACATAAAAACTAAACAGAAGCATTCTCAGAAACTTCTTGGTGATGTTTGCATTCAAATCCCAGAGTTGAACCTTCCTTTGATAGTTCAGGTTTGAAACACTCTTTTTGTAGGATCTGCAAGTGGCTATTTGGACCACTCTGTGGCCTTCGTTCGAAACGGGTATATCTTCGCATAAAATCTAGACAGAAGCATTCTCAGAAAATACTTTGTGATGATTGAGTTTAACTCACAGAGCTGAACATTCCTTTGGATGGAGCAGGTTTGAGACACACCTTTTGTAGAATCTACAAGTGGATATTTGGACCTCTCTGAGGATTTCGTTGGAAACGGGATAACTGCACCTAACTAAACGGAAGCATTCTCAGAAACTGCTTTGTGATGATTGCATTCACCTCACAGAGTTGAACATTCCTATTGATAGAGCAGTTTGGAAACACTCTTGTTGTGGAATGTGCAAGTGGAGATTTGGAGCGCTTTGAGGCCTATGGTAGTAAAGGGAATAGCTTCATAGAAAAACTAGACAGATGCATTCTCAGGAACTTTTTGGTGATGTTTGTATTCAACTCCCAGAGTTGAACTTTCCTTTGGAAAGAGCAGCTATGAAACACTCTTTTTCTAGAATCTGCAAGTGGACGTTTGGAGGGCTTTGTGGTTTGTGGTGGAAAAGGAAATATCTTCACCTAAATACTAGATAGAAGCATTCTCAGAAGCTTCTCTGTGATGACTGCATTCAACTCACGGAGTTGAACACTCCTTTTGAGAGCACAGTTTTGAAACTCTCTTTCTGTGGCATCTGCAAGGGGACATGTAGACCTCTTTGAAGATTTCGTTGGAAACGGAATCATCTTCACATCAAAACTATACAGAAGCAGTCTCAGAATCTTCTTTGTGATGTTTGCATTCAAATCCCAGAGTTGAACTTTCCTTTCAAAGTTCACGTTTGAAACACTCTTTTTGCAGGATCTACAAGTGGATATTTGGACCACTCTGTGTCCTTCGTTCGAAACGGGTATATCTTCACATGACATCTAGACAGAAGCTTTCTCAGAAAATTCTTTGGGATGATTGAGTTGAGCAAACAGAGCTGAACACTCCTTGCGATGTAGCAGTTTAGAAACACACTTTCTGCAGAATCTGCAAGTGCATATGTGGACCTCTCTGAGGAATTCGTTGGAAACGGGATAATTTCAGCTGACTAAACAGTAGCATTCTCAGAACCTTCTTCGTGATGTCTGCATTCAACTCACAGTGTGGAACCTTTCTTTGATAGTTCAGGTTTGAAACACTCTTTTTGTAGAAACTGCAAGGGGATCATTGCACTTCTTTGAGGCCTACCGTAGTAAAGGAGATAACTTCCTATAAAAAGAAGACAGAAGCATTCTCAGAACCCTCTTCGTGATGTTTGCATTCAACTCACGGTGCTGAAACTTTCTTTGATAGTTCAGCTTTGAAACACACTTTTTGTAGAAACTGCAAGTGGATATTTGGTCCTCTCTGAGGATTTCGTTGGAAACGGGATAAACCGCACAGAACTAAACAGAAGCATTCTCAGAACCTTCTTCGTGATGTTTGCATTCAACTCACAGTGTTGAACCTTTCTTTGATAGTTCAGGTTTGAAACGGTCTTTCTGTAGAAACTGCAAGTAGATATTTGGACCTCTCTGAGGATTTCGTTGGAAACGGGATAACCCGCACAGAACTAAAACAGAAGCAATCACAGAAAACTCTTGGTGACGACTGAGTTTAACTCACAGAGCTGAACATTCCTTTGGATGGAGCAGTTTCGAAACACACTATTTGTAGAATCTGCAAGTGGATATTTGGGCCTCTCTGAGGATTTCGTTGGAAACGGGATAAAACGCACAGAACTAAAACAGAAGAATTCTCAGAAACTACTTTGTGATGATTGCATTCAAGTCACAGAGTTGAACATTCCCTTTGACAGAGCAGTTTGGAAACTCTCTTTGTGTAGAATCTGCAAGTGGAGATATGGACCGCTTTGAGGTCTATGGTAGTAAAGGAAAGAGCTTCATATAAAAGCTAGACAGTAGCATTCTCAGAAACTTCTTTGTGATGCTTGCATTCAACTCACAGAGTTGAACTTTCCTTTCGAGAGAGAAGCTTTGAAACACTCTTTTTCCAGAATGTGCAAGTGGACATTTGGGGAGCTTTGAGGCCTGTGCTGGAAAAGGAATTATCTTCCCGTAAAAGCTAGATAGAAGCATTGTCAGAAACTTCTTTGTGATGATTGCATTCAACTCACAGAGTTGAAGGTTCCTTTTCAAACAGCAGTTTCCAATCACTCTTTCTGTGGAATCTGCAAGTGGATATTTCGACCTCTTTGAAGATTTCGTTGGAAACGGGAGAATCTTCACAGAAAAGCTAAACAGAAGCATTCTCAGAAACTTCTCTGTGATGTTTGTGTTCAACTCCCAGAGTTTCACATTGCTTTTCATAGAGTAGTTCTGAAACATGCTTTTCGTAGTGTCTGCAAGTGGACATTTGGAGCGCTTTCAGGCCTGTGGTGGAAAACGAATTATGGTCTCATAAAAACTGGAGAGAAGCCTTCTCAGAAACTTCTCTGTGATGATTGCATTCAACTCACAGAGTTGAACGCTCCTATGGATAGAGCAGTGTTGAAACTCTCTTTTTGTGGAATCTGCAAGTGGATATGTGGACCTCTCCGAAGATGTCTTTGGAAACGGTAATATCTTCACATAATAACTAAACAGAAGCATTCTCAGAAACTTCTTGGTGATGTTTGCATTCAAATCCCAGAGTTGAACCTTCCTTTGATAGTTCAGGTTTGAAACACTCTTTTTGTAGGATCTGCAAGTGGCTATTTGGACCACTCTGTGGCCTTCGTTCGAAACGGGTATATCTTCGCATAAAATCTAGACAGAAGCATTCTCAGAAAATACTTTGTGATGATTGAGTTTAAATCACAGAGCTGACCATTCCTTTGGATGGAGCAGGTTTGAGACACACTTTTTGTAGAATCTACAAGTGGATATTTGGACCTCTCTGAGGATTTCGTTGGAAACGGGATAACTGCACCTAACTAAACGGAAGCATTCTCAGAAACTGCTTTGTGATGATTGCATTCACCTCACAGAGTTGAACATTCCTATTGATAGAGCAGTTTGGAAACACTCTTGTTGTGGAATGTGCAAGTGGAGATTTGGAGCGCTTTGAGGCCTATGGTAGTAAAGGGAATAGCTTCATAGAAAAACTAGACAGATGCATTCTCAGGAACTTTTTGGTGATGTTTGTATTCAACTCCCAGAGTTGAACTTTCCTTTGGAAAGAGCAGCTATGAAACACTCTTTTTCTAGAATCTGCAAGTGGACGTTTGGAGGGCTTTGTGGTTTGTGGTGGAAAAGGAAATATCTTCACCTAAATACTAGATAGAAGCATTCTCAGAAGCTTCTCTGAGATGACTGCATTCAACTCACGGAGTTGAACACTCCTTTTGAGAGCGCAGTTTTGAAACTCTCTTTCTGTGGCATCTGCAAGGGGACATGTAGACCTCTTTGAAGATTTCGTTGGAAACGGAATCATCTTCACATAAAAACTATACAGAAGCAGTCTCAGAATCTTCTTTGTGATGTTTGCATTCAAATCCCCGAGTTGAACTTTCCTTTCAAAGTTCACGTTTGAAACACTCTTTTTGCAGGATCTACAAGTGGATATTTGGACCACTCTGTGTCCTTCGTTCGAAACGGGTATATCTTCACATGACATCTAGACAGAAGCTTTCTCAGAAAATTCTTTGGGATGATTGAGTAGAACTCACAGAGCTGAGCATTCCTTGCGATGTAGCAGTTTAGAAACACACTTTCTGCAGAATCTGCAAGTGCATATTTGGACCTACTGTGAGGAATTCGTTGGAAACGGGATAATTTCAGCTGACTAAACAGAAGCATTCTCAGAACCTTCTTCGTGATGTCTGCATTCAACTCACAGTGTGGAACCTTTCTTTGATAGTTCAGGTTTGAAACACTCTTTCTGTAGAAACTGCAAGGGGATAATTGCACTCTTTGAGGAGTACCGTAGTAAAGGAAATAACTTCCTATAAAAAGAAGACAGAAGCATTCTCAGAACCCTCTTCGTGATGTTTGCATTCAACTCACAGTGCTGAACCTTTCTTTGATAGTTCAGCTTTGAAACACTCTTTTTGTAGAAACTGCAAGTGGATATTTGGTCCTCTCTGAGGATTTCGTTGGAAACGGGATAAACTGCACAGAACTAAACAGAAGCATTCTCAGAACCTTCTTCGTGATGTTTGCATTCAACTCACAGTGTTGAACCTTTCTTTGATAGCTCAGGTTTGAAACGGTCTTTCTGTAGAAACTGCAAGTAGATATTTGGACCTCTCTGAGGATTTCGTTGGAAACGGGATAACCCGCACAGAACTAAAACAGAAGCATTCACAGAAAACTCTTGGTGACGACTGAGTTTAACTCACAGAGCTGAACATTCCTTTGGATGGAGCAGTTTCGAAACACACTATTTGTAGAATGTGCAAGTGGATATTTGGGCCTCTCTGAGGATTTCGTTGGAAACGGGATAAACCGCACAGAACTAAACAGAAGCATTCTCAGAAACTACTTTGTGATGATTGCATTCAAGTCACAGAGTTGAACATTCCCTTTGACAGAGCAGTTTGGAAACTCTCTTTGTGTAGAATCTGCAAGTGGAGATATGGACCGCTTTGAGGCCTATGGTAGTAAAGGAAATAGCTTCATATAAAAGCTAGACAGTAGCATTCTCAGAAACTTCTTTGTGATGCTTGCATTCAACTCACAGAGTTGAACTTTCCTTTCGAGAGAGAAGCTTTGAAACACTCTTTTTCCAGAATCTGCAAGTGGACATTTGGAGGGCTTTGAGGCCTGTGGTGGAAAAGGAATTATCTTCCCGTAAAAGCTAGATAGAAGCACTGTCAGAAACTTCTTTGTGATGATTGCATTCAACTCACAGAGTTGAAGGTTCCTTTTCAAACAGCAGTTTCCAATCACTCTTTCTGTGGAATCTGCAAGTGGATATTTGGACCTATTTTGAAGATTTCGTTGGAAACGGGATAATCTTCACAGAAAAGCTAAACAGAAGCATTCTCAGAAACTTCTCTGTGATGTTTGTGTTCAACTCCCAGAGTTTCACGTTGCTTTTCATAGAGTAGTTCTGAAACATGCTTTTCGTAGTGTCTGCAAGTGGACATTTGGAGCGCTTTCAGGCCTGTGGTGGAAAACGAATTATGGTCACATAAAAACTGGAGAGAAGCCTTCTCAGAAACTTCTCTGTGATGATTGCATTCAACTCACAGAGTTGAACCCTCCTATGGATAGAGCAGTGTTGAAACTCTCTTTTTGTGGAATCTGCAAGTGGATATGTGGACCTCTCCGAACATGTCTTTGGAAACGGGAATATCTTCACATAAAAACTAAACAGAAGCATTCTCAGAAACTTCTTGGTGATGTTTGCATTCAAATCCCAGAGTTGAACCTTCCTTTGATAGTTCAGGTTTGAAACACTCTTTTTGTAGGATCTGCAAGTGGCTATTTGGACCACTCTGTGGCCTTCGTTCGAAACGGGTATATCTTCGCATAAAATCTAGACAGAAGCATTCTCAGAAAATACTTTGTGATGATTGAGTTTAAATCACAGAGCTGAACATTCCTTTGGATGGAGCAGGTTTGAGACACACTTTTTGTAGAATCTACAAGTGGATATTTGGACCTCTCTGAGGATTTCGTTGGAAACGGGATAACTGCACCTAACTAAACGGAAGCATTCTCAGAAACTGCTTTGTGATGATTGCATTCACCTCACAGAGTTGAACATTCCTATTGATAGAGCAGTTTGGAAACACTCTTGTTGTGGAATGTGCAAGTGGAGATTTGGAGCGCTTTGAGGCCTATGGTAGTAAAGGGAATAGCTTCATAGAAAAACTAGACAGATGCATTCTCAGGAACTTTTTGGTGATGTTTGTATTCAACTCCCAGAGTTGAACTTTCCTTTGGAAAGAGCAGCTATGAAACACTCTTTTTCTAGAATCTGCAAGTGGACGTTTGGAGGGCTTTGTGGTTTGTGGTGGAAAAGGAAATATCTTCACCTAAATACTAGATAGAAGCATTCTCAGAAGCTTCTCTGTGATGACTGCATTCAACTCACGGAGTTGAACACTCCTTTTGAGAGCGCAGTTTTGAAACTCTCTTTCTGTGGCATCTGCAAGGGGACATGTAGACCTCTTTGAAGATTTCGTTGGAAACGGAATCATCTTCACATAAAAACTATACAGAAGCAGTCTCAGAATCTTCTTTGTGATGTTTGCATTCAAATCCCAGAGTTGAACTTTCCTTTCGAAGTTCACGTTTGAAACACTCTTTTTGCAGGATCTACAAGTGGATATTTGGACCACTCTGTGTCCTTCGTACGAAACGGGTATATCTTCACACGACATCTAGACAGAAGCTTTCTCAGAAAATTCTTTGGGATGATTGAGTGGAACTCACAGAGCTGAACATTCCTTGCGATGTAGCAGTTTAGAAACACACTTTCTGCAGAATCTGCAAGTGCATATTTGGACCTCTCTGAGGAATTCGTTGGAAACGGGATAATTTCAGCTGACTAAACAGAAGCATTCTCAGAACCTTCTTCGTGATGTCTGCATTCAACTCACAGTGTGGAACCTTTCTTTGATAGTTCAGGTTTGAAACACTCTTTTTGTAGAAACTGCAAGGGGATAATTGCACTTCTTTGAGGCCTACCGTAGTAAAGGAAATAACTTCCTATAGAAAGAAGACAGAAGCATTCTCAGAACCCTCTTCGTGATGTTTGCATTCAACTCACAGTGCTGAACCTTTCTTTGATAGTTCAGCTTTGAAACACTCTTCTTGTAGAAACTGCAAGTGGATATTTGGTCCTCTCTGAGGATTTCGTTGGAAACGGGATAAACCGCACAGAACTAAACAGAAGAATTCTCAGAGCCCTCTTCGTGATGTTTGCATTCAACTCACAAGTGCTGAACCTTTCTTTGATAGTGCAGCTTTGAAACACTCTTTTTGTAGAAACTGCAAGTGGATGTTTGGTCCTCTCTGAGGATTTCGTTGGAAACGGGATAAACCGCACAGAACTAAAACAGAAGCATTGTCAGAAACTTCTTTGTGATGATTGCATTCAACTCACAGAGTTGAAGGTTCCTTTTCAAACAGCAGTTTCCAATCACTCTTTCTGTGGAATCTGCAAGTGGATATTTGGGCCTCTCTGAGGATTTCGTTGGAAACGGGATAAAACGCACAGAACTAAAACAGAAGCATTCTCAGAAACTTCTCTGTGATGTTTGTGTTCAACTCCCAGAGTTTCACATTGCTTTTCATAGAGTAGTTCTGAAACATGCTTTTCGTAGTGTCTACAAGTGGACATTTGGAGCGCTTTCAGGCCTGTGGTGGAAAACGAATTATGGTCACATAAAAACTGGAGAGAAGCCTTCTCAGAAACTTCTCTGTGATGATTGCATTCAACTCACAGAGTTGAACCCTCCCTATGGATAGAGCAGTGTTGAAACTCTCTTTTTGTGGAATCTGCAAGTGGATATGTGGACCTCTCCGAAGATGTCTTTGGAAACGGGAATATCTTCACATAAAAACTAAACAGAAGCATTTTCAGAAACTTCTTGGTGATGTTTGCATTCAAATCCCAGAGTTGAACCTTCCTTTGATAGTTCAGGTTTGAAACACTCTTTTTGTAGGATCTGCAAGTGGCTATTTGGACCACTCTGTGGCCTTCGTTCGAAACGGGTATATCTTCGCATAAAATCTAGACAGAAGCATTCTCAGAAAATACTTTGTGATGATTGAGTTTAAATCACAGAGCTGACCATTCCTTTGGATGGAGCAGGTTTGAGACACACTTTTTGTAGAATCTACAAGTGGATATTTGGACCTCTCTGAGGATTTCGTTGGAAACGGGATAACTGCACCTAACTAAACGGAAGCATTCTCAGAAACTGCTTTGTGATGGTTGCATTCACCTCACAGAGTTGAACATTCCTATTGATAGAGCAGTTTGGAAACACTCTTGTTGTGGAATGTGCAAGTGGAGATTTGGAGCGCTTTGAGGCCTATGGTAGTAAAGGGAATAGCTTCATAGAAAAACTAGACAGATGCATTCTCAGGAACTTTTTGGTGATGTTTGTATTCAACTCCCAAGAGTTGAACTTTCCTTTGGAAAGAGCAGCTATGAAACACTCTTTTTCTAGAATCTGCAAGTGGACGTTTGGAGGGCTTTGTGGTTTGTGGTGGAAAAGGAAATATCTTCACCTAAATACTAGATAGAAGCATTCTCAGAAGCTTCTCTGTGATGACTGCATTCAACTCACGGAGTTGAACACTCCTTTTGAGAGCGCAGTTTTGAAACTCTCTTTCTGTGGCATCTGCAAGGGGACATGTAGACCTCTTTGAAGATTTCGTTGGAAACGGAATCATCTTCACATAAAAACTATACAGAAGCAGTCTCAGAATCTTCTTTGTGATGTTTGCATTCAAATCCCAGAGTTGAACTTTCCTTTCAAAGTTCACGTTTGAAACACTCTTTTTGCAGGATCTACAAGTGGATATTTGGACCACTCTGTGTCCTTCGTTCGAAACGGGTATATCTTCACACGACATCTAGACAGAAGCTTTCTCAGAAAATTCTTTGGGATGATTGAGTGGAACTCACAGAGCTGAACATTCCTTGCGATGTAGCAGTTTAGAAACACACTTTCTGCAGAATCTGCAAGTGCATATTTGGACCTCTCTGAGGAATTCGTTGGAAACGGGATAATTTCAGCTGACTAAACAGAAGCATTCTCAGAACCTTCTTCGTGATGTCTGCATTCAACTCACAGTGTGGAACCTTTCTTTGATAGTTCAGGTTTGAAACACTCTTTTTGTAGAAACTGCAAGGGGATAATTGCACTTCTTTGAGGCCTACCGTAGTAAAGGAAATAACTTCCTATAGAAAGAAGACAGAAGCATTCTCAGAACCCTCTTCGTGATGTTTGCATTCAACTCACAGTGCTGAACCTTTCTTTGATAGTTCAGCTTTGAAACACTCTTCTTGTAGAAACTGCAAGTGGATATTTGGTCCTCTCTGAGGATTTCGTTGGAAACGGGATAAACCGCACAGAACTAAACAGAAGAATTCTCAGAGCCCTCTTCGTGATGTTTGCATTCAACTCACAGTGCTGAACCTTTCTTTGATAGTGCAGCTTTGAAACACTCTTTTTGTAGAAACTGCAAGTGGATGTTTGGTCCTCTCTGAGGATTTCGTTGGAAACGGGATAAACCGCACAGAACTAAAACAGAAGCATTGTCAGAAACTTCTTTGTGATGATTGCATTCAACTCACAGAGTTGAAGGTTCCTTTTCAAACAGCAGTTTCCAATCACTCTTTCTGTGGAATCTGCAAGTGGATATTTGGGCCTCTCTGAGGATTTCGTTGGAAACGGGATAAAACGCACAGAACTAAAACAGAAGCATTCTCAGAAACTTCTCTGTGATGTTTGTGTTCAACTCCCAGAGTTTCACGTTGCTTTTCATAGAGTAGTTCTGAAACATGCTTTTCGTAGTGTCTGCAAGTGGACATTTGGAGCGCTTTCAGGCCTGTGGTGGAAAACGAATTATGGTCACATAAAAACTGGAGAGAAGCATTCTCAGAAAATACTTTGTGATGATTGAGTTTAAATCACAGAGCTGACCATTCCTTTGGATGGAGCAGGTTTGAGACACACTTTTTGTAGAATCTACAAGTGGATATTTGGACCTCTCTGAGGATTTCGTTGGAAACGGGATAACTGCACCTAACTAAACGGAAGCATTCTCAGAAACTGCTTTGTGATGATTGCATTCACCTCACAGAGTTGAACATTCGTATTGATAGAGCAGTTTGGAAACACTCTTCTTGTGGAATGTGCAAGTGGAGATTTGGAGCGCTTTGGGGCCTATGGTAGTAAAGGGAATAGCTTCATAGAAAAACTAGACAGATGCATTCTCAGGAACTTTTTGGTGATGTTTGTATTCAACTCCCAGAGTTGAACTTTCCTTTGGAAAGAGCAGCTATGAAACACTCTTTTTCTAGAATCTGCAAGTGGACGTTTGGAGGGCTTTGTGGTTTGTGGTGGAAAAGGAAATATCTTCACCTAAATACTAGATAGAAGCATTCTCAGAAGCTTCTCTGTGATGACTGCATTCAACTCACGGAGTTGAACACTCCTTTTGAGAGTGCAGTTTTGAAACTCTCTTTCTGTGGCATCTGCAAGGGGACATGTAGACCTCTCTGAAGATTTCGTTGGAAACGGAATCATCTTCACATACAAACTATACAGAAGCAGTCTCAGAATCTTCTTTGTGATGTTTGCATTCAAATCCCAGAGTTGAACTTTCCTTTCAAAGTTCACGTTTGAAACACTCTTTTTGCAGGATCTACAAGTGGATATTTGGACCACTCTGTGTCCTTCGTTCGAAACGGGTATATCTTCACATGACATCTAGACAGAAGCTTTCTCAGAAAATTCTTTGGGATGATTGAGTTGAGCAAACAGAGCTGAACACTCCTTGCGATGTAGCAGTTTAGAAACACCCTTTCTGCAGAATCTGCAAGTGCATATGTGGACCTCTCTGAGGAATTCGTTGGAAACGGGATAATTTCAGCTGACTAAACAGAAGCATTCTCAGAACCTTCTTCGTGATGTCTGCATTCAACTCACAGTGTGGAACCTTTCTTTGATAGTTCAGGTTTGAAACACTCTTTTTGTAGAAACTGCAAGGGGATCATTGCACTTCTTTGAGGCCTACCGTAGTAAAGGAAATAACTTCCTATAAAAAGAAGACAGAAGCATTCTCAGAACCCTCTTCGTGATGTTTGCATTCAACTCACGGTGCTGAACCTTTCTTTGATAGTTCAGCTTTGAAACACTCTTTTTGTAGAAACTGCAAGTGGATATTTGGTCCTCTCTGAGGATTTCGTTGGAAACGGGATAAACCGCACAGAACTAAACAGAAGCATTCTCAGAACCTTCTTCGTGATGTTTGCATTCAACTCACAGTGTTGAACCTTTCTTTGATAGTTCAGGTTTGAAACGGTCTTTCTGTAGAAACTGCAAGTAGATATTTGGACCTCTCTGAGGATTTCGTTGGAAACGGGATAAACCGCACAGAACTAAAACAGAAGCATTCACAGAAAACTCTTGGTGACGACTGAGTTTAACCCACAGAGCTGAACATTCCTTTGGATGGAGCAGTTTCGAAACACACTATTTGTAGAATGTGCAAGTGGATATTTGGGCCTCTCTGAGGATTTTGTTGGAAACGGGATAAACTGCCCAGAACTAAACAGAAGCATTCTCAGAAACTACTTTGTGATGATTGCATTCAAGTCACAGAGTTGAACATTCCCTTTGACAGAGCAGTTTGGAAACTCTCTTTGTGTAGAATCTGCAAGTGGAGATATGGACCGCTTTGAAGCCTATGGTAGTAAAGGAAATAGCTTCATATAAAAGCTAGACAGTAGCATTCTCAGAAACTTCTTTGTGATGCTTGCATTCAACTCACAGAGTTGAACTTTCCTTTCGAGAGAGAAGCTTTGAAACACTCTTTTTCCAGAATCTGCAAGTGGACCTTTGGAGGGCTTTGAGGCCTGTGGTGGAAAAGGAATTAACTTCCCGTAAAAGCTAGATAGAAGCATTGTCAGAAACTTCTTTGTGATGATTGCATTCAACTCACAGAGATGAAGGTTCCTTTACATACAGCAGTTTCCAAACACCCTTTCTGTGGAATCTGCAAGTGGATATTTGGACCTCTTTGAAGATTTCGTTGGAAACGGGAGAATCTTCACAGAAAAGCTAAACAGAAGCATTCTCAGAAACTTCTCTGTGATGTTTGTGTTCAACTCCCAGAGTTTCACATTGCTTTTCATAGAGTAGTTCTGAAACATGCTTTTCGTAGTGTCTGCAAGTGGACATTTGGAGCGCTTTCAGGCCTGTGGTGGAAAACGAATTATGGTCCCATAAAAACTGGAGAGAAGCCTTCTCAGAAACTTCTCTGTGATGATTGCATTCAACTCACAGATTTGAACCCTCCTATGGATAGAGCATTGTTGAAACTCTCTTTTTGTGGAATCTGCAAGTGGATATGTGGACCTCTCCGAAGATGTCTTTGGAAACGGGAATATCTTCACATAAAAACTAAACAGAAGCATTCTCAGAAACTTCTTGGTGATGTTTGCATTCAAATCCCAGAGTTGAACCTTCCTGTGATAGTTCAGGTTTGAAACACTCTTTTTGTAGGATCTGCAAGTGGATATTTGGACCACTCTGTGGCCTTCGTCCGAAACGGGTACATCTTCACATAAAATCTAGACAGAAGCATTCTCAGAAAATACTTTGTGATGATTGAGTTTAACTCACGGAGCTGAACATTCCTTTGGATGGAGCAGGTTTGAGACACACTTTTTGTAGAATCTACAAGTGGATATTGGGACCTCTCTGAGGATTTCGTTGGAAACGCGATAACTGCACCTAACTAAACGGAAGCATTCTCAGAAACTGCTTTGTGATGATTGCATTCACCTCACAGAGTTGAACATTCCTATTGATAGAGCAGTTTGGAAACACTCTTGTTGTGGAATGTGCAAGTGGAGATTTGGAGCGCTTTGAGGCCTATGGTAGTAAAAGGAATAGCTTCATAGAAAAACTAGACAGATGCATTCTCAGGAACTTTTTGGTGATGTTTGTATTCAACTCCCAGAGTTGAACTTTCCTTTGGAAAGAGCAGCTATGAAACACTCTTTTTCTAGAATCTGCAAGTGGACGTTTGGAGGGCTTTGTGGTTTGTGGTGGAAAAGGAAATATCTTCACCTAAATACTAGATAGAAGCATTCTCAGAAGCTTCTCTGTGATGACTGCATTCAACTCACGGAGTTGAACACTCCTTTTGAGAGCGCAGTTTTGAAACTCTCTTTCTGTGGCATCTGCAAGGGGACATGTAGACCTCTTTGAAGATTTCGTTGGAAACGGAATCATCTTCACATAAAAACTATACAGAAGCAGTCTCAGAATCTTCTTTGTGATGTTTGCATTCAAATCCCAGAGTTGAACTTTCCTTTCAAAGTTCACGTTTGAAACACTCTTTTTGCAGGATCTACAAGTGGATATTTGGACCACTCTGTGTCCTTCGTTCGAAACGGGTATATCTTCACACGACATCTAGACAGAAGCTTTCTCAGAAAATTCTTTGGGATGATTGAGTGGAACTCACAGAGCTGAACATTCCTTGCGATGTAGCAGTTTAGAAACACACTTTCTGCAGAATCTGCAAGTGCATATTTGGACCTCTCTGAGGAATTCGTTGGAAACGGGATAATTTCAGCTGACTAAACAGAAGCATTCTCAGAACCTTCTTCGTGATGTCTGCATTCAACTCACAGTGTGGAACCTTTCTTTGATAGTTCAGGTTTGAAACACTCTTTTTGTAGAAACTGCAAGGGGATAATTGCACTTCTTTGAGGCCTACCGTAATAAAGGAAATAACTTCCTATAGAAAGAAGACAGAAGCATTCTCAGAATCCTCTTCGTGATGTTTGCATTCAACTCACAGTGCTGAACCTTTCTTTGATAGTTCAGCTTTGAAACACTCTTCTTGTAGAAACTGCAAGTGGATATTTCGTCCTCTCTGAGGATTTCGTTGGAAACGGGATAAACCGCACAGAACTAAACAGAAGAATTCTCAGAGCCCTCTTCGTGATGTTTGCATTCAACTCACAGTGCTGAACCTTTCTTTGATAGTGCAGCTTTGAAACACTCTTTTTGTAGAAACTGCAAGTGGATATTTGGTCCTCTCTGAGGATTTCGTTGGAAACGGGATAAACCGCACAGAACTAAAACAGAAGCATTGTCAGAAACTTCTTTGTGATGATTGCATTCAACTCACAGAGTTGAAGGTTCCTTTTCAAACAGCAGTTTCCAATCACTCTTTCTGTGGAATCTGCAAGTGGATATTTGGGCCTCTCTGAGGATTTCGTTGGAAACGGGATAAAACGCACAGAACTAAAACAGAAGCATTCTCAGAAACTTCTCTGTGATGTTTGTGTTCAACTCCCAGAGTTTCACGTTGCTTTTCATAGAGTAGTTCTGAAACATGCTTTTCGTAGTGTCTGCAAGTGGACATTTGGAGCGCTTTCAGGCCTGTGGTGGAAAACGAATTATGGTCACATAAAAACTGGAGAGAAGCCTTCTCAGAAACTTCTCTGTGATGATTGCATTCAACTCACAGAGTTGAACCCTCCTATGGATAGAGCAGTGTTGAAACTCTCTTTTTGTGGAATCTGCAAGTGGATATGTGGACCTCTCCGAAGATGTCTTTGGAAACGGGAATATCTTCACATAAAAACTAAACAGAAGCATTCTCAGAAACTTCTTGGTGATGTTTGCATTCAAATCCCAGAGTTGAACCTTCCTTTGATAGTTCAGGTTTGAAACACTCTTTCTGTAGGATCTGCAAGTGGCTATTTGGACCACTCTGTGGCCTTCGTTCGAAACGGGTATATCTTCGCATAAAATCTAGACAGAAGCATTCTCAGAAAATACTTTGTGATGATTGAGTTTAAATCACAGAGCTGACCATTCCTTTGGATGGAGCAGGTTTGAGACACACTTTTTGTAGAATCTACAAGTGGATATTTGGACCTCTCTGAGGATTTCGTTGGAAACGGGATAACTGCACCTAACTAAACGGAAGCATTCTCAGAAACTGCTTTGTGATGATTGCATTCACCTCACAGAGTTGAACATTCCTATTGATAGAGCAGTTTGGAAACACTCTTGTTGTGGAATGTGCAAGTGGAGATTTGGAGCGCTTTGAGGCCTATGGTAGTAAAGGGAATAGCTTCATAGAAAAACTAGACAGATGCATTCTCAGGAACTTTTTGGTGATGTTTGTATTCAACTCCCAGAGTTGAACTTTCCTTTGGAAAGAGCAGCTATGAAACACTCTTTTTCTAGAATCTGCAAGTGGACGTTTGGAGGGCTTTGTGGTTTGTGGTGGAAAAGGAAATATCTTCACCTAAATACTAGATAGAAGCATTCTCAGAAGCTTCTCTGTGATGACTGCATTCAACTCACGGAGTTGAACACTCCTTTTGAGAGCGCAGTTTTGAAACTCTCTTTCTGTGGCATCTGCAAGGGGACATGTAGACCTCTTTGAAGATTTCGTTGGAAACGGAATCATCTTCACATAAAAACTATACAGAAGCAGTCTCAGAATCTTCTTTGTGATGTTTGCATTCAAATCCCAGAGTTGAACTTTCCTTTCAAAGTTCACGTTTGAAACACTCTTTTTGCAGGATCTACAAGTGGATATTTGGACCACTCTGTGTCCTTCGTTCGAAACGGGTATATCTTCACACGACATCTAGACAGAAGCTTTCTCAGAAAATTCTTTGGGATGATTGAGTGGAACTCACAGAGCTGAACATTCCTTGCGATGTAGCAGTTTAGAAACACACTTTCTGCAGAATCTGCAAGTGCATATTTGGACCTCTCTGAGGAATTCGTTGGAAACGGGATAATTTCAGCTGACTAAACAGAAGCATTCTCAGAACCTTCTTCGTGATGTCTGCATTCAACTCACAGTGTGGAACCTTTCTTTGATAGTTCAGGTTTGAAACACTCTTTTTGTAGAAACTGCAAGGGGATAATTGCACTTCTTTGAGGCCTACCGTAGTAAAGGAAATAACTTCCTATAGAAAGAAGACAGAAGCATTCTCAGAACCCTCTTCGTGATGTTTGCATTCAACTCACAGTGCTGAACCTTTCTTTGATAGTTCAGCTTTGAAACACTCTTCTTGTAGAAACTGCAAGTGGATATTTGGTCCTCTCTGAGGATTTCGTTGGAAACGGGATAAACCGCACAGAACTAAACAGAAGAATTCTCAGAGCCCTCTTCGTGATGTTTGCATTCAACTCACAGTGCTGAACCTTTCTTTGATAGTGCAGCTTTGAAACACTCTTTTTGTAGAAACTGCAAGTGGATGTTTGGTCCTCTCTGAGGATTTCGTTGGAAACGGGATAAACCGCACAGAACTAAAACAGAAGCATTGTCAGAAACTTCTTTGTGATGATTGCATTCAACTCACAGAGTTGAAGGTTCCTTTTCAAACAGCAGTTTCCAATCACTCTTTCTGTGGAATCTGCAAGTGGATATTTGGGCCTCTCTGAGGATTTCGTTGGAAACGGGATAAAACGCACAGAACTAAAACAGAAGCATTCTCAGAAACTTCTCTGTGATGTTTGTGTTCAACTCCCAGAGTTTCACGTTGCTTTTCATAGAGTAGTTCTGAAACATGCTTTTCGTAGTGTCTGCAAGTGGACATTTGGAGCGCTTTCAGGCCTGTGGTGGAAAACGAATTATGGTCACATAAAAACTGGAGAGAAGCCTTCTCAGAAACTTCTCTGTGATGATTGCATTCAACTCACAGAGTTGAACCCTCCTATGGATAGAGCAGTGTTGAAACTCTCTTTTTGTGGAATCTGCAAGTGGATATGTGGACCTCTCCGAAGATGTCTTTGGAAACGGGAATATCTTCACATAAAAACTAAACAGAAGCATTCTCAGAAACTTCTTGGTGATGTTTGCATTCAAATCCCAGAGTTGAACCTTCCTTTGATAGTTCAGGTTTGAAACACTCTTTTTGTAGGATCTGCAAGTGGCTATTTGGACCACTCTGTGGCCTTCGTTCGAAACGGGTATATCTTCGCATAAAATCTAGACAGAAGCATTCTCAGAAAATACTTTGTGATGATTGAGTTTAAATCACAGAGCTGACCATTCCTTTGGATGGAGCAGGTTTGAGACACACTTTTTGTAGAATCTACAAGTGGATATTTGGACCTCTCTGAGGATTTCGTTGGAAACGGGATAACTGCACCTAACTAAACGGAAGCATTCTCAGAAACTGCTTTGTGATGATTGCATTCACCTCACAGAGTTGAACATTCCTATTGATAGAGCAGTTTGGAAACACTCTTGTTGTGGAATGTGCAAGTGGAGATTTGGAGCGCTTTGAGGCCTATGGTAGTAAAGGGAATAGCTTCATAGAAAAACTAGACAGATGCATTCTCAGGAACTTTTTGGTGATGTTTGTATTCAACTCCCAGAGTTGAACTTTCCTTTGGAAAGAGCAGCTATGAAACACTCTTTTTCTAGAATCTGCAAGTGGACGTTTGGAGGGCTTTGTGGTTTGTGGTGGAAAAGGAAATATCTTCACCTAAATACTAGATAGAAGCATCCTCAGAAGCTTCTCTGTGATGACTGCATTCAACTCACGGAGTTGAACACTCCTTTTGAGAGCGCAGTTTTGAAACTCTCTTTCTGTGGCATCTGCAAGGGGACATGTAGACCTCTTTGAAGATTTCTTTGGAAACGGAATCATCTTCACATAAAAACTATACAGAAGCAGTCTCAGAATCTTCTTTGTGATGTTTGCATTCAAATCCCAGAGTTGAACTTTCCTTTCAAAGTTCACGTTTGAAACACTCTTTTTGCAGGATCTACAAGTGGATATTTGGACCACTCTGTGTCCTTCGTTCGAAACGGGTATATCTTCACACGACATCTAGACAGAAGCTTTCTCAGAAAATTCTTTGGGATGATTGAGTGGAACTCACAGAGCTGAACATTCCTTGCGATGTAGCAGTTTAGAAACACACTTTCTGCAGAATCTGCAAGTGCATATTTGGACCTCTCTGAGGAATTCGTTGGAAACGGGATAATTTCAGCTGACTAAACAGAAGCATTCTCAGAACCTTCTTCGTGATGTCTGCATTCAACTCACAGTGTGGAACCTTTCTTTGATAGTTCAGGTTTGAAACACTCTTTTTGTAGAAACTGCAAGGGGATAATTGCACTTCTTTGAGGCCTACCGTAGTAAAGGAAATAACTTCCTATAGAAAGAAGACAGAAGCATTCTCAGAACCCTCTTCGTGATGTTTGCATTCAACTCACAGTGCTGAACCTTTCTTTGATAGTTCAGCTTTGAAACACTCTTCTTGTAGAAACTGCAAGTGGATATTTGGTCCTCTCTGAGGATTTCGTTGGAAACGGGATAAACCGCACAGAACTAAACAGAAGAATTCTCAGAGCCCTCTTCGTGATGTTTGCATTCAACTCACAGTGCTGAACCTTTCTTTGATAGTGCAGCTTTGAAACACTCTTTTTGTAGAAACTGCAAGTGGATGTTTGGTCCTCTCTGAGGATTTCGTTGGAAACGGGATAAACCGCACAGAACTAAAACAGAAGCATTGTCAGAAACTTCTTTGTGATGATTGCATTCAACTCACAGAGTTGAAGGTTCCTTTTCAAACAGCAGTTTCCAATCACTCTTTCTGTGGAATCTGCAAGTGGATATTTGGGCCTCTCTGAGGATTTCGTTGGAAACGGGATAAAACGCACAGAACTAAAACAGAAGCATTCTCAGAAACTTCTCTGTGATGTTTGTGTTCAACTCCCAGAGTTTCACGTTGCTTTTCATAGAGTAGTTCTGAAACATGCTTTTCGTAGTGTCTGCAAGTGGACATTTGGAGCGCTTTCAGGCCTGTGGTGGAAAACGAATTATGGTCACATAAAAACTGGAGAGAAGCCTTCTCAGAAACTTCTCTGTGATGATTGCATTCAACTCACAGAGTTGAACCCTCCTATGGATAGAGCAGTGTTGAAACTCTCTTTTTGTGGAATCTGCAAGTGGATATGTGGACCTCTCCGAAGATGTCTTTGGAAACGGGAATATCTTCACATAAAAACTAAACAGAAGCATTCTCAGAAACTTCTTGGTGATGTTTGCATTCAAATCCCAGAGTTGAACCTTCCTTTGATAGTTCAGGTTTGAAACACTCTTTCTGTAGGATCTGCAAGTGGCTATTTGGACCACTCTGTGGCCTTCGTTCGAAACGGGTATATCTTCGCATAAAATCTAGACAGAAGCATTCTCAGAAAATACTTTGTGATGATTGAGTTTAACTCACAGAGCTGAACATTCCTTTGGATGGAGCAGGCTTGAGACACACTTTTTGTAGAATCTACAAGTGGATATTTGGACCTCTCTGAGGATTTCGTTGGAAACGGGATAACTGCACCTAACTAAGTGGAAGCATTCTCAGAAACTGCTTTGTGATGATTGCATTCACCTCACAGAGTTGACCATTCCTATTGATAGAGCAGTTTGGAAACACTCTTGTTGTGGAATGTGCAAGTGGAGATTTGGAGCGCTTTGAGGCCTATGGTAGTAAAGGGAATAGCTTCATAGAAAAACTAGACAGATGCATTCTCAGGAACTTTTTGGTGATGTTTGTATTCAACTCCCAGAGTTGAACTTTCCTTTGGAAAGAGCAGCTATGAAACACCCTTTTTCTAGAATCTGCAAGTGGACGTTTGGAGGGCTTTGTGGTTTGTGGTGGAAAAGGAAATATCTTCACCTAAATACTAGATAGAAGCATTCTCAGAAGCTTCTCTGTGATGACTGCATTCAACTCACGGAGTTGAACACTCCTTTTGAGAGCGCAGTTTTGAAACTCTCTTTCTGTGGCATCTGCAAGGGGACATGTAGACCTCTTTGAAGATTTCGTTGGAAACGGAATCATCTTCACATAAAAACTATACAGAAGCAGTCTCAGAATCTTCTTTGTGATGTTTGCATTCAAATCCCAGAGTTGAACTTTCCTTTCAAAGTTCACGTTTGAAACACTCTTTTTGCAGGATCTACAAGTGGATATTTGGACCACTCTGTGTCCTTCGTTCGAAACGGGTATATCTTCACACGACATCTAGACAGAAGCTTTCTCAGAAAATTCTTTGGGATGATTGAGTGGAACTCACAGAGCTGAACATTCCTTGCGATGTAGCAGTTTAGAAACACACTTTCTGCAGAATCTGCAAGTGCATATTTGGACCTCTCTGAGGAATTCGTTGGAAACGGGATAATTTCAGCTGACTAAACAGAAGCATTCTCAGAACCTCCTTCGTGATGTCTGCATTCAACTCACAGTGTGGAACCTTTCTTTGATAGTTCAGGTTTGAAACACTCTTTTTGTAGAAACTGCAAGGGGATAATTGCACTTCTTTGAGGCCTACCGTAGTAAAGGAAATAACTTCCTATAAAAAGAAGACAGAAGCATTCTCAGAACCCTCTTCGTGATGTTTGCATTCAACTCACAGTGCTGAACCTTTCTTTGATAGTTCAGCTTTGAAACACTCTTCTTGTAGAAACTGCAAGTGGATATTTGGTCCTCTCTGAGGATTTCGTTGGAAACGGGATAAAACGCACAGAACTAAACAGAAGAATTCTCAGAGCCCTCTTCGTGATGTTTGCATTCAACTCACAGTGCTGAACCTTTCTTTGATAGTGCAGCTTTGAAACACTCTTTTTGTAGAAACTGCAAGTGGATATTTGGTCCTCTCTGAGGATTTCGTTGGAAACGGGATAAACCGCACAGAACTAAAACAGAAGCATTCACAGAAAACTCTTGGTGACGACTGAATTTAACTCACAGAGCTGAACATTCCTTTGGATGGAGCAGTTTCGAAACACACTATTTGTAGAATCTGCAAGTGGATATTTGGGCCTCTCTGAGGATTTCGTTGGAAACGGGATAAAACGCACAGAACTAAAACAGAAGCATTCTCAGAAACTAATTTGTGATGATTGCATTCAAGTCACAGAGTTGAACATTCCCTTTGACAGAGCAGTTTGGAAACTCTCTTTGTGTAGAATCTGCAAGTGGAGATATGGACCGCTTTGAGGCCTATGGTAGTAAAGGAAAGAGCTTCATATAAAAGCTAGACAGTAGCATTCTCAGAAACTTCTTTGTGATGCTTGCATTCAACTCACAGAGTTGAACTTTCCTTTCGAGAGAGAAGCTTTGAAACACTCTTTTTCCAGAATGTGCAAGTGGACATTTGGAGGGCTTTGAGGCCTGTGGTGGAAAAGGAATTATCTTCCCGTAAAAGCTAGATAGAAGCATTGTCAGAAACTTCTTTGTGATGATTGCATTCAACTCACAGAGTTGAAGGTTCCTTTTCAAACAGCAGTTTCCAATCACTCTTTCTGTGGAATCTGCAAGTGGATATTTGGACCTATTTTGAAGATTTCGTTGGAAACGGGATAATCTTCACAGAAAAGCTAAACAGAAGCATTCTCAGAAACTTCTCTGTGATGTTTGTGTTCAACTCCCAGAGTTTCACATTGCTTTTCATAGAGTAGTTCTGAAACATGCTTTTCGTAGTGTCTGCAAGTGGACATTTGGAGCGCTTTCAGGCCTGTGGTGGAAAACGAATTATGGTCACATAGAAACTGGAGAGAAGCCTTCTCAGAAACTTCTCTGTGATGATTGCATTCAACTCACAGAGTTGAACCCTCCTATGGATAGAGCAGTGTTGAAACTCTCTTTTTGTGGAATCTGCAAGTGGATATGTGGACCTCTCCGAAGATGTCTTTGGAAACGGGAATATCTTCACATAAAAACTAAACAGAAGCATTCTCAGAAACTTCTTGGTGATGTTTGCATTCAAATCCCAGAGTTGAACCTTCCTTTGAGAGTTCAGGTTTGAAACACTCTTTTTGTAGGATCTGCAAGTGGATATTTGGACCACTCTGTGGCCTTCGTTCGAAACGGGTACATCTTCGCATAAAATCTAGACAGAAGCATTCTCAGAAAATACTTTGTGATGATTGAGTTGAACTCACAGAGCTGAACATTCCTTTGGATGGAGCAGGTTTGAGACACACTTTTTGTAGAATCTACAAGTGGATATTTGGACCTCTCTGAGGATTTCGTTGGAAACGGGATAACTGCACCTAACTAAACGGAAGCATTCTCAGAAACTGCTTTGTGATGATTGCATTCACCTCACAGAGTTGAACATTCCTATTGATAGAGCAGTTTGGAAACACTCTTGTTGTGGAATGTGCAAGTGGAGATTTGGAGCGCTTTGAGGTCTATGGTAGTAAAGGGAATAGCTTCATAGAAAAACTAGACAGATGCATTCTCAGGAACTTTTTGGTGATGTTTGTATTCAACTCCCAGAGTTGAACTTTCCTTTGGAAAGAGCAGCTATGAAACACTCTTTTTCTAGAATCTGCAAGTGGACGTTTGGAGGGCTTTGTGGTTTGTGGTGGAAAAGGAAATATCTTCACCTAAATACTAGAGAGAAGCATTCTCAGAAGCTTCTCTGTGATGACTGCATTCAACTCACGGAGTTGAACACTCCTTTTGAGAGCGCAGTTTTGAAACTCTCTTTCTGTGGCATCTGCAAGGGGACATGTAGACCTCTTTGAAGATTTCGTTGGAAACGGAATCATCTTCACATAAAAACTATACAGAAGCAGTCTCAGAATCTTCTTTGTGATGTTTGCATTCAAATCCCAGAGTTGAACTTTCCTTTCAAAGTTCACGTTTGAAACACTCTTTTTGCAGGATCTACAAGTGGATATTTGGACCACTCTGTGTCCTTCGTTCGAAACGGGTATATCTTCACATGACATCTAGACAGAAGCTTTCTCAGAAAATTCTTTGGGATGATTGAGTGGAACTCACAGAGCTGAACATTCCTTGCGATGTAGCAGTTTAGAAACACACTTTCTGCAGAATCTGCAAGTGCATATTTGGACCTCTCTGAGGAATTCGTTGGAAACGGGATAATTTCAGCTGACTAAACAGAAGCATTCTCAGAACCTTCTTCGTGATGTCTGCAATCAACTCACAGTGTGGAACCTTTCTTTGATAGTTCAGGTTTGAAACACTCTTTTTGTAGAAACTGCAAGGGGATAATTGCACTTCTTTGAGGCCTACCGTAGTAAAGGAAATAACTTCCTATAGAAAGAAGACAGAAGCATTCTCAGAACCCTCTTCGTGATGTCTGCATTCAACTCACAGTGCTGAACCTTTCTTTGATAGTTCAGCTTTGAAACACTCTTCTTGTAGAAACTGCAAGTGGATATTTGGTCCTCTCTGAGGATTTCGTTGGAAACGGGATAAACCGCACAGAACTAAACAGAAGCATTCTCAGAACCTTCTTCGTGATGTTTGCATTCAACTCACAGTGTTGAACCTTTCTTTGATAGTTCAGGTTTGAAACGGTCTTTCTGTAGAAACTGCAAGTAGATATTTGGACCTCTCTGAGGATTTCGTTGGAAACGGGATAACCCGCACAGAACTAAAACAGAAGCATTCACAGAAAACTCTTGGTGACGACTGAGTTTAACTCACAGAGCTGAACATTCCTTTGGATGGAGCAGTTTCGAAACACACTATTTGTTGAATGTGCAAGTGGATATTTGGGCCTCTCTGAGGATTTCGTTGGAAACGGGATAAACCGCACAGAACTAAACAGAAGCATTCTCAGAAACTACTTTGTGATGATTGCATTCAAGTCACAGAGTTGAACATTCCCTTTGACAGAGCAGTTTGGAAACTCTCTTTCTGTAGAATCTGCAAGTGGAGATATGGACCGCTTTGAGGCCTATGGTAGTAAAGGAAATAGCTTCATATAAAAGCTAGACAGTAGCATTCTCAGAAACTTCTTTGTGATGCTTGCATTCAACTCACAGAGTTGAACTTTCCTTTCGAGAGAGAAGCTTTGAAACACTCTTTTTCCAGAATCTGCAAGTGGACATTTGGAGGGCTTTGAGGCCTGTGGTGGAAAAGTAATTAACTTCCCGTAAAAGCTAGATAGAAGCATTGTCAGAAACTTCTTTGTGATGATTGCATTCAACTCACAGAGTTGAAGGTTCCTTTTCAAACAGCAGTTTCCAATCACTCTTTCTGTGGAATCTGCAAGTGGATATTTGGGCCTCTCTGAGGATTTCGTTGGAAACGGGATAAAACGCACAGAACTAAAACAGAAGCATTCTCAGAAACTTCTCTGTGATGTTTGTGTTCAACTCCCAAGAGTTTCACATTGCTTTTCATAGAGTAGTTCTGAAACATGCTTTTCGTAGTGTCTACAAGTGGACATTTGGAGCGCTTTCAGGCCTGTGGTGGAAAACGAATTATGGTCACATAAAAACTGGAGAGAAGCCTTCTCAGAAACTTCTCTGTGATGATTGCATTCAACTCACAGAGTTGAACCCTCCTATGGATAGAGCAGTGTTGAAACTCTCTTTTTGTGGAATCTGCAAGTGGATATGTGGACCTCTCCGAAGATGTCTTTGGAAACGGGAATATCTTCACATAAAAACTAAACAGAAGCATTCTCAGGAAACTTCTTGGTGATGTTTGCATTCAAATCCCAGAGTTGAACCTTCCTTTGATAGTTCAGGTTTGAAACACTCTTTTTGTAGGATCTGCAAGTGGCTATTTGGACCACTCTGTGGCCTTCGTTCGAAACGGGTATATCTTCGCATAAAATCTAGACAGAAGCATTCTCAGAAAATACTTTCTGATGATTGAGTTTAACTCACAGAGCTGAACATTCCTTTGGATGGAGCAGGTTTGAGAAACACTTTTTGTAGAATCTACAAGTGGATATTTGGACCTCTCTGAGGATTTCGTTGGAAACGGGATAACTGCACCTAACTAAACGGAAGCATTCTCAGAAACTACTTTGTGATGATTGCATTCACCTCACAGAGTTGAACATTCCTATTGATAGAGCAGTTTGGAAACACTCTTGTTGTGGAATGTGCAAGTGGAGATTTGGAGCGCTTTGAGGCCTATGGTAGTAAAGGGAATAGCTTTATAGAAAAACTAGACAGATGCATTCTCAGGAACTTTTTGGTGATGTTTGTATTCAACTCCCAGAGTTGAACTTTCCTTTGGAAAGAGCAGCTATGACACACTCTTTTTCTAGAATCTGCAAGTGGACGTTTGGAGGGCTTTGTGGTTTGTGGTGGAAAAGGAAATATCTTCACCTAAATACTAGATAGAAGCATTCTCAGAAGCTTCTCTGTGATGACTGCATTCAACTCACGGAGTTGAACACTCCTTTTGAGAGCGCAGTTTTGAAACTCTCTTTCTGTGGCATCTGCAAGGGGACATGTAGACCTCTTTGAAGATTTCGTTGGAAACGGAATCATCTTCACATAAAAACTATACAGAAGCAGTCTCAGAATCTTCTTTGTGATGTTTGCATTCAAATCCCCGAGTTGAACTTTCCTTTCAAAGTTCACGTTTGAAACACTCTTTTTGCAGGATCTACAAGTGGATATTTGGACCACTCTGTGTCCTTCGTTCGAAACGGGTATATCTTCACATGACATCTAGACAGAAGCTTTCTCAGAAAATTCTTTGGGATGATTGAGTTGAACTCACAGAGCTGAGCATTCCTTGCGATGTAGCAGTTTAGAAACACACTTTCTGCAGAATCTGCAAGTGCATATTTGGACCTCTGTGAGGAATTCGTTGGAAACGGGATAATTTCAGCTGACTAAACAGAAGCATTCTCAGAACCTTCTTCATGATGTCTGCATTCAACTCACAGTGTGGAACCTTTCTTTGATAGTTCAGGTTTGAAACACTCTTTTTGTAGAAACTGCAAGGGGATAATTGCACTCTTTGAGGAGTACCGTAGTAAAGGAAATAACTTCCTATAAAAAGAAGACAGAAGCATTCTCAGAACCCTCTTCGTGATGTTTGCATTCAACTCACAGTGCTGAACCTTTCTTTGATAGTTCAGCTTTGAAACACTCTTTTTGTAGAAACTGCAAGTGGATATTTGGTCCTCTCTGAGCATTTCGTTGGAAACGGGATAAACTGCACAGAACTAAACAGAAGCATTCTCAGAACTTCTTCGTGATGTTTGCATTCAACTCACAGTGTTGAACCTTTCTTTGATAGTTCAGGTTTGAAACGGTCTTTCTGTAGAAACTGCAAGTAGATATTTGGACCTCTCTGAGGATTTCGTTGGAAACGGGATAACCCGCACAGAACTAAAACAGATAGCATTCACAGTAAAACTCTTGGTGACGACTGAGTTTAACTCACAGAGCTGAACATTCCTTTGGATGGAGCAGTTTCGAAACACACTATTTGTAGAATGTGCAAGTGGATATTTGGGCCTCTCTGAGGATTTCGCTGGAAACGGGATAAACCGCACAGAACTAAACAGAAGCATTCTCAGAAACTACTTTGTGATGATTGCATTCAAGTCACAGAGTTGAACATTCCCTTTGACAGAGCAGTTTGGAAACTCTCTTTCTGTAGAATCTGCAAGTGGAGATATGGACCGCTTTGAGGCCTATGGTAGTAAAGGAAATAGCTTCATATAAAAGCTAGACAGTAGCATTCTCAGAAACTTCTTTGTGATGCTTGCACTCAACTCACAGAGTTGAACTTTCCTTTCGAGAGAGAAGCTTTGAAACACTCTTTTTCCAGAATCTGCAAGTGGACATTTGGAGGGCTTTGAGGCCTGTGGTGGAAAAGGAATTAACTTCCCGTAAAAGCTAGATAGAAGCATTGTCAGAAACTTCTTTGTGATGATTGCATTCAACTCACAGAGATGAAGGTTCCTTTACAAACAGCAGTTTCCAAACACTCTTTCTGTGGAATCTGCAAGTGGATATTTGGACCTCTTTGAAGATTTCGTTGGAAACGGGAGAATCTTCACAGAAAAGCTAAACAGAAGCATTCTCAGAAACTTCTCTGTGATGTTTGTGTTCAACTCCCAGAGTTTCACATTGCTTTTCATAGAGTAGTTCTGAAACATGCTTTTCGTAGTGTCTGCAAGTGGACATTTGGAGCGCTTTCAGGCCTGTGGTGGAAAACGAATTATGGTCCCATAAAAACTGGAGAGAAGCCTTCTCAGAAACTTCTCTGTGATGATTGCATTCAACTCACAGAGTTGAACCCTCCCTATGGATAGAGCAGTGTTGAAACTCTCTTTTTGTGGAATCTGCAAGTGGATATGTGGACCTCTCCGAAGATGTCTTTGGAAACGGGAATATCTTCACATAAAAACTAAACAGAAGCATTCTCAGAAACTTCTTGGTGATGTTTGCATTCAAATCCCAGAGTTGAACCTTCCTTTGATAGTTCAGGTTTGAAACACTCTTTTTGTAGGATCTGCAAGTGGCTATTTGGACCACTCTGTGGCCTTCGTTCGAAACGGGTATATCTTCGCATAAAATCTAGACAGAAGCATTCTCAGAAAATACTTTGTGATGATTGAGTTAAAATCACAGAGCTGAACATTCCTTTGGATGGAGCAGGTTTGAGACACACTTTTTGTAGAATCTACAAGTGGATATTTGGACCTCTCTGAGGATTTCGTTGGAAACGGGATAACTGCACCTAACTAAACGGAAGCATTCTCAGAAACTGCTTTGTGATGATTGCATTCACCTCACAGAGTTGAACATTCCTATTGATAGAGCAGTTTGGAAACACTCTTGTTGCGGAATGTGCAAGTGGAGATTTGGAGCGCTTTGAGGCCTGTGGTAGTAAAGGGAATAGCTTCATAGAAAAACTAGACAGATGCATTCTCAGGAACTTTTTGGTGATGTTTGTATTCAACTCCCAGAGTTGAACTTTCCTTTGGAAAGAGCAGCTATGAAACACTCTTTTTCTAGAATCTGCAAGTGGACGTTTGGAGGGCTTTGTGGTTTGTGGTGGAAAAGGAAATATCTTCACCTAAATACTAGATAGAAGCATTCTCAGAAGCTTCTCTGTGATGACTGCATTCAACTCACGGAGTTGAACACTCCTTTTGAGAGCGCAGTTTTGAAACTCTCTTTCTGTGGCATCTGCAAGGGGACATGTAGACCTCTTTGAAGATTTCGTTGGAAACGGAATCATCTTCACATAAAAACTATACAGAAGCAGTCTCAGAATCTTCTTTGTGATGTTTGCATTCAAATCCCAGAGTTGAACTTTCCTTTCAAAGTTCACGTTTGAAACACTCTTTTTGCAGGATCTACAAGTGGATATTTGGACCACTCTGTGTCCTTCGTTCGAAACGGGTATATCTTCACACGACATCTAGACAGAAGCTTTCTCAGAAAATTCTTTGGGATGATTGAGTGGAACTCACAGAGCTGAACATTCCTTGCGATGTAGCAGTTTAGAAACACACTTTCTGCAGAATCTGCAAGTGCATATTTGGACCTCTCTGAGGAATTCGTTGGAAACGGGATAATTTCAGCTGACTAAACAGAAAGCATTCTCAGGAACCTTCTTCGTGATGTCTGCATTCAACTCACAGTGTGGAACCTTTCTTTGATAGTTCAGGTTTGAAACACTCTTTTTGTAGAAACTGCAAGGGGATAATTGCACTTCTTTGAGGCCTACCGTAGTAAAGGAAATAACTTCCTATAGAAAGAAGACAGAAGCATTCTCAGAACCCTCTTCGTGATGTTTGCATTCAACTCACAGTGCTGAACCTTTCTTTGATAGTTCAGCTTTGAAACACTCTTCTTGTAGAAACTGCAAGTGGATATTTGGTCCTCTCTGAGGATTTCGTTGGAAACGGGATAAACCGCACAGAACTAAACAGAAGCATTCTCAGAGCCCTCTTCGTGATGTTTGCATTCAACTCACAGTGCTGAACCTTTCTTTGATAGTGCAGCTTTGAAACACTCTTTTTGTAGAAACTGCAAGTGGATATTTGGTCCTCTCTGAGGATTTCGTTGGAAACGGGATAAACCGCACAGAACTAAAACAGAAGCATTGTCAGAAACTTCTTTGTGATGATTGCATTCAACTCACAGAGTTGAAGGTTCCTTTTCAAACAGCAGTTTCCAATCACTCTTTCTGTGGAATCTGCAAGTGGATATTTGGGCCTCTCTGAGGATTTCGTTGGAAACGGGATAAAACGCACAGAACTAAAACAGAAGCATTCTCAGAAACTTCTCCGTGATGTTTGTGTTCAACTCCCAGAGTTTCACGTTGCTTTTCATAGAGTAGTTCTGAAACATGCTTTTCGTAGTGTCTGCAAGTGGACATTTGGAGCGCTTTCAGGCCTGTGGTGGAAAACGAATTATGGTCACATAAAAACTGGAGAGAAGCCTTCTCAGAAACTTCTCTGTGATGATTGCATTCAACTCACAGAGTTGAACCCTCCTATGGATAGAGCAGTGTTGAAACTCTCTTTTTGTGGAATCTGCAAGTGGATATGTGGACCTCTCCGAAGATGTCTTTGGAAACGGGAATATCTTCACATAAAAACTAAACAGAAGCATTCTCAGAAACTTCTTGGTGATGTTTGCATTCAAATCCCAGAGTTGAACCTTCCTTTGATAGTTCAGGTTTGAAACACTCTTTCTGTAGGATCTGCAAGTGGCTATTTGGACCACTCTGTGGCCTTCGTTCGAAACGGGTATATCTTCGCATAAAATCTAGACAGAAGCATTCTCAGAAAATACTTTGTGATGATTGAGTTTAAATCACAGAGCTGACCATTCCTTTGGATGGAGCAGGTTTGAGACACACTTTTTGTAGAATCTACAAGTGGATATTTGGACCTCTCTGAGGATTTCGTTGGAAACGGGATAACTGCACCTAACTAAACGGAAGCATTCTCAGAAACTGCTTTGTGATGATTGCATTCACCTCACAGAGTTGAACATTCCTATTGATAGAGCAGTTTGGAAACACTCTTGTTGTGGAATGTGCAAGTGGAGATTTGGAGCGCTTTGAGGCCTGTGGTAGTAAAGGGAATAGCTTCATAGAAAAACTAGACAGATGCATTCTCAGGAACTTTTTGGTGATGTTTGTATTCAACTCCCAGAGTTGAACTTTCCTTTGGAAAGAGCAGCTATGAAACACTCTTTTTCTAGAATCTGCAAGTGGACGTTTGGAGGGCTTTGTGGTTTGTGGTGGAAAAGGAAATATCTTCACCTAAATACTAGACAGAAGCATTCTCAGAAGCTTCTCTGTGATGACTGCATTCAACTCACGGAGTTGAACACTCCTTTTGAGAGCGCAGTTTTGAAACTCTCTTTCTGTGGCATCTGCAAGGGGACATGTAGACCTCTTTGAAGATTTCGTTGGAAACGGAATCATCTTCACATAAAAACTATACAGAAGCAGTCTCAGAATCTTCTTTGTGATGTTTGCATTCAAATCCCAGAGTTGAACTTTCCTTTCAAAGTTCACGTTTGAAACACTCTTTTTGCAGGATCTTCAAGTGGATATTTGGACCACTCTGTGTCCTTCGTTCGAAACGGGTATATCTTCACATGACATCTAGACAGAAGCTTTCTCAGAAAATTCTTTGGGATGATTGAGTTGAACTCACAGAGCTGAACATTCCTTGCGATGGAGCAGTTTAGAAACACACTTTCTGCAGAATCTGCAAGTGCATATTTGGACCTCTCTGAGGAATTCGTTGGAAACGGGATAATTTCAGCTGACTAAACAGAAGCATTCTCAGAACCTTCTTCGTGATGTCTGCATTCAACTCACAGTGTGGAACCTTTCTTTGATAGTTCAGGTTTGAAACACTCTTTTTGTAGAAACTGCAAGGGGATAATTGCACTTCTTTGAGGCCTATCGTAGTAAAGGAAATAACTTCCTATAAAAAGAAGACAGAAGCATTCACAGAAAACTCTTGGTGACGACTGAGTTTAACTCACAGAGCTGAACATTCCTTTGGATTTAGCAGTTTCGAAACACACTATTTGTAGAATCTGCAAGTGGATATTTGGTCCTCTCTGAGGATTTCGTTGGAAACGGGATAAACCGCACAGAACTAAACAGAACCATTCTGAGAAACTACTTTGTGATGATTGCATTCAAGTCACAGAGCTGAACATTCCCTTTGACAGAGCAGTTTGGAAACTCTCTTTGTGTAGAATCTGCAAGTGGAGATATGGAATGCTTTGAGGACTATGGTAGTAAAGGAAATAGCTTCATATAAAAGCTAGACAGTAGCATTCTCAGAAACTTCTTTGTGATGCTTGCATTCAACTAACAGAGTTGAACTTTCCTTTCGAGAGAGAAGCTTTGAAACACTCTTTTTCCAGAATCTGCAAGTGGACATTTGGAGGGCTTTGAGGCCTGTGGTGGAAAAGGAATTATCTTCCCGTAAAAGCTGGATAGAAGCATTGTCAGAAACTTCTTTGTGATGATTGCATTCAACTCACAGAGTTGAAGGTTCCTTTTCAAACAGCAGTTTCCAAACACTCTTTCTGTGGAATCTGCAAGTGGATATTTGGACCTCTTTGAAGATTTCGTTGGAAACGGGATAGCCTTCACAGAAAAGCTAAACAGAAGCATTCTCAGAAACTTCTCTGTGATGTTTGTGTTCAACTCCCAGAGTGTCACATTGCTTCTCATAGAGTAGTTCTGAAACATGCTTTTCGTAGTGCCTGCAAGGGGACATTTGGAGCGCTTTCAGGCCTGTGGTGGAAAACGAATTATGGTCACATAAAAACTGGAGAGAAGCCTTCTCAGAAACTTCTCTGTGATGATTGCATTCAACTCACAGAGTTGAACCCTCCTATGGATAGAGCAGTGTTGAAACTCTCTTTTTGTGGAATCTGCAAGTGGATATGTGGACCTCTCCGAAGATGTCTTTGGAAACGGGACTATCTTCACATAAAAACTAAACAGAAGCATTCTCAGAAACTTCTTGGTGATGTTTGCATTCAAATCCCAGAGTTGAACCTTCCTTTGATAGTTCAGGTTTGAAACACTCTTTTTGTAGGATCTGCAAGTGGATATTTGGACCACTCTGTGGCCTTCGTTCGAAACGGGTACATCTTCGCATAAAATCTAGACAGAAGCATTCTCAGAAAATACTTTGTGATGATTGAGTTTAACTCACAGAGCTGAACATTCCTTTGGATGGAGCAGGTTTGAGACACACTTTTTGTAGAATCCACAAGTGGATATTTGGACCTCTCTGAGGATTTCGTTGGAAACGGGATAACTGCACCTAACTAAACGGAAGCATTCTCAGAAACTGCTTTGTGATGATTGCATTCACCTCACAGAGTTGAACATTCCTATTGATAGAGCAGTTTGGAAACACTCTTGTTGTGGAATGTGCAAGTGGAGATTTGGAGCGCTTTGAGGCCTATGGTAGTAAAGGGAATAGCTTCATAGAAAAACTAGACAGATGCATTCTCAGGAACTTTTTGGTGATGTTTGTATTCAACTCCCAGAGTTGAACTTTCCTTTGGAAAGAGCAGCTATGAAGCACTCTTTTTCTAGAATCTGCAAGTGGACGTTTGGAGGGCTTTGTGGTTTGTGGTGGAAAAGGAAATATCTTCACCTAAATACTAGAGAGAAGCATTCTCAGAAGCTTCTCTGTGATGACTGCATTCAACTCACGGAGTTGAACACTCCTTTTGAGAGCGCAGTTTTGAAACTCTCTTTCTGTGGCATCTGCAAGGGGACATGTAGACCTCTTTGAAGATTTCGTTGGAAACGGAATCATCTTCACATAAAAACTATACAGAAGCAGTCTCAGAATCTTCTTTGTGATGTTTGCATTCAAATCCCAGAGTTGAACTTTCCTTTCAAAGTTCACGTTTGAAACACTCTTTTTGCAGGATCTACAAGTGGATATTTGGACCACTCTGTGTCCTTCGTTCGAAACGGGTATATCTTCACATGACATCTAGACAGAAGCTTTCTCAGAAAATTCTTTGGGATGATTGAGTGGAACTCACAGAGCTGAACATTCCTTGCGATGGAGCAGTTTAGAAACACACTTTCTGCAGAATCTGCAAGTGCATATTTGGACCTCTCTGAGGAATTCGTTGGAAACGGGATAATTTCAGCTGACTAAACAGAAGCATTCTCAGAACCTTCTTCGTGATGTCTGCATTCAACTCACAGTGTGGAACCTTTCTTTGATAGTTCAGGTTTGAAACACTCTTTTTGTAGAAACTGCAAGGGGATAATTGCACTTCTTTGAGGCCTACCGTAGTAAAGGAAATAACTTCCTATAGAAAGAAGACAGAAGCATTCTCAGAGCCCTCTTCGTGATGTTTGCATTCAACTCACAGTGCTGAACCTTTCTTTGATAGTTCAGCTTTGAAACACTCTTCTTGTAGAAACTGCAAGTGGATATTTGGTCCTCTCTGAGGATTTCGTTGGAAACGGGATAAACCGCACAGAACTAAACAGAAGCATTGTCAGAAACTTCTTTGTGATGATTGCATTCAACTCACAGAGTTGAAGGTTCCTTTTCAAACAGCAGTTTCCAATCACTCTTTCTGTGGAATCTGCAAGTGGATATTTGGGCCTCTCTGAGGATTTCGTTGGAAACGGGATAAAACGCACAGAACTAAAACAGAAGCATTCTCAGAAACTTCTCTGTGATGTTTGTGTTCAACTCCCAGAGTTTCACGTTGCTTTTCATAGAGTAGTTCTGAAACATGCTTTTCGTAGTGTCTGCAAGTGGACATTTGGAGCGCTTTCAGGCCTGTGGTGGAAAACGAATTATGGTCACATAAAAACTGGAGAGAAGCCTTCTCAGAAACTTCTCTGTGATGATTGCATTCAACTCACAGAGTTGAACCCTCCTATGGATAGAGCAGTGTTGAAACTCTCTTTTTGTGGAATCTGCAAGTGGATATGTGGACCTCTCCGAAGATGTCTTTGGAAACGGGAATATCTTCACATAAAAACTAAACAGAAGCATTCTCAGGAAACTTCTTGGTGATGTTTGCATTCAAATCCCAGAGTTGAACCTTCCTTTGATAGTTCAGGTTTGAAACACTCTTTTTGTAGGATCTGCAAGTGGCTATTTGGACCACTCTGTGGCCTTCGTTCGAAACGGGTATATCTTCGCATAAAATCTAGACAGAAGCATTCTCAGGAAAATACTTTGTGATGATTGAGTTTAAATCACAGAGCTGACCATTCCTTTGGATGGAGCAGGTTTGAGACACACTTTTTGTAGAATCTACAAGTGGATATTTGGACCTCTCTGAGGATTTCGTTGGAAACGGGATAACTGCACCTAACTAAACGGAAGCATTCTCAGAAACTGCTTTGTGATGATTGCATTCACCTCACAGAGTTGAACATTCCTATTGATAGAGCAGTTTGGAAACACTCTTGTTGTGGAATGTGCAAGTGGAGATTTGGAGCGCTTTGAGGCCTGTGGTAGTAAAGGGAATAGCTTCATAGAAAAACTAGACAGATGCATTCTCAGGAACTTTTTGGTGATGTTTGTATTCAACTCCCAGAGTTGAACTTTCCTTTGGAAAGAGCAGCTATGAAACACTCTTTTTCTAGAATCTGCAAGTGGACGTTTGGAGGGCTTTGTGGTTTGTGGTGGAAAAGGAAATATCTTCACCTAAATACTAGATAGAAGCATTCTCAGAAGCTTCTCTGTGATGACTGCATTCAACTCACGGAGTTGAACACTCCTTTTGAGAGCGCAGTTTTGAAACTCTCTTTCTGTGGCATCTGCAAGGGGACATGTAGACCTCTTTGAAGATTTCGTTGGAAACGGAATCATCTTCACATAAAAACTATACAGAAGCAGTCTCAGAATCTTCTTTGTGATGTTTGCATTCAAATCCCAGAGTTGAACTTTCCTTTCAAAGTTCACGTTTGAAACACTCTTTTTGCAGGATCTACAAGTGGATATTTGGACCACTCTGTGTCCTTCGTTCGAAACGGGTATATCTTCACACGACATCTAGACAGAAGCATTCTCAGAATCTTCTTCGTGATGATTGCATTCAACTCACAGTGTTGAACCTTTCTTTGATAGTTCAGGTTGGAAACGGTCTTTCTGTAGAAACTGCAAGTAGATATTTGGACCTCCTCTGAGGATTTCGTTGGAAACGGGATAAACCGCACAGAACTAAAACAGAAGCATTCACAGAAAACTCTTGGTGACGACTGAGTTTAACTCACAGAGCTGAACATTCCTTTGGATGGAGCAGTTTCGAAACACACTATTTGTAGAATCTGCAAGTGGATATTTGGGCCTCTCTGAGGATTTCGTTGGAAACGGGATAAACCGCACAGAACTAAAACAGAAGCATTCTCAGAAACAACTTTGTGATGATTGCATTCAAGTCACAGAGTTGAACATTCCCTTTGACAGAGCAGTTTGGAAACTCTCTTTGTGTAGAATCTGCAAGTGGAGATATGGACCGCTTTGAGGCCTATGGTAGTAAAGGAAATAGCTTCATATAAAAGCTAGACAGTAGCATTCTCAGAAACTTCTTTGTGATGCTTGCATTCAACTCACAGAGTTGAACTTTCCTTTCGAGAGAGAAGCTTTGAAACACTCTTTTTCCAGAATGTGCAAGTGGACATTTGGAGGGCTTTGAGGCCTGTGGTGGAAAAGGAATTATCTTCCCGTAAAAGCTAGATAGAAGCATTGTCAGAAACTTCTTTGTGATGATTGCATTCAACTCACAGAGTTGAAGGTTCCTTTTCAAAGAGCAGTTTCCAATCACTCTTTCTGTGGAATCTGCAAGTGGATATTTCGACCTATTTTGAAGATTTCGTTGGAAACGGGATAATCTTCACAGAAAAGCTAAACAGAAGCATTCTCAGAAACTTCTCTGTGATGTTTGTGTTCAACTCCCAGAGTTTCACATTGCTTTTCATAGAGTAGTTCTGAAACATGCTTTTCGTAGTGTCTACAAGTGGACATTTGGAGCGCTTCCAGGCCTGTGGTGGAAAACGAATTATGGTCACATAAAAACTGGAGAGAAGCCTTCTCAGAAACTTCTCTGTGATGATTGCATTCAACTCACAGAGTTGAACCCTCCTATGGATAGAGCAGTGTTGAAACTCTCTTTTTGTGGAATCTGCAAGTGGATATGTGGACCTCTCCGAAGATGTCTTTGGAAACGGGAATATCTTCACATAAAAACTAAACAGAAGCATTCTCAGAAACTTCTTGGTGATGTTTGCATTCAAATCCCAGAGTTGAACCTTCCTTTGATAGTTCAGGTTTGAAACACTCTTTCTGTAGGATCTGCAAGTGGCTATTTGGACCACTCTGTGGCCTTCGTTCGAAACGGGTATATCTTCGCATAAAATCTAGACAGAAGCATTCTCAGAAAATACTTTGTGATGATTGAGTTTAAATCACAGAGCTGACCATTCCTTTGGATGGAGCAGGTTTGAGACACACTTTTTGTAGAATCTACAAGTGGATATTTGGACCTCTCTGAGGATTTCGTTGGAAACGGGATAACTGCACCTAACTAAACGGAAGCATTCTCAGAAACTGCTTTGTGATGATTGCATTCACCTCACAGAGTTGAACATTCCTATTGATAGAGCAGTTTGGAAACACTCTTGTTGTGGAATGTGCAAGTGGAGATTTGGAGCGCTTTGAGGCCTATGGTAGTAAAGGGAATAGCTTCATAGAAAAACTAGACAGGATGCATTCTCAGGAACTTTTTGGTGATGTTTGTATTCAACTCCCAGAGTTGAACTTTCCTTTGGAAAGAGCAGCTATGAAACACTCTTTTTCTAGAATCTGAAAGTGGACGTTTGGAGAGCTTTGTGGTTTGTGGTGGAAAAGGAAATATCTTCACCTAAATACTACATAGAAGCATTCTCAGAAGCTTCTCTGTGATGACTGCATTCAACTCACGGAGTTGAACACTCCTTTTGAGAGCGTAGTTTTGAAACTCTCTTTCTGTGGCATCTGCAAGGGGACATGTAGACCTCTTTGAAGATTTCGTTGGAAACGGAATCATCTTCACATAAAAACTATACAGAAGCAGTCTCAGAATCTTCTTTGTGATGTTTGCATTCAAATCCCAGAGTTGAACTTCCCTTTCAAAGTTCACGTTTGAAACACTCTTTTTGCAGGATCTACAAGTGGATATTTGGACCACTCTGTGTCCTTCGTTCGAAACGGGTATATCTTCACATGACATCTAGACAGAAGCTTTCTCAGAAAATTCTTTGGGATGATTGAGTTGAACTCACAGAGCTGAGCATTCCTTGCGATGTAGCAGTTTAGAAACACACTTTCTGCAGAATCTGCAAGTGCATATTTGGACCTCTGTGAGGAATTCGTTGGAAACGGGATAATTTCAGCTGACTAAACAGAAGCATTCTCAGAACCTTCTTCGTGATGTCTGCATTCAACTCACAGTGTGGAACCTTTCTTTGATAGTTCAGGTTTGAAACACTCTTTTTGTAGAAACTGCAAGGGGATAATTGCACTTCTTTGAGGCCTACCGTAGTAAAGGAAATAACTTCCTATAGAAAGAAGACAGAAGCATTCTCAGAACCCTCTTCGTGATGTTTGCATTCAACTCACAGTGCTGAACCTTTCTTTGATAGTTCAGCTTTGAAACACTCTTCTTGTAGAAACTGCAAGTGGATATTTGGTCCTCTCTGAGGATTTCGTTGGAAACGGGATAAACCACACAGAACTAAACAGAAGCATTCTCAGAACCTTCTTCGTGATGTTTGCATTCAACTCACAGTGTTGAACCTTTCTTTGATAGTTCAGGTTGGAAACGGTCTTTCTGTAGAAACTGCAAGTAGATATTTGGACCTCTCTGAGGATTTCGTTGGAAACGGGATAAACCGCACAGAACTAAAACAGAAGCATTCACAGAAAACTCTTGGTGACGACTGAGTTTAACTCACAGAGCTGAACATTCCTTTGGATGGAGCAGTTTCAAAACACACTATTTGTAGAATGTGCAAGTGGATATTTGGGCCTCTCTGAGGATTTCGTTGGAAAAGGGATAAACCGCACAGAACTAAACAGAAGCATTCTCAGAAACTACTTTGTGATGATTGCATTCAAGTCACAGAGTTGAACATTCCCTTTGACAGGGCAGTTTGGAAACTCTCTTTGTGTAGAATCTGCAAGTGGAGACATGGACCGCTTTGAGGCCTATGGTAGTAAAGTAAATAGCTTCATATAAAAGCTAGACAGTAGCATTCTCAGAAACTTCTTTGTGATGCTTGCATTCAACTCACAGAGTTGAACTTTCCTTTCGAGAGAGAAGCTTTGAAACACTCTTTTTCCAGAATCTGCAAGTGGACATTTGGAGGGCTTTGAGGCCTGTGGTGGAAAAGGAATTAACTTCCCGTAAAAGCTAGATAGAAGCATTGTCAGAAACTTCTTTGTGATGATTGCATTCAACTCACGGAGATGAAGGTTCCTTTACAAACAGCAGTTTCCAAACACTCTTTCTGTGGAATCTGCAAGTGGATATTTGGACCTCTTTGAAGATTTCGTTGGAAACGGGAGAATCTTCACAGAAAAGCTAAACAGAAGCATTCTCAGAAACTTCTCTGTGATGTTTGTGTTCAACTCCCAGAGTTTCACGTTGCTTTTCATAGAGTAGTTCTGAAACATGCTTTTCGTAGTGTCTGCAAGTGGACATTTGGAGCGCTTTCAGGCCTGTGGTGGAAAACGAATTATGGTCACATAAAAACTGGAGAGAAGCCTTCTCAGAAACTTCTCTGTGATGATTGCATTCAACTCACAGAGTTGAACCCTCCTATGGATAGAGCAGTGTTGAAACTCTCTTTTTGTGGAATCTGCAAGTGGATATGTGGACCTCTCCGAAGATGTCTTTGGAAACGGGAATATCTTCACATAAAAACTAAACAGAAGCATTCTCAGAAACTTCTTGGTGATGTTTGCATTCAAATCCCAGAGTTGAACCTTCCTTTGATAGTTCAGGTTTGAAACACTCTTTCTGTAGGATCTGCAAGTGGCTATTTGGACCACTCTGTGGCCTTCGTTCGAAACGGGTATATCTTCGCATAAAATCTAGACAGAAGCATTCTCAGAAAATACTTTGTGATGATTGAGTTAAAATCACAGAGCTGAACATTCCTTTGGATGGAGCAGGTTTGAGACACACTTTTTGTAGAATCTACAAGTGGATATTTGGACCTCTCTGAGGATTTCGTTGGAAACGGGATAACTGCACCTAACTAAACGGAAGCATTCTCAGAAACTGCTTTGTGATGATTGCATTCACCTCACAGAGTTGAACATTCCTATTGATAGAGCAGTTTGGAAACACTCTTGTTGTGGAATGTGCAAGTGGAGATTTGGAGCGCTTTGAGGCCTATGGTAGTAAAGGGAATAGCTTCATAGAAAAACTAGACAGATGCATTCTCAGGAACTTTTTGGTGATGTTTGTATTCAACCCCCAGAGTTGAACTTTCCTTTGGAAAGAGCAGCTATGAAACACTCTTTTTCTAGAATCTGCAAGTGGACGTTTGGAGGGCTTTGTGGTTTGTGGTGGAAAAGGAAATATCTTCACCTAAATACTAGATAGAAGCATTCTCAGAAGCTTCTCTGTGATGACTGCATTCAACTCACGGAGTTGAACACTCCTTTTGAGAGCGCAGTTTTGAAACTCTCTTTCTGTGGCATCTGCAAGGGGACATGTAGACCTCTTTGAAGATTTCGTTGGAAACGGAATCATCTTCACATAAAAACTATACAGAAGCAGTCTCAGAATCTTCTTTGTGATGTTTGCATTCAAATCCCAGAGTTGAACTTTCCTTTCAAAGTTCACGTTTGAAACACTCTTTTTGCAGGATCTACAAGTGGATATTTGGACCACTCTGTGTCCTTCGTTCGAAACGGGTATATCTTCACATGACATCTAGACAGAAGCTTTCTCAGAAAATCCTTTGGGATGATTGAGTGGAACTCACAGAGCTGAACATTCCTTGCGATGTAGCAGTTTAGAAACACACTTTCTGCAGAATCTGCAAGTGCATATTTGGACCTCTCTGAGGAATTCGTTGGAAACGGGATAATTTCAGCTGACTAAACAGAAGCATTCTCAGAACCTTCTTCGTGATGTCTGCATTCAACTCACAGTGTGGAACCTTTCTTTGATAGTTCAGGTTTGAAACACTCTTTTTGTAGAAACTGCAAGGGGATCATTGCACTCTTTGAGGAGTACCGTAGTAAAGGAAATAACTTCCTATAAAAAGAAGACAGAAGCATTCTCAGAACCCTCTTCGTGATGTTTGCATTCAACTCACAGTGCTGAACCTTTCTTTGATAGTTCAGCTTTGAAACACTCTTCTTGTAGAAACTGCAAGTGGATATTTGGTCCTCTCTGAGGATTTCGTTGGAAACGGGATAAACCGCACAGAACTAAACAGAAGAATTCTCAGAGCCCTCTTCGTGATGTTTGCATTCAACTCACAGTGCTGAACCTTTCTTTGATAGTGCAGCTTTGAAACACTCTTTTTGTAGAAACTGCAAGTGGATGTTTGGTCCTCTCTGAGGATTTCGTTGGAAACGGGATAAACCGCACAGAACTAAAACAGAAGCATTGTCAGAAACTTCTTTGTGATGATTGCATTCAACTCACAGAGTTGAAGGTTCCTTTTCAAACAGCAGTTTCCAATCACTCTTTCTGTGGAATCTGCAAGTGGATATTTGGGCCTCTCTGAGGATTTCGTTGGAAACGGGATAAAACGCACAGAACTAAAACAGAAGCATTCTCAGAAACTTCTCTGTGATGTTTGTGTTCAACTCCCAGAGTTTCACGTTGCTTTTCATAGAGTAGTTCTGAAACATGCTTTTCGTAGTGTCTGCAAGTGGACATTTGGAGCGCTTTCAGGCCTGTGGTGGAAAACGAATTATGGTCACATAAAAACTGGAGAGAAGCCTTCTCAGAAACTTCTCTGTGATGATTGCATTCAACTCACAGAGTTGAACCCTCCTATGGATAGAGCAGTGTTGAAACTCTCTTTTTGTGGAACCTGCAAGTGGATATGTGGACCTCTCCGAAGATGTCTTTGGAAACGGGAATATCTTCACATAAAAACTAAACAGAAGCATTCTCAGAAACTTCTTGGTGATGTTTGCATTCAAATCCCAGAGTTGAACCTTCCTTTGATAGTTCAGGTTTGAAACACTCTTTCTGTAGGATCTGCAAGTGGCTATTTGGACCACTCTGTGGCCTTCGTTCGAAACGGGTATATCTTCGCATAAAATCTAGACAGAAGCATTCTCAGAAAATACTTTGTGATGATTGAGTTTAAATCACAGAGCTGACCATTCCTTTGGATGGAGCAGGTTTGAGACACACTTTTTGTAGAATCTACAAGTGGATATTTGGACCTCTCTGAGGATTTCGTTGGAAACGGGATAACTGCACCTAACTAAACGGAAGCATTCTCAGAAACTGCTTTGTGATGATTGCATTCACCTCACAGAGTTGAACATTCCTATTGATAGAGCAGTTTGGAAACACTCTTGTTGTGGAATGTGCAAGTGGAGATTTGGAGCGCTTTGAGGCCTGTGGTAGTAAAGGGAATAGCTTCATAGAAAAACTAGACAGATGCATTCTCAGGAACTTTTTGGTGATGTTTGTATTCAACTCCCAGAGTTGAACTTTCCTTTGGAAAGAGCAGCTATGAAACACTCTTTTTCTAGAATCTGCAAGTGGACGTTTGGAGGGCTTTGTGGTTTGTGGTGGAAAAGGAAATATCTTCACCTAAATACTAGATAGAAGCATTCTCAGAAGCTTCTCTGTGATGACTGCATTCAACTCACGGAGTTGAACACTCCTTTTGAGAGCGCAGTTTTGAAACTCTCTTTCTGTGGCATCTGCAAGGGGACATGTAGACCTCTTTGAAGATTTCGTTGGAAACGGAATCATCTTCACATAAAAACTATACAGAAGCAGTCTCAGAATCTTCTTTGTGATGTTTGCATTCAAATCCCAGAGTTGAACTTTCCTTTCAAAGTTCACGTTTGAAACACTCTTTTTGCAGGATCTACAAGTGGATATTTGGACCACTCTGTGTCCTTCGTTCGAAACGGGTATATCTTCACAGGACATCTAGACAGAAGCTTTCTCAGAAAATTCTTTGGGATGATTGAGTGGAACTCACAGAGCTGAACATTCCTTGCGATGTAGCAGTTTAGAAACACACTTTCTGCAGAATCTGCAAGTGCATATTTGGACCTCTCTGAGGAATTCGTTGGAAACGGGATAATTTCAGCTGACTAAACAGAAGCATTCTCAGAACCTTCTTCGTGATGTCTGCATTCAACTCACAGTGTGGAACCTTTCTTTGATAGTTCAGGTTTGAAACACTCTTTTTGTAGAAACTGCAAGGGGATAATGGCACTTCTTTGAGGCCTACCGTAGTAAAGGAAATAACTTCCTATAGAAAGAAGACAGAAGCATTCTCAGAACCCTCTTCGTGATGTTTGCATTCAACTCACAGTGCTGAACCTTTCTTTGATAGTTCAGCTTTGAAACACTCTTCTTGTAGAAACTGCAAGTGGATATTTGGTCCTCTCTGAGGATTTCGTTGGAAACGGGATAAACCGCACAGAACTAAACAGAAGAATTCTCAGAGCCCTCTTCGTGATGTTTGCATTCAACTCACAGTGCTGAACCTTTCTTTGATAGTGCAGCTTTGAAACACTCTTTTTGTAGAAACTGCAAGTGGATGTTTGGTCCTCTCTGAGGATTTCGTTGGAAACGGGATAAACCGCACAGAACTAAAACAGAAGCATTGTCAGAAACTTCTTTGTGATGATTGCATTCAACTCACAGAGTTGAAGGTTCCTTTTCAAACAGCAGTTTCCAATCACTCTTTCTGTGGAATCTGCAAGTGGATATTTGGGCCTCTCTGAGGATTTCGTTGGAAACGGGATAAAACGCACAGAACTAAAACAGAAGCATTCTCAGAAACTTCTCTGTGATGTTTGTGTTCAACTCCCAGAGTTTCACGTTGCTTTTCATAGAGTAGTTCTGAAACATGCTTTTCGTAGTGTCTGCAAGTGGACATTTGGAGCGCTTTCAGGCCTGTGGTGGAAAACGAATTATGGTCACATAAAAACTGGAGAGAAGCCTTCTCAGAAACTTCTCTGTGATGATTGCATTCAACTCACAGAGTTGAACCCTCCTATGGATAGAGCAGTGTTGAAACTCTCTTTTTGTGGAATCTGCAAGTGGATATGTGGACCTCTCCGAAGATGTCTTTGGAAACGGGAATATCTTCACATAAAAACTAAACAGAAGCATTCTCAGAAATTTCTTGGTGATGTTTGCATTCAAATCCCAGAGTTGAACCTTCCTTTGATAGTTCAGGTTTGAAACACTCTTTCTGTAGGATCTGCAAGTGGCTATTTGGACCACTCTGTGGCCTTCGTTCGAAACGGGTATATCTTCGCATAAAATCTAGACAGAAGCATTCTCAGAAAATACTTTGTGATGATTGAGTTTAAATCACAGAGCTGACCATTCCTTTGGATGGAGCAGGTTTGAGACACACTTTTTGTAGAATCTACAAGTGGATATTTGGACCTCTCTGAGGATTTCGTTGGAAACGGGATAACTGCACCTAACTAAACGGAAGCATTCTCAGAAACTGCTTTGTGATGATTGCATTCACCTCACAGAGTTGAACATTCCTATTGATAGAGCAGTTTGGAAACACTCTTGTTGTGGAATGTGCAAGTGGAGATTTGGAGCGCTTTGAGGCCTATGTTAGTAAAGGGAATAGCTTCATAGAAAAACTAGACAGATGCATTCTCAGGAACTTTTTGGTGATGTTTGTATTCAACTCCCAGAGTTGAACTTTCCTTTGGAAAGAGCAGCTATGAAACACTCTTTTTCTAGAATCTGCAAGTGGACGTTTGGAGGGCTTTGTGGTTTGTGGTGGAAAAGGAAATATCTTCACCTAAATACTAGATAGAAGCATTCTCAGAAGCTTCTCTGTGATGACTGCATTCAACTCACGGAGTTGAACACTCCTTTTGAGAGCGCAGTTTTGAAACTCTCTTTCTGTGGCATCTGCAAGGGGACATGTAGACCTCTTTGAAGATTTCGTTGGAAACGGAATCATCTTCACATAAAAACTATACAGAAGCAGTCTCAGAATCTTCTTTGTGATGTTTGCATTCAAATCCCAGAGTTGAACTTTCCTTTCAAAGTTCACGTTTGAAACACTCTTTTTGCAGGATCTACAAGTGGATATTTGGACCACTCTGTGTCCTTCGTTCGAAACGGGTATATCTTCACACGACATCTAGACAGAAGCTTTCTCAGAAAATTCTTTGGGATGATTGAGTGGAACTCACAGAGCTGAACATTCCTTGCGATGTAGCAGTTTAGAAACACACTTTCTGCAGAATCTGCAAGTGCATATTTGGACCTCTCTGAGGAATTCGTTGGAAACGGGATAATTTCAGCTGACTAAACAGAAGCATTCTCAGAACCTTCTTCGTGATGTCTGCATTCAACTCACAGTGTGGAACCTTTCTTTGATAGTTCAGGTTTGAAACACTCTTTTTGTAGAAACTGCAAGGGGATAATTGCACTTCTTTGAGGCCTACCGTAGTAAAGGAAATAACTTCCTATAGAAAGAAGACAGAAGCATTCTCAGAACCCTCTTCGTGATGTTTGCATTCAACTCACAGTGCTGAACCTTTCTTTGATAGTTCAGCTTTGAAACACTCTTCTTGTAGAAACTGCAAGTGGATATTTGGTCCTCTCTGAGGATTTCGTTGGGAAACGGGATAAACCGCACAGAACTAAACAGAAGAATTCTCAGAGCCCTCTTCGTGATGTTTGCATTCAACTCACAGTGCTGAAACTTTCTTTGATAGTGCAGCTTTGAAACACTCTTTTTGTAGAAACTGCAAGTGGATATTTGGTCCTCTCTGAGGATTTCGTTGGAAACGGGATAAACCGCACAGAACTAAAACAGAAGCATTCTCAGAACCTTCTTCGTGATGTTTGCATTCAACTCACAGTGTTGAACCTTTCTTTGATAGTTCAGGTTTGAAACGGTCTTTCTGTAGAAACTGCAAGTAGATATTTGGACCTCTCTGAGGATTTCGTTGGAAACGGGATAACCCGCACAGAACTAAAACAGAAGCATTCACAGAAAACTCTTGGTGACGACTGAGTTTAACTCACAGAGCTGAACATTCCTTTGGATGGAGCAGTTTCGAAACACACTATTTGTAGAATGTGCAAGTGGATATTTGGGCCTCTCTGAGGATTTCGTTGGAAATGGGATAAACCGCACAGAACTAAACAGAAGCATTCTCAGAAACTACTTTGTGATGATTGCATTCAAGTCACAGTAGTTGAACATTCCCTTTGACAGAGCAGTTTGGAAACTCTCTTTGTGTAGAATCTGCAAGTGGAGATATGGACCGCTTTGAGGCCTATGGTAGTAAAGGAAATAGCTTCATATAAAAGCTAGACAGTAGCATTCTCAGAAACTTCTTTGTGATGCTTGCATTCAACTCACAGAGTTGAACTTTCCTTTCGAGAGAGAAGCTTTGAAACACTCTTTTTCCAGAATCTGCAAGTGGACATTTGGAGGGCTTTGAGGCCTGTGGTGGAAAAGGAATTATCTTCCCGTAAAAGCTAGATAGAAGCATTGTCAGAAACTTCTTTGTGATGATTGCATTCAACTCACAGAGTTGAAGGTTCCTTTTCAAAGAGCAGTTTCCAATCACTCTTTCTGTGGAATCTGCAAGTGGATATTTGGACCTATTTTGAAGATTTCGTTGGAAACGGGAGAATCTTCACAGGAAAGCTAAACAGAAGCATTCTCAGAAACTTCTCTGTGATGTTTGTGTTCAACTCCCAGAGTTTCACATTGCTTTTCATAGAGTAGTTCTGAAACATGCTTTTCGTAGTGTCTACAAGTGGACATTTGGAGCGCTTTCAGGCCTGTGGTGGAAAACGAATTATGGTCACATAAAAACTGGAGAGAAGCCTTCTCAGAAACTTCTCTGTGATGATTGCATTCAACTCACAGAGTTGAACCCTCCTATGGATAGAGCAGTGTTGAAACTCTCTTTTTGTGGAATCTGCAAGTGGATATGTGGACCTCTCCGAAGATGTCTTTGGAAACGGGAATATCTTCACATAAAAACTAAACAGAAGCATTCTCAGAAACTTCTTGGTGATGTTTGCATTCAAATCCCAGAGTTGAACCTTCCTTTGATAGTTCAGGTTTGAAACACTCTTTTTGTAGGATCTGCAAGTGGATATTTGGACCACTCTGTGGCCTTCGTTCGAAACGGGTATATCTTCGCATAAAATCTAGACAGAAGCATTCTCAGAAAATACTTTGTGATGATTGAGTTTAAATCACAGAGCTGAACATTCCTTTGGATGGAGCAGGTTTGAGACACACTTTTTGTAGAATCTACAAGTGGATATTTGGACCTCTCTGAGGATTTCGTTGGAAACGGGATAACTGCACCTAACTAAACGGAAGCATTCTCAGAAACTGCTTTGTGATGATTGCATTCACCTCACAGAGTTGAACATTCCTATTGATAGAGCAGTTTGGAAACACTCTTGTTGTGGAATGTGCAAGTGGAGATTTGGAGCGCTTTGAGGCCTATGGTAGTAAAGGGAATAGCTTCATAGAAAAACTAGACAGATGCATTCTCAGGAACTTTTTGGTGATGTTTGTATTCAACTCCCAGAGTTGAACTTTCCTTTGGAAAGAGCAGCTATGAAACACTCTTTTTCTAGAATCTGCAAGTGGACGTTTGGAGGGCTTTGTGGTTTGTGGTGGAAAAGGAAATATCTTCACCTAAATACTAGATAGAAGCATTCTCAGAAGCTTCTCTGAGATGACTGCATTCAACTCACGGAGTTGAACACTCCTTTTGAGAGCGCAGTTTTGAAACTCTCTTTCTGTGGCATCTGCAAGGGGACATGTAGACCTCTTTGAAGATTTCGTTGGAAACGGAATCATCTTCACATAAAAACTATACAGAAGCAGTCTCAGAATCTTCTTTGTGATGTTTGCATTCAAATCCCCGAGTTGAACTTTCCTTTCAAAGTTCACGTTTGAAACACTCTTTTTGCAGGATCTACAAGTGGATATTTGGACCACTCTGTGTCCTTCGTTCGAAACGGGTATATCTTCACATGACATCTAGACAGAAGCTTTCTCAGAAAATTCTTTGGGATGATTGAGTTGAACTCACAGAGCTGAGCATTCCTTGCGATGTAGCAGTTTAGAAACACACTTTCTGCAGAATCTGCAAGTGCATATTTGGACCTCTGTGAGGAATTCGTTGGAAACGGGATAATTTCAGCTGACTAAACAGAAGCATTCTCAGAACCTTCTTCTTGATGTCTGCATTCAACTCACAGTGTGGAACCTTTCTTTGATAGTTCAGGTTTGAAACACTCTTTCTGTAGAAACTGCAAGGGGATAATTGCACTCTTTGAGGAGTACCGTAGTAAAGGAAATAACTTCCTATAAAAAGAAGACAGAAGAATTCTCAGAGCCCTCTTCGTGATGTTTGCATTCAACTCACAGTGCTGAACCTTTCTTTGATAGTGCAGCTTTGAAACACTCTTTTTGTAGAAACTGCAAGTGGATGTTTGGTCCTCTCTGAGGATTTCGTTGGAAACGGGATAAACCGCACAGAACTAAAACAGAAGCATTGTCAGAAACTTCTTTGTGATGATTGCATTCAACTCACAGAGTTGAAGGTTCCTTTTCAAACAGCAGTTTCCAATCACTCTTTCTGTGGAATCTGCAAGTGGATATTTGGGCCTCTCTGAGGATTTCGTTGGAAACGGGATAAAACGCACAGAACTAAAACAGAAGCATTCTCAGAAACTTCTCTGTGATGTTTGTGTTCAACTCCCAGAGTTTCACGTTGCTTTTCATAGAGTAGTTCTGAAACATGCTTTTCGTAGTGTCTGCAAGTGGACATTTGGAGCGCTTTCAGGCCTGTGGTGGAAAACGAATTATGGTCACATAAAAACTGGAGAGAAGCCTTCTCAGAAACTTCTCTGTGATGATTGCATTCAACTCACAGAGTTGAACCCTCCTATGGATAGAGCAGTGTTGAAACTCTCTTTTTGTGGAATCTGCAAGTGGATATGTGGACCTCTCCGAAGATGTCTTTGGAAACGGGAATATCTTCACATAAAAACTAAACAGAAGCATTCTCAGAAACTTCTTGGTGATGTTTGCATTCAAATCCCAGAGTTGAACCTTCCTTTGATAGTTCAGGTTTGAAACACTCTTTCTGTAGGATCTGCAAGTGGCTATTTGGACCACTCTGTGGCCTTCGTTCGAAACGGGTATATCTTCGCATAAAATCTAGACAGAAGCATTCTCAGAAAATACTTTGTGATGATTGAGTTTAAATCACAGAGCTGACCATTCCTTTGGATGGAGCAGGTTTGAGACACACTTTTTGTAGAATCTACAAGTGGATATTTGGACCTCTCTGAGGATTTCGTTGGAAACGGGATAACTGCACCTAACTAAACGGAAGCATTCTCAGAAACTGCTTTGTGATGATTGCATTCACCTCACAGAGTTGAACATTCCTATTGATAGAGCAGTTTGGAAACACTCTTGTTGTGGAATGTGCAAGTGGAGATTTGGAGCGCTTTGAGGCCTGTGGTAGTAAAGGGAATAGCTTCATAGAAAAACTAGACAGATGCATTCTCAGGAACTTTTTGGTGATGTTTGTATTCAACTCCCAGAGTTGAACTTTCCTTTGGAAAGAGCAGCTATGAAACACTCTTTTTCTAGAATCTGCAAGTGGACGTTTGGAGGGCTTTGTGGTTTGTGGTGGAAAAGGAAATATCTTCACCTAAATACTAGATAGAAGCATTCTCAGAAGCTTCTCTGTGATGACTGCATTCAACTCACGGAGTTGAACACTCCTTTTGAGAGCGCAGTTTTGAAACTCTCTTTCTGTGGCATCTGCAAGGGGACATGTAGACCTCTTTGAAGATTTCGTTGGAAACGGAATCATCTTCACATAAAAACTATACAGAAGCAGTCTCAGAATCTTCTTTGTGATGTTTGCATTCAAATCCCAGAGTTGAACTTTCCTTTCAAAGTTCACGTTTGAAACACTCTTTTTGCAGGATCTACAAGTGGATATTTGGACCACTCTGTGTCCTTCGTTCGAAACGGGTATATCTTCACACGACATCTAGACAGAAGCTTTCTCAGAAAATTCTTTGGGATGATTGAGTAGGAACTCACAGAGCTGAACATTCCTTGCGATGTAGCAGTTTAGAAACACACTTTCTGCAGAATCTGCAAGTGCATATTTGGACCTCTCTGAGGAATTCGTTGGAAACGGGATAATTTCAGCTGACTAAACAGAAGCATTCTCAGAACCTTCTTCGTGATGTCTGCATTCAACTCACAGTGTGGAACCTTTCTTTGATAGTTCAGGTTTGAAACACTCTTTTTGTAGAAACTGCAAGGGGATCATTGCACTTCTTTGAGGCCTACCGTAGTAAAGGAAATAACTTCCTGTAAAAAGAAGACAGAAGCATTCGCAGAACCCTCTTCGTGATGTTTGCATTCAACTCACGGTGCTGAACCTTTCTTTGATAGTTCAGCTTTGAAACACTCTTTTTGTAGAAACTGCAAGTGGATATTTGGTCCTCTCTGAGGATTTCGTTGGAAACGGGATAAACCGCACAGAACTAAACAGAAGCATTCTCAGAACCTTCTTCGTGATGTTTGCATTCAACTCACAGTGTTGAACCTTTCTTTCATAGTTCAGGTTTGAAACGGTCTTTCTGTAGAAACTGCAAGTAGATATTTGGACCTCTCTGAGGATTTCGTTGGAAACGGGATAAACAGCACAGAACTAAAACAGAAGCATTCACAGAAAACTCTTGGTGACGACTGAGTTTAACTCACAGAGCTGAAGATCCCTTTGGATGGAGCAGTTTCGAAAAACACTATTTGTAGAATGTGCAAGTGGATATTGGGGCCTCTCTGAGGATTTCGTTGGAAACGGTATAAACCGCACAGAACTAAACAGAAGCATTCTCAGAAACTACTTTGTGATGATTGCATTCAAGTCACAGAGTTGAACATTCCCTTTGACAGAGCAGTTTGGAAACTCTCTTTGTGTAGAATCTGCAAGTGGAGATATGGACCGCTTTGAGGCCTATGGTAGTAAAGGAAATAGCTTCATATAAAAGCTAGACAGTAGCATTCTCAGAAACTTCTTTGTGATGCTTGCATTCAACTCACAGAGTTGAACTTTCCTTTCGAGAGAGAAGCTTTGAAACACTCTTTTTCCAGAATGTGCAAGTGGACATTTGGAGGGCTTTGAGGCCTGTGGTGGAAAAGGAATTATCTTCCCGTGAAAGCTAGATAGAAGCATTGTCAGAAACTTCTTTGTGATGATTGCATTCAACTCACAGAGTTGAAGGTTCCTTTTCAAACAGCAGTTTCCAATCACTCTTTCTGTGGAATCTGCAAGTGGATATTTCGACCTCTTTGAAGATTTCGTTGGAAACGGGAGAACATTCACAGAAAAGCTAAACAGAAGCATTCTCAGAAACTTCTCTGTGATGTTTGTGTTCAACTCCCAGAGTTTCACGTTGCTTTTCATAGAGTAGTTCTGAAACATGCTTTTCGTAGTGTCTGCAAGTGGACATTTGGAGCGCTTTCAGGCCTGTGGTGGAAAACGAATTATGGTCACATAAAAACTGGAGAGAAGCCTTCTCAGAAACTTCTCTGTGATGATTGCATTCAACTCACAGAGTTGAACCCTCCTATGGATAGAGCAGTGTTGAAACTCTCTTTTTGTGGAATCTGCAAGTGGATATGTGGACCTCTCCGAAGATGTCTTTGGAAACGGGAATATCTTCACATAAAAACTAAACAGAAGCATTCTCAGAAACTTCTTGGTGATGTTTGCATTCAAATCCCAGAGTTGAACCTTCCTTTGATAGTTCAGGTTTGAAACACTCTTTCTGTAGGATCTGCAAGTGGCTATTTGGACCACTCTGTGGCCTTCGTTCGAAACGGGTATATCTTCGCATAAAATCTAGACAGAAGCATTCTCAGAAAATACTTTGTGATGATTGAGTTTAAATCACAGAGCTGACCATTCCTTTGGATGGAGCAGGTTTGAGACACACTTTTTGTAGAATCTACAAGTGGATATTTGGACCTCTCTGAGGATTTCGTTGGAAACGGGATAACTGCACCTAACTAAACGGAAGCATTCTCAGAAACTGCTTTGTGATGATTGCATTCACCTCACAGAGTTGAACATTCCTATTGATAGAGCAGTTTGGAAACACTCTTGTTGTGGAATGTGCAAGTGGAGATTTGGAGCGCTTTGAGGCCTGTGGTAGCAAAGGGAATAGCTTCATAGAAAAACTAGACAGATGCATTCTCAGGAACTTTTTGGTGATGTTTGTATTCAACTCCCAGAGTTGAACTTTCCTTTGGAAAGAGCAGCTATGAAACACTCTTTTTCTAGAATCTGCAAGTGGACGTTTGGAGGGCTTTGTGGTTTGTGGTGGAAAAGGAAATATCTTCACCTAAATACTAGATAGAAGCATCCTCAGAAGCTTCTCTGTGATGACTGCATTCAACTCACGGAGTTGAACACTCCTTTTGAGAGCGCAGTTTTGAAACTCTCTTTCTGTGGCATCTGCAAGGGGACATGTAGACCTCTTTGAAGATTTCGTTGGAAACGGAATCATCTTCACATAAAAACTATACAGAAGCAGTCTCAGAATCTTCTTTGTGATGTTTGCATTCAAATCCCCGAGTTGAACTTTCCTTTCAAAGTTCACGTTTGAAACACTCTTTTTGCAGGATCTACAAGTGGATATTTGGACCACTCTGTGTCCTTCGTTCGAAACGGGTATATCTTCACATGACATCTAGACAGAAGCTTTCTCAGAAAATTCTTTGGGATGATTGAGTTGAACTCACAGAGCTGAGCATTCCTTGCGATGTAGCAGTTTAGAAACACACTTTCTGCAGAATCTGCAAGTGCATATTTGGACCTCTGTGAGGAATTCGTTGGAAACGGGATAATTTCAGCTGACTAAACAGAAGCATTCTCAGAACCTTCTTCGTGATGTCTGCATTCAACTCACAGTGTGGAACCTTTCTTTGATAGTTCAGGTTTGAAACACTCTTTTTGTAGAAACTGCAAGGGGATAATTGCACTCTTTGAGGAGTACCGTAGTAAAGGAAATAACTTCCTATAAAAAGAAGACAGAAGCATTCTCAGAACCCTCTTCGTGATGTTTGCATTCAACTCACAGTGCTGAACCTTTCTTTGATAGTTCAGCTTTGAAACACTCTTTTTGTAGAAACTGCAAGTGGATATTTGGTCCTCTCTGAGGAATTCGTTGGAAACGGGATAAACTGCACAGAACTAAACAGAAGCATTCTCAGAACCTTCTTCGTGATGTTTGCATTCAACTCACAGTGTTGAACCTTTCTTTGATAGTTCAGGTTTGAAACGGTCTTTCTGTAGAAACTGCAAGTAGATATTTGGACCTCTCTGAGGATTTCGTTGGAAACGGGATAACCCGCACAGAACTAAAACAGAAGCATTCACAGAAAACTCTTGGTGACGACTGAGTTTAACTCACAGAGCTGAACATTCCTTTGGATGGAGCAGTTTCGAAACACACTATTTGTAGAATGTGCAAGTGGATATTTAGGCCTCTCTGAGGATTTCGTTGGAAACGGGATAAACCGCACAGAACTAAACAGAAGCATTCTCAGAAACTACTTTGTGATGATTGCATTCAAGTCACAGAGTTGAACATTCCCTTTGACAGAGCAGTTTGGAAACTCTCTTTGTGTAGAATCTGCAAGTGGAGATATGGACCGCTTTGAGGCCTATGGTAGTAAAGGAAATAGCTTCATATAAAAGCTAGACAGTAGCATTCTCAGAAACTTCTTTGTGATGCTTGCATTCAACTCACAGAGTTGAACTTTCCTTTCGAGAGAGAAGCTTTGAAACACTCTTTTTCCAGAATCTGCAAGTGGACATTTGGAGGGCTTTGAGGCCTGTGGTGGAAAAGGAATTATCTTCCCGTAAAAGCTAGATAGAAGCATTGTCAGAAACTTCTTTGTGATGATTGCATTCAACTCACAGAGTTGAAGGTTCCTTTTCAAAGAGCAGTTTCCAATCACTCTTTCTGTGGAATCTGCAAGTGGATATTCGGACCTATTTTGAAGATTTCGTTGGAAACGGGAGAATCTTCACAGGAAAGCTAAACAGAAGCATTCTCAGAAACTTCTCTGTGATGTTTGTGTTCAACTCCCAGAGTTTCACGTTGCTTTTCATAGAGTAGTTCTGAAACATGCTTTTCGTAGTGTCTGCAAGTGGACATTTGGAGCGCTTTCAGGCCTGTGGTGGAAAACGAATTATGGTCACATAAAAACTGGAGAGAAGCCTTCTCAGAAACTTCTCTGTGATGATTGCATTCAACTCACAGGAGTTGAACCCTCCTATGGATAGAGCAGTGTTGAAACTCTCTTTTTGTGGAATCTGCAAGTGGATATGTGGACCTCTCCGAAGATGTCTTTGGAAACGGGAATATCTTCACATAAAAACTAAACAGAAGCATTCTCAGAAACTTCTTGGTGATGTTTGCATTCAAATCCCAGAGTTGAACCTTCCTTTGATAGTTCAGGTTTGAAACACTCTTTCTGTAGGATCTGCAAGTGGCTATTTGGACCACTCTGTGGCCTTCGTTCGAAACGGGTATATCTTCGCATAAAATCTAGACAGAAGCATTCTCAGAAAATACTTTGTGATGATTGAGTTTAAATCACAGAGCTGACCATTCCTTTGGATGGAGCAGGTTTGAGACACACTTTTTGTAGAATCTACAAGTGGATATTTGGACCTCTCTGAGGATTTCGTTGGAAACGGGATAACTGCACCTAACTAAACGGAAGCATTCTCAGCAAACTGCTTTGTGATGATTGCATTCACCTCACAGAGTTGAACATTCCTATTGATAGAGCAGTTTGGAAACACTCTTGTTGTGGAATGTGCAAGTGGAGATTTGGAGCGCTTTGAGGCCTATGGTAGTAAAGGGAATAGCTTCATAGAAAAACTAGACAGATGCATTCTCAGGAACTTTTTGGTGATGTTTGTATTCAACTCCCAGAGTTGAACTTTCCTTTGGAAAGAGCAGCTATGAAACACTGTTTTTCTAGAATCTGCAAGTGGACGTTTGGAGGGCTTTGTGGTTTGTGGTGGAAAAGGAAATATCTTCACCTAAATACTAGATAGAAGCATTCTCAGAAGCTTCTCTGTGATGACTGCATTCAACTCACGGAGTTGAACACTCCTTTTGAGAGCGCAGTTTTGAAACTCTCTTTCTGTGGCATCTGCAAGGGGACATGTAGACCTCTTTGAAGATTTCGTTGGAAACGGAATCATCTTCACATAAAAACTATACAGAAGCAGTCTCAGAATCTTCTTTGTGATGTTTGCATTCAAATCCCAGAGTTGAACTTTCCTTTCAAAGTTCACGTTTGAAACACTCTTTTTGCAGGATCTACAATTTTATATTTGGACCACTCTGTGTCCTTCGTTCGAAACGGCTATATCTTCACATGACATCTAGACAGAAGCTTTCTCAGAAAATTCTTTGGGATGATTGAGTGGAACTCACAGAGCTGAACATTCCTTGCGATGTAGCAGTTTAGAAACACACTTTCTGCAGAATCTGCAAGTGCATATTTGGACCTCTCTGAGGAATTCGTTGGAAACGGGATAATTTCAGCTGACTAAACAGAAGCATTCTCAGAACCTTCTTCGTGATGTCTGCATTCAACTCACAGTGTGGAACCTTTCTTTGATAGTTCAGGTTTGAAACACTCTTTTTGTAGAAACTGCAAGGGGATAATTGCACTTCTTTGAGGCCTACCGTAGTAAAGGAAATAACTTCCTATAGAAAAAAGACAGAAGCATTCTCAGAACCCTCTTCGTGATGTTTGCATTCAACTCACAGTGCTGAACCTTTCTTTGATAGTTCAGCTTTGAAACACTCTTCTTGTAGAAACTGCAAGTGGATATTTGGACCTCTCTGAGGATTTCGTTGGAAACGGGATAAACCGCACAGAACTAAACAGAAGCATTCTCAGAACCTTCTTCGTGATGTTTGCATTCAACTCACAGTGTTGAACCTTTCTTTGATAGTTCAGGTTTGAAACGGTCTTTCTGTAGAAACTGCAAGTAGATATTTAGACCTCTCTGAGGATTTCGTTGGAAACGGGATAAACAGCACAGAACTAAAACAGAAGCATTCACAGAAAACTCTTGGTGACGACTGAGTTTAACTCACAGAGCTGAACATTCCTTTGGATGGAGCAGTTTCGAAACACACTATTTGTAGAATCTGCAAGTGGATATTTGGGCCTCTCTGAGGATTTCGTTGGAAACGGGATAAAACGCACAGAACTAAAACAGAAGCATTCTCAGAAACTACTTTGTGATGATTGCATTCAAGTCACAGAGTTGAACATTTCCTTTGACAGAGCAGTTTGGAAACTCTCTTTGTGTAGAATCTGCAAGTGGAGATATGGACCGCTTTGAGGCCTATGGTAGTAAAGGAAATACCTTCATATAAAAGCTAGACAGTAGCATTCTCAGAAACTTCTTTGTGATGCTTGCATTCAACTCATAGAGTTGAACTTTCCTTTCGAGAGAGAAGCTTTGAAACACTCTTTTTCCAGAATGTGCAAGTGGACATTTGGGGAGCTTTGAGGCCTGGGGTGGAAAAGGAATTATCTTCCCGTAAAAGGTAGATAGAAGCATTGTCAGAAACTTCTTTGTGATGATTGCATTCAACTCACAGAGTTGAAGGTTCCTTTTCAAACAGCAGTTTCCAATCACTCTTTCTGTGGAATCTGCAAGTGGATATTTCGACCTCTTTGAAGATTTCGTTGGAAACGGGAGAATCTTCACAGAAAAGCTAAACAGAAGCATTCTCAGAAACTTCTCTGTGATGTTTGTGTTCAACTCCCAGAGTTTCACGTTGCTTTTCATAGAGTAGTTCTGAAACATGCTTTTCGTAGTGTCTGCAAGTGGACATTTGGAGCGCTTTCAGGCCTGTGGTGGAAAACGAATTATGGTCACATAAAAACTGGAGAGAAGCCTTCTCAGAAACTTTTCTGTGATGATTGCATTCAACTCACAGAGTTGAACCCTCCTATGGACAGAGCAGTGTTGAAACTCTCTTTTTGTGGAATCTGCAAGTGGATATGTGGACCTCTCCGAAGATGTCTTTGGAAACGGGAATATCTTCACATAAAAACTAAACAGAAGCATTCTCAGAAACTTCTTGGTGATGTTTGCATTCAAATCCCAGAGTTGAACCTTCCTTTGATAGTTCAGGTTTGAAACACTCTTTTTGTAGGATCTGCAAGTGGCTATTTGGACCACTCTGTGGCCTTCGTTCGAAACGGGTATATCTTCGCATAAAATCTAGACAGAAGCATTCTCAGAAAATACTTTGTGATGATTGAGTTTAAATCACAGAGCTGAACATTCCTTTGGATGGAGCAGGTTTGAGACACACTTTTTGTAGAATCTACAAGTGGATATTTGGACCTCTCGGAGGATTTCGTTGGAAACGGGATAACTGCACCTAACTAAACGGAAGCATTCTCAGAAACTGCTTTGTGATGATTGCATTCACCTCACAGAGTTGAACATTCCTATTGATAGAGCAGTTTGGAAACACTCTTGTTGTGGAATGTGCAAGTGGAGATTTGGAGCGCTTTGAGGCCTATGGTAGTAAAGGGAATAGCTTCATAGAAAAACTAGACAGATGCATTCTCAGGAACTTTTTGGTGATGTTTGTATTCAACTCCCAGAGTTGAACTTTCCTTTGGAAAGAGCAGCTATGAAACACTCTTTTTCTAGAATCTGCAAGTGGACGTTTGGAGGGCTTTGTGGTTTGTGGTGGAAAAGGAAATATCTTCACCTAAATACTAGATAGAAGCATTCTCAGAAGCTTCTCTGTGATGACTGCATTCAACTCACGGAGTTGAACACTCCTTTTGAGAGCGCAGTTTTGAAACTCTCTTTCTGTGGCATCTGCAAGGGGACATGTAGACCTCTTTGAAGATTTCGTTGGAAACGGAATCATCTTCACATAAAAACTATACAGAAGCAGTCTCAGAATCTTCTTTGTGATGTTTGCATTCAAATCCCAGAGTTGAACTTTCCTTTCAAAGTTCACGTTTGAAACACTCTTTTTGCAGGATCTACAAGTGGATATTTGGACCACTCTGTGTCCTTCGTTCGAAACGGGTATATCTTCACACGACATCTAGACAGAAGCTTTCTCAGAAAATTCTTTGGGATGATTGAGTGGAACTCACAGAGCTGAACATTCCTTGCAATGTAGCAGTTTAGAAACACACTTTCTGCAGAATCTGCAAGTGCATATTTGGACCTCTCTGAGGAATTCGTTGGAAACGGGATAATTTCAGCTGACTAAACAGAAGCATTCTCAGAACCTTCTTCGTGATGTCTGCATTCAACTCACAGTGTGGAACCTTTCTTTGATAGTTCAGGTTTGAAACACTCTTTTTGTAGAAATTGCAAGGGTATAATTGCACTTCTTTGAGGCCTACCGTAGTAAAGGAAATAACTTCCTATAAAAAGAAGACAGAAGAATTCTCAGAGCCCTCTTCGTGATGTTTGCATTCAACTCACAGTGCTGAACCTTTCTTTGATAGTGCAGCTTTGAAACACTCTTTTTGTAGAAACTGCAAGTGGATGTTTGGTCCTCTCTGAGGATTTCGTTGGAAACGGGATAAACCGCACAGAACTAAAACAGAAGCATTGTCAGAAACTTCTTTGTGATGATTGCATTCAACTCACAGAGTTGAAGGTTCCTTTTCAAACAGCAGTTTCCAATCACTCTTTCTGTGGAATCTGCAAGTGGATATTTGGGCCTCTCTGAGGATTTCGTTGGAAACGGGATAAAACGCACAGAACTAAAACAGAAGCATTCTCAGAAACTTCTCTGTGATGTTTGTGTTCAACTCCCAGAGTTTCACGTTGCTTTTCATAGAGTAGTTCTGAAACATGCTTTTCGTAGTGTCTGCAAGTGGACATTTGGAGCGCTTTCAGGCCTGTGGTGGAAAACGAATTATGGTCACATAAAAACTGGAGAGAAGCCTTCTCAGAAACTTCTCTGTGATGATTGCATTCAACTCACAGAGTTGAACCCTCCTATGGATAGAGCAGTGTTGAAACTCTCTTTTTGTGGAATCTGCAAGTGGATATGTGGACCTCTCCGAAGATGTCTTTGGAAACGGGAATATCTTCACATAAAAACTAAACAGAAGCATTCTCAGAAACTTCTTGGTGATGTTTGCATTCAAATCCCAGAGTTGAACCTTCCTTTGATAGTTCAGGTTTGAAACACTCTTTCTGTAGGATCTGCAAGTGGCTATTTGGACCACTCTGTGGCCTTCGTTCGAAACGGGTATATCTTCGCATAAAATCTAGACAGAAGCATTCTCAGAAAATACTTTGTGATGATTGAGTTTAACTCACAGAGCTGAACATTCCTTTGGATGGAGCAGGCTTGAGACACACTTTTTGTAGAATCCACAAGTGGATATTTGGACCTCTCTGAGGATTTCGTTGGAAACGGGATAACTGCACCGAACTAAACGGAAGCATTCTCAGAAACTGCTTTGTGATGATTGCATTCACCTCACAGAGTTGACCATTCCTATTGATAGAGCAGTTTGGAAACACTCTTGTTGTGGAATGTGCAAGTGGAGATTTGGAGCGCTTTGAGGCCTATGGTAGTAAAGGGAATAGCTTCATAGAAAAACTAGACAGATGCATTCTCAGGAACTTTTTGGTGATGTTTGTATTCAACTCCCAGAGTTGAACTTTCCTTTGGAAAGAGCAGCTATGAAACACGCTTTTTCTAGAATCTGCAAGTGGACGTTTGGAGGGCTTTGTGGTTTGTGGTGGAAAACGAAATATCTTCACCTAAATACTAGAGAGAAGCATTCTCAGAAGCTTCTCTGTGATGACTGCATTCAACTCACGGAGTTGAACACTCCTTTTGAGAGCGCAGTTTTGAAACTCTGTTTCTGTGGCATCTGCAAGGGGACATGTAGACCTCTTTGAAGATTTCGTTGGAAACGGAATCATCTTCACATAAAAACTATACAGAAGCAGTCTCAGAATCTTCCTTGTGATGTTTGCATTCAAATCCCAGAGTTGAACTTTCCTTTCAAAGTTCACGTTTGAAACACTCTTTTTGCAGGATCTACAAGTGGATATTTGGACCACTCTGTGTCCTTCGTTCGAAACGGGTATATCTTCACATGACATCTAGACAGAAGCATTGTCAGAAACTTCTTTGTGATGATTGCATTCAACTCACAGAGTTGAAGGTTCCTTTTCAAACAGCAGTTTCCAAACACCCTTTCTGTGGAATCTGCAAGTGCATATTTGGACCTCTCTGAGGAATTCGTTGGAAACGGGATAATTTCAGCTGACTAAACAGAAGCATTCTCAGAACCTTCTCTGTGATGTTTGTGTTCAACTCCCAGAGTTTCACATTGCTTTTCATAGAGTAGTTCTGAAACATGCTTTTCGTAGTGTCTGCAAGTGGACATTTGGAGCGCTTTCAGGCCTGTGGTGGAAAACGAATTATGGTCACATAAAAACTGGAGAGAAGCCTTCTCAGAAACTTCTCTGTGATGATTGCATTCAACTCACAGATTTGAACCCTCCTATGGATAGAGCATTGTTGAAACTCTCTTTTTGTGGAATCTGCAAGTGGATATGTGGACCTCTCCGAAGATGTCTTTGGAAACGGGAATATCTTCACATAAAAACTAAACAGAAGCATTCTCAGAAACTTCTTGGTGATGTTTGCATTCAAATCCCAGAGTTGAACCTTCCTGTGATAGTTCAGGTTTGAAACACTCTTTTTGTAGGATCTGCAAGTGGATATTTGGACCACTCTGTGGCCTTCGTTCGAAACGGGTACATCTTCACATAAAATCTAGACAGAAGCATTCTCAGAAAATACTTTGTGATGATTGAGTTTAACTCACAGAGCTGAACATTCCTTTGGATGGAGCAGGTTTGAGACACACTTTTTGTAGAATCTACAAGTGGATATTTGGACCTCTCTGAGGATTTCGTTGGAAACGCGATAACTGCACCTAACTAAACGGAAGCATTCTCAGAAACTGCTTTGTGATGATTGCATTCACCTCACAGAGTTGAACATTCCTATTGATAGAGCAGTTTGGAAACACTCTTGTTGTGGAATGTGCAAGTGGAGATTTGGAGCGCTTTGAGGCCTATGGTAGTAAAGGGAATAGCTTCATAGAAAAACTAGACAGATGCATTCTCAGGAACTTTTTGGTGATGTTTGTATTCAACTCCGAGAGTTGAACTTTCCTTTGGAAAGAGCAGCTATGAAACACTCTTTTTCTAGAATCTGCAAGTGGACGTTTGGAGGGCTTTGTGGTTTGTGGTGGAAAAGGAAATATCTTCACCTAAATACTAGATACAAGCATTCTCAGAAGCTTCTCTGTGATGACTGCATTCAACTCACGGAGTTGAACACTCCTTTTGAGAGCGCAGTTTTGAAACTCTCTTTCTGTGGCATCTGCAAGGGGACATGTAGACCTCTTTGAAGATTTCGTTGGAAACGGAATCATCTTCACATAAAAACTATACAGAAGCAGTCTCAGAATCTTCTTTGTGATGTTTGCATTCAAATCCCAGAGTTGAACTTTCCTTTCAAAGTTCACGTTTGAAACACTCTTTTTGCAGGATCTACAAGTGGATATTTGGACCACTCTGTGTCCTTCGTTCGAAACGGGTATATTTTCACACGACATCTAGACAGAAGCTTTCTCAGAAAATTCTTTGGGATGATTGAGTGGAACTCACAGAGCTGAACATTCCTTGCGATGTAGCAGTTTAGAAACACACTTTCTGCAGAATCTGCAAGTGCATATTTGGACCTCTCTGAGGAATTCGTTGGAAACGGGATAATTTCAGCTGACTAAACAGAAGCATTCTCAGAACCTTCTTCGTGATGTCTGCATTCAACTCACAGTGTGGAACCTTTCTTTGATAGTTCAGGTTTGAAACACTCTTTTTGTAGAAACTGCAAGGGGATAATTGCACTTCTTTGAGGCCTACCGTAGTAAAGGAAATAACTTCCTATAAAAAGAAGACAGAAGCATTCTCAGAACCCTCTTCGTGATGTTTGCATTCAACTCACAGTGCTGAACCTTTCTTTGATAGTTCAGCTTTGAAACACTCTTCTTGTAGAAACTGCAAGTGGATATTTGGTCCTCTCTGAGGATTTCGTTGGAAACGGGATAAACCGCACAGAACTAAACAGAAGAATTCTCAGAGCCCTCTTCGTGATGTTTGCATTCAACTCACAGTGCTGAACCTTTCTTTGATAGTGCAGCTTTGAAACACTCTTTTTGTAGAAACTGCAAGTGGATGTTTGGTCCTCTCTGAGGATTTCGTTGGAAACGGGATAAACCGCACAGAACTAAAACAGAAGCATTGTCAGAAACTTCTTTGTGATGATTGCATTCAACTCACAGAGTTGAAGGTTCCTTTTCAAACAGCAGTTTCCAATCACTCTTTCTGTGGAATCTGCAAGTGGATATTTGGGCCTCTCTGAGGATTTCGTTGGAAACGGGATAAAACGCACAGAACTAAAACAGAAGCATTCTCAGAAACTTCTCTGTGATGTTTGTGTTCAACTCCCAGAGTTTCACGTTGCTTTTCATAGAGTAGTTCTGAAACATGCTTTTCGTAGTGTCTGCAAGTGGACATTTGGAGCGCTTTCAGGCCTGTGGTGGAAAACGAATTATGGTCACATAAAAACTGGAGAGAAGCCTTCTCAGAAACTTCTCTGTGATGATTGCATTCAACTCACAGAGTTGAACCCTCCTATGGATAGAGCAGTGTTGAAACTCTCTTTTTGTGGAATCTGCAAGTGGATATGTGGACCTCTCCGAAGATGTCTTTGGAAACGGGAATATCTTCACATAAAAACTAAACAGAAGCATTCTCAGAAACTTCTTGGTGATGTTTCTATTCAAATCCCAGAGTTGAACCTTCCTTTGAGAGTTCAGGTTTGAAACACTCTGTTTGTAGGATCTGCAAGTGGATATTTGGACCACTCTGTGGCCTTCGTTCGAAACGGGTACATCTTCGCATAAAATCTAGACAGAAGCATTCTCAGAAAATACTTTGTGATGATTGAGTTGAACTCACAGAGCTGAACATTCCTTTGGATGGAGCAGGTTTGAGACACACTTTTTGTAGAATCTACAAGTGGATATTTGGACCTCTCTGAGGATTTCGTTGGAAACGGGATAACTGCACCTAACTAAACGGAAGCATTCTCAGAAACTGCTTTGTGATGATTGCATTCACCTCACAGAGTTGAACATTCCTATTGATAGAGCAGTTTGGAAACACTCTTGTTGTGGAATGTGCAAGTGGAGATTTGGAGCGCTTTGAGGCCTATGGTAGTAAAGGGAATAGCTTCATAGAAAAACTAGACAGATGCATTCTCAGGAACTTTTTGGTGATGTTTGTATTCAACTCCCAGAGTTGAACTTTCCTTTGGAAAGAGCAGCTATGAAACACTCTTTTTCTAGAATCTGCAAGTGGACGTTTGGAGGGCTTTGTGGTTTGTGGTGGAAAAGGAATTATCTTCACCTAAATACTAGATAGAAGCATTCTCAGAAGCTTCTCTGTGATGACTGCATTCAACTCACGGAGTTGAACACTCCTTTTGAGAGCGCAGTTTTGAAACTCTCTTTCTGTGGCATCTGCAAGGGGACATGTAGACCTCTTTGAAGATTTCGTTGGAAACGGAATCATCTTCACATCAAAACTATACAGAAGCAGTCTCAGAAACTTCTTTGTGATGTTTGCATTCAAATCCCAGAGTTGAACTTTCCTTTCAAAGTTCACGTTTGAAACACTCTTTTTGCAGGATCTACAAGTGGATATTTGGACCACTCTGTGTCCTTCGTTCGAAAAGGGTATATCTTCACATGACATCTAGACAGAAGCTTTCTCAGAAAATTCTTTGGGTTGATTGAGTTGAACTCACAGAGCTGAACATTCCTTGTGATGTAGCAGTTTAGAAACACACTTTCTGCAGAATCTGCAAGTGCATATTTGGACCTCTCTGAGGAATTCGTTGGAAACGGGATAATTTCAGCTGACTAAACAGAAGAATTCTCAGAACCTTCTTCGTGATGTCTGCATTCAACTCACAGTGTGGAACCTTTCTTTGATAGTTCAGGTTTGAAACACTCTTTTTGTAGAAACTGCAAGGGGATAATTGCACTTCTTTGAGGCCTACCGTAGTAAAGGAAATAACTTCCTATAGAAAGAAGACAGAAGCATTCTCAGAACCCTCTTCGTGATGTTTGCATTCAACTCACAGTGCTGAACCTTTCTTTGATAGTTCAGCTTTGAAACACTCTTCTTGTAGAAACTGCAAGTGGATATTTGGTCCTCTCTGAGGATTTCGTTGGAAACGGGATAAACCGCACAGAACTAAACAGAAGAATTCTCAGAGCCCTCTTCGTGATGTTTGCATTCAACTCACAGTGCTGAACCTTTCTTTGATAGTGCAGCTTTGAAACACTCTTTTTGTAGAAACTGCAAGTGGATGTTTGGTCCTCTCTGAGGATTTCGTTGGAAACGGGATAAACCGCACAGAACTAAAACAGAAGCATTGTCAGAAACTTCTTTGTGATGATTGCATTCAAGTCACAGAGTTGAAGGTTCCTTTTCAAACAGCAGTTTCCAATCACTCTTTCTGTGGAATCTGCAAGTGGATATTTGGAACTCTTTGAAGATTTCGTTGGAAACGGGAGAATCTTCACAGAAAAGCTAAACAGAAGCATTCTCAGAAACTTCTCTGTGATGTTTGTGTTCAACTCCCAGAGTTTCACGTTGCTTTTCATAGAGTAGTTCTGAAACATGCTTTTCGTAGTGTCTGCAAGTGGACATTTGGAGCGCTTTCAGGCCTGTGGTGGAAAACGAATTATGGTCACATAAAAACTGGAGAGAAGCCTTCTCAGAAACTTCTCTGTGATGATTGCATTCAACTCACAGAGTTGAACCCTCCTATGGATAGAGCAGTGTTGAAACTCTCTTTTTGTGGAATCTGCAAGTGGATATGTGGACCTCTCCGAAGATGTCTTTGGAAACGGGAATATCTTCACATAAAAACTAAACAGAAGCATTCTCAGAAACTTCTTGGTGATGTTTGCATTCAAATCCCAGAGTTGAACCTTCCTTTGATAGTTCAGGTTTGAAACACTCTTTCTGTAGGATCTGCAAGTGGCTATTTGGACCACTCTGTGGCCTTCGTTCGAAACGGGTATATCTTCGCATAAAATCTAGACAGAAGCATTCTCAGAAAATACTTTGTGATGATTGAGTTTAAATCACAGAGCTGACCATTCCTTTGGATGGAGCAGGTTTGAGACACACTTTTTGTAGAATCTACAAGTGGATATTTGGACCTCTCTGAGGATTTCGTTGGAAACGGGATAACTGCACCTAACTAAACGGAAGCATTCTCAGAAACTGCTTTGTGATGGTTGCATTCACCTCACAGAGTTGAACATTCCTATTGATAGAGCAGTTTGGAAACACTCTTGTTGTGGAATGTGCAAGTGGAGATTTGGAGCGCTTTGAGGCCTATGGTAGTAAAGGGAATAGCTTCATAGAAAAACTAGACAGATGCATTCTCAGGAACCTTTTGGTGATGTTTGTATTCAACTCCCAGAGTTGAACTTTCCTTTGGAAAGAGCAGCTATGAAACACTCTTTTTCTAGAATCTGCAAGTGGACGTTTGGAGGGCTTTGTGGTTTGTGGTGGAAAAGGAAATATCTTCACCTAAATACTAGATAGAAGCATTCTCAGAAGCTTCTCTGTGATGACTGCATTCAACTCACGGAGTTGAACACTCCTTTTGAGAGCGCAGTTTTGAAACTCTCTTTCTGTGGCATCTGCAAGGGGACATGTAGACCTCTTTGAAGATTTCGTTGGAAACGGAATCATCTTCACATAAAAACTATACAGAAGCAGTCTCAGAATCTTCTTTGTGATGTTTGCATTCAAATCCCAGAGTTGAACTTTCCTTTCAAAGTTCACGTTTGAAACACTCTTTTTGCAGGATCTACAAGTGGATATTTGGACCACTCTGTGTCCTTCGTTCGAAACGGGTATATCTTCACACGACATCTAGACAGAAGCTTTCTCAGAAAATTCTTTGGGATGATTGAGTGGAACTCACAGAGCTGAACATTCCTTGCGATGTAGCAGTTTAGAAACACACTTTCTGCAGAATCTGCAAGTGCATATTTGGACCTCTCTGAGGAATTCGTTGGAAACGGGATAATTTCAGCTGACTAAACAGAAGCATTCTCAGAACCTTCTTCGTGATATCTGCATTCAACTCACAGTGTGGAACCTTTCTTTGATAGTTCAGGTTTGAAACACTCTTTTTGTAGAAACTGCAAGGGGATAATTGCACTTCTTTGAGGCCTACCGTAGTAAAGGAAATAACTTCCTATAGAAAGAAGACAGAAGCATTCTCAGAACCCTCTTCGTGATGTTTGCATTCAACTCACAGTGCTGAACCTTTCTTTGATAGTTCAGCTTTGAAACACTCTTCTTGTAGAAACTGCAAGTGGATATTTGGTCCTCTCTGAGGATTTCGTTGGAAACGGGATAAACCGCACAGAACTAAACAGAAGAATTCTCAGAGCCCTCTTCGTGATGTTTGCATTCAACTCACAGTGCTGAACCTTTCTTTGATAGTGCAGCTTTGAAACACTCTTTTTGTAGAAACTGCAAGTGGATGTTTGGTCCTCTCTGAGGATTTCGTTGGAAACGGGATAAACCGCACAGAACTAAAACAGAAGCATTGTCAGAAACTTCTTTGTGATGATTGCATTCAACTCACAGAGTTGAAGGTTCCTTTTCAAACAGCAGTTTCCAATCACTCTTTCTGTGGAATCTGCAAGTGGATATTTGGGCCTCTCTGAGGATTTCGTTGGAAACGGGATAAAACGCACAGAACTAAAACAGAAGCATTCTCAGAAACTTCTCTGTGATGTTTGTGTTCAACTCCCAGAGTTTCACGTTGCTTTTCATAGAGTAGTTCTGAAACATGCTTTTCGTAGTGTCTGCAAGTGGACATTTGGAGCGCTTTCAGGCCTGTGGTGGAAAACGAATTATGGTCACATAAAAACTGGAGAGAAGCCTTCTCAGAAACTTCTCTGTGATGATTGCATTCAACTCACAGAGTTGAACCCTCCTATGGATAGAGCAGTGTTGAAACTCTCTTTTTGTGGAATCTGCAAGTGGATATGTGGACCTCTCCGAAGATGTCTTTGGAAACGGGAATATCTTCACATAAAAACTAAACAGAAGCATTCTCAGAAACTTCTTGGTGATGTTTGCATTCAAATCCCAGAGTTGAACCTTCCTTTGATAGTTCAGGTTTGAAACACTCTTTCTGTAGGATCTGCAAGTGGCTATTTGGACCACTCTGTGGCCTTCGTTCGAAACGGGTATATCTTCGCATAAAATCTAGACAGAAGCATTCTCAGAAAATACTTTGTGATGATTGAGTTTAAATCACAGAGCTGACCATTCCTTTGGATGGAGCAGGTTTGAGACACACTTTTTGTAGAATCTACAAGTGGATATTTGGACCTCTCTGAGGATTTCGTTGGAAACGGGATAACTGCACCTAACTAAACGGAAGCATTCTCAGAAACTGCTTTGTGATGATTGCATTCACCTCACAGAGTTGAACATTCCTATTGATAGAGCAGTTTGGAAACACTCTTGTTGTGGAATGTGCAAGTGGAGATTTGGAGCGCTTTGAGGCCTGTGGTAGTAAAGGGAATAGCTTCATAGAAAAACTAGACAGATGCATTCTCAGGAACTTTTTGGTGATGTTTGTATTCAACTCCCAGAGTTGAACTTTCCTTTGGAAAGAGCAGCTATGAAACACTCTTTTTCTAGAATCTGCAAGTGGACGTTTGGAGGGCTTTGTGGTTTGTGGTGGAAAAGGAAATATCTTCACCTAAATACTAGATAGAAGCATTCTCAGAAGCTTCTCTGTGATGACTGCATTCAACTCACGGAGTTGAACACTCCTTTTGAGAGCGCAGTTTTGAAACTCTCTTTCTGTGGCATCCGCAAGGGGACATGTGGACCTCTTTGAAGATTTCGTTGGAAACGGAATCATCTTCACATAAAAACTATACAGAAGCAGTCTCAGAATCTTCTTTGTGATGTTTGCATTCAAATCCCAGAGTTGAACTTTCCTTTCAAACTTCACGTTTGAAACACTCTTTTTGCAGGATCTACAAGTGGATATTTGGACCACTCTGTGTCCTTCGTTCGAAACGGGTATATCTTCACATGACATCTAGACAGAAGCTTTCTCAGAAAATTCTTTGGGATGATTGAGTGGAACTCACAGAGCTGAACATTCCTTGCGATGTAGCAGTTTAGAAACACACTTTCTGCAGAATCTGCAAGTGCATATTTGGACCTCTCTGAGGAATTCGTTGGAAACGGGATAATTTCAGCTGACTAAACAGAAGCATTCTCAGAACCTTCTTCGTGATGTCTGCATTCAACTCACAGTGTGGAACCTTTCTTTGATAGTTCAGGTTTGAAACACTCTTTTTGTAGAAACTGCAAGGGGATAATTGCACTTCTTTGAGGCCTACCGTAGTAAAGGAAATAACTTCCTATAGAAAGAAGACAGAAGCATTCTCAGAACCCTCTTCGTGATGTTTGCATTCAACTCACAGTGCTGAACCTTTCTTTGATAGTTCAGCTTTGAAACACTCTTCTTGTAGAAACTGCAAGTGGATATTTGGTCCTCTCTGAGGATTTCGTTGGAAACGGGATAAACCGCACAGAACTAAACAGAAGCATTCTCAGAGCCCTCTTCGTGATGTTTGCATTCAACTCACAGTGCTGAACCTTCCTTTGATAGTGCAGCTTTGAAACACTCTTTTTGTAGAAACTGCAACTGGATGTTTGGTCCTCTCTGAGGATTTCGTTGGAAACGGGATAAACCGCACAGAACTAAAACAGAAGCATTCACAGAAAACTCTTGGTGACGACTGAGTTTAACTCACAGAGCTGAACATTCCTTTGGATGGAGCAGTTTCGAAACACACTATTTGTAGAATCTGCAAGTGGATATTGGGGCCTCTCTGAGGATTTCGTTGGAAACGGGATAAAACGCACAGAACTAAAACAGAAGCATTCTCAGAAACTACTTTGTGATGATTGCATTCAAGTCACAGAGTTGAACATTCCCTTTGACAGAGCAGTTTGGAAACTCTCTTTGTGTAGAATCTGCAAGTGGAGATATGGACCGCTTTGAGGCCTATGGTAGTAAAGGAAATAGCTTCATATAAAAGCTAGACAGTAGCATTCTCAGAAACTTCTTTGTGATGCTTGCATTCAACTCACAGAGTTGAACTTTCCTTTCGAGAGAGAAGCTTTGGAACACTCCTTTTCCAGAATCTGCAAGTGGACATTTGGAGGGCTTTGAGGCCTGTGGTGGAAAAGGAATTACCTTCCCGTAAAAGCTAGATGGAAGCATTGTCAGAAACTTCTTTGTGATGATTGCATTCAACTCACAGAGTTGAAGGTTCCTTTTCAAACAGCAGTTTCCAATCACTCTTTCTGTGGAATCTGCAAGTGGATATTTGGACCTAGTTTGAAGATTTCGTTGGAAACGGGAGAATCTTCACAGAAAAGCTAAACAGAAGCATACTCAGAAACTTCTCTGTGATGTTTGTGTTCAACTCCCAGAGTTTCACATTGATTTTCATAGAGTAGTTCTGAAACATGCTTTTCGTAGTGTCTGCAAGTGGACATTTGGAGTGCTTTCAGGCCTGCGGTGGAAAACGAATTATGGTCACATAAAAACTGGAGAGAAGCCTTCTCAGAAACTTCTCTGTGATGATTGCATTCAACTCACAGAGTTGAACCCTCCTATGGATAGAGCAGTGTTGAAACTCTCTTTTTGTGGAATCTGCAAGTGGATATGTGGACCTCTCCGAAGATGTCTTTGGAAACGGGAATATCTTCACATAAAAACTAAACAGAAGCATTCTCAGAAACTTCTTGGTGATGTTTGCATTCAAATCCCAGAGTTGAACCTTCCTTTGATAGTTCAGGTTTGAAACACTCTTTTTGTAGGATCTGCAAGTGGCTATTTGGACCACTCTGTGGCCTTCGTTCGAAACGGGTATATCTTCGCATAAAATCTAGACAGAAGCATTCTCAGAAAATACTTTGTGATGATTGAGTTTAAATCACAGAGCTGAACATTCCTTTGGATGGAGCAGGTTTGAGACACACTTTTTGTAGAATCTACAAGTGGATATTTGGACCTCTCTGAGGATTTCGTTGGAAACGGTATAACTGCACCTAACTAAACGGAAGCATTCTCAGAAACTGCTTTGTGATGATTGCATTCACCTCACAGAGTTGAACATTCCTATTGATAGAGCAGTTTGGAAACACTCTTGTTGTGGAATGTGCAAGTGGAGATTTGGAGCGCTTTGAGGCCTATGGTAGTAAAGGGAATAGCTTCATAGAAAAACTAGACCGATGCATTCTCAGGAACTTTTTGGTGATGTTTGTATTCAACTCCCAGAGTTGAACTTTCCTTTGGAAAGAGCAGCTATGAAACACTCTTTTTCTAGAATCTGCAAGTGGACGTTTGGAGGGCTTTGTGGTTTGTGGTGGAAAAGGAAATATCTTCACCTAAATACTAGAGAGAAGCATTCTCAGAAGCTTCTCTGTGATGACTGCATTCAACTCACGGAGTTGAACACTCCTTTTGAGAGCGCAGTTTTGAAACTCTCTTTCTGTGGCATCTGCAAGGGGACATGTAGACCTCTTTGAAGATTTCGTTGGAAACGGAATCATCTTCACATAAAAACTATACAGAAGCAGTCTCAGAATCTTCTTTGTGATGTTTACATTCAAATCCCAGAGTTGAACTTTCCTTTCAAAGTTCACGTTTGAAACACTCTTTTTGCAGGATCTACAAGTGGATATTTGGACCACTCTGTGTCCTTCGTTCCAAACGGGTATATCTTCACATGACATCTAGACAGAAGCTTTCTCAGAAAATTCTTTGGGATGATTGAGTTGAACTCACAGAGCTGAACATTCCTTGCGATGTAGCAGTTTAGAAACAGACTTTCTGCAGAATCTGCAAGTGCATATTTGGACCTCTCTGAGGAATTCGTTGGAAACGGGATAATTTCAGCTGACTAAACAGAAGCATTCTCAGAACCTTCTTCGTGATGTCTGCATTCAACTCACAGTGTGGAAACTTTCTTTGATAGTTCAGGTTTGAAACACTCTTTTTGTAGAAACTGCAAGGGGATAATTGCACTTCTTTGAGGCCTACCGTAGTAAAGGAAATAACTTCCTATAAAAAGAAGACAGAAGCATTCTCAGAACCCTCTTCGTGATGTTTACATTGAACTCACAGTGCTGAAACTTTCTTTGATAGTACAGCTTTGAAACACTCTTTTTGTAGAAACTGCAAGTGGATATTTGGTGCTCTCTGAGGATTTCGTTGGAAACGGGATAAACCGCACAGAACTAAACAGAAGCATTCTCAAAACCTTCTTCGTGATGTTTGCATTCAACTCACAGTGTTGAACCTTTCTTTGATAGTTCAGGATTGAAACGGTCTTTCTGTGGAAACTGCAAGTAGATATTTTGACCTCTCTGAGGATTTCGTTGGAAACAGGATAAACCGCACAGAACTAAAACAGAAGCATTCACAGAAAACTCTTGGTGACGACTGAGTTTAACTCACAGAGCTGAACATTCCTTTGGATGGAGCAGTTTCGAAACACACTATTTGTAGAATGTGCAAGTGGATATTTGGGCCTCTCTGAGGATTTCGTTGGAAACGGGATAAACCGCACAGAACTAAACAGAAGCATTCTCAGAAACTACTTTGTGATGATTGCATTCAAGTCACAGAGTTGAACATTCCCTTTGACAGAGCAGTTTGGAAACTCTTTTTGTGTAGAATCTGCAAGTGGAGATATGGACCGCTTTGAGGCCTATGGTAGTAAAGGAAATAGCTTCATATAAAAGCTAGACGGTAGCATTCTCAGAAACTTCTTTGTGATGCTTGCATTCAACTCACAGAGTTGAACTTTCCTTTCGAGAGAGAAGCTTTGAAACACTCTTTTTCCAGAATCTGCAAGTGGACATTTGGAGGGCTTTGAGGCCTGTGGTGGAAAAGGAATTAACTTCCCGTAAAAGCTAGATAGAAGCATTGTCAGAAACTTCTTTGTGATGATTGCATTCAACTCACAGAGTTGAAGGTTCCTTTTCAAACAGCAGTTTCCAATCACTCTTTCTGTGGAATCTGCAAGTGGATATTTGGGCCTCTCTGAGGATTTCGTTGGAAACGGGATAAAACGCACAGAACTAAAACAGAAGCATTCTCAGAAACTTCTCTGTGATGTTTGTGTTCAACTCCCAGAGTTTCACGTTGCTTTTCATAGAGTAGTTCTGAAACATGCTTTTCGTAGTGTCTGCAAGTGGACATTTGGAGCGCTTTCAGGCCTGTGGTGGAAAACGAATTATGGTCACATAAAAACTGGAGAGAAGCCTTCTCAGAAACTTCTCTGTGATGATTGCATTCAACTCACAGAGTTGAACCCTCCTATGGATAGAGCAGTGTTGAAACTCTCTTTTTGTGGAATCTGCAATTGGATATGTGGACCTCTCCGAAGATGTCTTTGGAAACGGGAATATCTTCACATAAAAACTAAACAGAAGCATTCTCAGAAACTTCTTGGTGATGTTTGCATTCAAATCCCAGAGTTGAACCTTCCTTTGATAGTTCAGGTTTGAAACACTCTTTCTGTAGGATCTGCAAGTGGCTATTTGGACCACTCTGTGGCCTTCGTTCGAAACGGGTATATCTTCGCATAAAATCTAGACAGAAGCATTCTCAGAAAATACTTTGTGATGATTGAGTTTAAATCACAGAGCTGACCATTCCTTTGGATGGAGCAGGTTTGAGACACACTTTTTGTAGAATCTACAAGTGGATATTTGGACCTCTCTGAGGATTTCGTTGGAAACGGGATAACTGCACCTAACTAAACGGAAGCATTCTCAGAAACTGCTTTGTGATGATTGCATTCACCTCACAGAGTTGAACATTCCTATTGATAGAGCAGTTTGGAAACACTCTTGTTGTGGAATGTGCAAGTGGAGATTTGGAGCGCTTTGAGGCCTATGTTAGTAAAGGGAATAGCTTCATAGAAAAACTAGACAGATGCATTCTCAGGAACTTTTTGGTGATGTTTGTATTCAACTCCCAGAGTTGAACTTTCCTTTGGAAAGAGCAGCTATGAAACACTCTTTTTCTAGAATCTGCAAGTGGACGTTTGGAGGGCTTTGTGGTTTGTGGTGGAAAAGGAAATATCTTCACCTAAATACTAGATAGAAGCATTCTCAGAAGCTTCTCTGTGATGACTGCATTCAACTCACGGAGTTGAACACTCCTTTTGAGAGCGCAGTTTTGAAACTCTCCTTCTGTGGCATCCGCAAGGGGACATGTGGACCTCTTTGAAGATTTCGTTGGAAACGGAATCATCTTCACATAAAAACTATACAGAAGCAGTCTCAGAATCTTCTTTGTGATGTTTGCATTCAAATCCCAGAGTTGAACTTTCCTTTCAAAGTTCACGTTTGAAACACTCTTTTTGCAGGATCTACAAGTGGATATTTGGACCACTCCGTGTCCTCCGTTCGAAACGGGTATATCTTCACATGACATCTAGACAGAAGCTTTCTCAGAAAATTCTTTGGGATGATTGAGTGGAACTCACAGAGCTGAACATTCCTTGCGATGTAGCAGTTTAGAAACACACTTTCTGCAGAATCTGCAAGTGCATATTTGGACCTCTCTGAGGAATTCGTTGGAAACGGGATAATTTCAGCTGACTAAACAGAAGCATTCTCAGAACCTTCTTCGTGATGTCTGCATTCAACTCACAGTGTGGAACCTTTCTTTGATAGTTCAGGTTTGAAACAATCTTTTTGTAGAAACTGCAAGGGGATAATTGCACTTCTTTGAGGCCAACCGTAGTAAAGGAAATAACTTCCTATAGAAAGAAGACAGAAGCATTCTCAGAGCCCTCTTCGTGATGTTTGCATTCAACTCACAGTGCTGAACCTTTCTTTGATAGTGCAGCTTTGAAACACTCTTCTTGTAGAAACTGCAAGTGGATATTTGGTCCTCTCTGAGGATTTCGTTGGAAACGGGATAAACCGCACAGAACTAAACAGAAGCATTCACAGAAAACTCTTGGTGACGACTGAGTTTAACTCACAGAGCTGAACATTCCTTTGGATGGAGCAGTTTCGAAACACACTATTTGTAGAATCTGCAAGTGGATATTTGGGCCTCTCTGAGGATTTCGTTGGAAACGGGATAAAATGCACAGAACTAAAAGAGAAGCATTCTCAGAAACTACTTTGTGATGATTGCATTCAAGTCACAGAGTTGAACATTCCCTTTGACAGAGCAGTTTGGAAACTCTCTTTGTGTAGAATCTGCAAGTGGAGATATGGACCGCTTTGAGGCCTATGGTAGTAAAGGAAATAGCTTCATATAAAAGCTAGACAGTAGCATTCTCAGAAACTTCTTTGTGATGCTTGCATTCAACTCACAGAGTTGAACTTTCCTTTGGAGAGAGAAGCTTTGAAACACTCTTTTTCCGGAATCTGCAAGTGGACATTTGGAGGGCTTTGAGGCCTGTGGTGGAAAAGGAATTATCTTCCCGTAAAAGCTAGATAGAAGCATTGTCAGAAACTTCTTTGTGATGATTGCATTCAACTCACAGAGTTGAAGGTTCCTTTTCAAAGAGCAGTTTCCAATCACTCTTTCTGTGGAATCTGCAAGTGGATATTTGGACCTATTTTGAAGATTTCGTTGGAAACGGGAGAATCTTCACAGGAAAGCTAAACAGAAGCATTCTCAGAAACTTCTCTGTGATGTTTGTGTTCAACTCCCAGAGTTTCACATTGCTTTTCATAGAGTAGTTCTGAAACATGCTTTTCGTAGTGTCTACAAGTGGACATTTGGAGCGCTTTCAGGCCTGTGGTGGAAAACGAATTATGGTCACATAAAAACTGGAGAGAAGCCTTCTCAGAAACTTCTCTGTGATGATTGCATTCAACTCACAGAGTTGAACCCTCCTATGGATAGAGCAGTGTTGAAACTCTCTTTTTGTGGAATCTGCAAGTGGATATGTGGACCTCTCCGAAGATGTCTTTGGAAACGGGAATATCTTCACATAAAAACTAAACAGAAGCATTCTCAGAAACTTCTTGGTGATGTTTGCATTCAAATCCCAGAGTTGAACCTTCCTTTGATAGTTCAGGTTTGAAACACTCTTTTTGTAGGATCTGCAAGTGGATATTTGGACCACTCTGTGGCCTTCGTTCGAAACGGGTATATCTTCGCATAAAATCTAGACAGAAGCATTCTCAGAAAATACTTTGTGATGATTGAGTTTAACTCACAGAGCTGAACATTCCTTTGGATGGAGCAGGTTTGAGACACACTTTTTGTAGAATCTACAAGTGGATATTTGGACCTCTCTGAGGATTTCGTTAGAAACGGGATAACTGCACCTAACTAAACGGAAGCATTCTCAGAAACTGCTTTGTGATGATTGCATTCACCTCACAGAGTTGAACATTCCTATTGATAGAGCAGTTTGGAAACACTCTTGTTGTGGAATGTGCAAGTGGAGATTTGGAGCGCTTTGAGGTCTATGGTAGTAAAGGGAATAGCTTCATAGAAAAACTAGACAGATGCATTCTCAGGAACTTTTTGGTGATGTTTGTATTCAACTCCCAGAGTTCAACTTTCCTTTGGAAAGAGCAGCTATGAAACACTCTTTTTCTAGAATCTGCAAGTGGACGTTTGGAGGGCTTTGCGGTTTGTGGTGGAAAAGGAAATATCTTCACCTAAATACTAGATAGAAGCATTCTCAGAAGCTTCTCTGTGATGACTGCATTCAACTCACGGAGTTGAACACTCCTTTTGAGAGCGCAGTTTTGAAACTCTCTTTCTGTGGCATCTACAAGGGGACATGTAGACCTCTTTGAAGATTTCGTTGGAAACGGAATCATCTTCACATAAAAACTATACAGAAGCAGTCTCAGAATCTTCTTTGTGATGTTTGCATTCAAATCCCAGAGTTGAACTTTCCTTTCAAAGTTCACGTTTGAAACACTCTTTTTGCAGGATCTACAAGTGGATATTTGGACCACTCTGTGTCCTTCGTTCGAAACGGGTATATCTTCACATGACATCTAGACAGAAGCTTTCTCAGAAAATTCTTTGGGATGATTGAGTGGAACTCACAGAGCTGAACATTCCTTGCGATGTAGCAGTTTAGAAACACACTTTCTGCAGAATCTGCAAGTGCATATTTGGACCTCTCTGAGGAATTCGTTGGAAACGGGATAATTACAGCTGACTAAACAGAAGCATTCTCAGAACCTTCTTCGTGATGTCTGCATTCAACTCACAGTGTGGAACCTTTCTTTGATAGTTCAGGTTTGAAACACTCTTTTTGTAGAAACTGCAAGGGGATAATTGCACTTCTTTGAGGCCTACCGTAGTAAAGGAAATAACTTCCTATAGAAAGAAGACAGAAGCATTCTCAGGATCCTCTTCGTGATGTTTGCATTCAACTCACAGTGCTGAACCTTTCTTTGATAGTTCAGCTTTGAAACACTCTTCTTGTAGAAACTGCAAGTGGATATTTGGTCCTCTCTGAGGATTTCGTTGGAAACGGGATAAACCGCACAGAACTAAACAGAAGCATTCTCAGAACCTTCTTCGTGATGTTTGCATTCAACTCACAGTGTTGAACCTTTCTTTGATAGTTCAGGTTTGAAACGGTCTTTCTGTAGAAACTGCAAGTAGATATTTGGACCTCTCTGAGGATTTCGTTGGAAACGGGATAAACCGCACAGAACTAAAACAGAAGCATTCACAGAAAACTCTTGGTGACGACTGAGTTTAACTCACAGAGCTGAACATTCCTTTGGATGGAGCAGTTTCGAAACACACTATTTGTAGAATGTGCAAGTGGATATGTGGGCCTCTCTGAGGATTTCGTTGGAAACGGGATAAACCGCACAGAACTAAACAGAAGCATTCTCAGAAACTACTTTGTGATGATTGCATTCAAGACACAGAGTTGAACATTCCCTTTGACAGAGCAGTTTGGAAACTCTCTTTGTGTAGAATCTGCAAGTGGAGATATGGACCGCTTTGAGGCCTATGGTAGTAAAGGAAATAGCTTCATATAAAAGCTAGACAGTAGCATTCTCAGAAACTTCTTTGTGATGCTTGCATTCAACTCACAGAGTTGAACTTTCCTTTCGAGAGAGAAGCTTTGAAACACTCTTTTTCCAGAATCTGCAAGTGGACATTTGGAGGGCTTTGAGGCCTGTGGTGGAAAAGGAATTATCTTCCCGTAAAAGCCTAGATAGAAGCATTGTCAGAAACTTCTTTGTGATGATTGCATTCAACTCACAGAGTTGAAGGTTCCTTTTCAAACAGCAGTTTCCAATCACTCTTTCTGTGGAATCTGCAAGTGGATATTTGGGCCTCTCTGAGGATTTCGTTGGAAACGGGATAAAACGCACAGAACTAAAACAGAAGCATTCTCAGAAACTTCTCTGTGATGTTTGTGTTCAACTCCCAGAGTTTCACGTTGCTTTTCATAGAGTAGTTCTGAAACATGCTTTTCGTAGTGTCTGCAAGTGGACATTTGGAGCGCTTTCAGGCCTGTGGTGGAAAACGAATTATGGTCACATAAAAACTGGAGAGAAGCCTTCTCAGAAACTTCTCTGTGATGATTGCATTCAACTCACAGAGTTGAACCCTCCTATGGATAGAGCAGTGTTGAAACTCTCTTTTTGTGGAATCTGCAAGTGGATATGTGGACCTCTCCGAAGATGTCTTTGGAAACGGGAATATCTTCACATAAAAACTAAACAGAAGCATTCTCAGAAACTTCTTGGTGATGTTTGCATTCAAATCCCAGAGTTGAACCTTCCTTTGATAGTTCAGGTTTGAAACACTCTTTTTGTAGGATCTGCAAGTGGCTATTTGGACCACTCTGTGGCCTTCGTTTGAAACGGGTATATCTTCGCATAAAATCTAGACAGAAGCATTCTCAGAAAATACTTTGTGATGATTGAGTTTAAATCACAGAGCTGAACATTCCTTTGGATGGAGCAGGTTTGAGACACACTTTTTGTAGAATCTACAAGTGGATATTTGGACCTCTCTGAGGATTTCGTTGGAAACGGGATAACTGCACCTAACTAAACGGAAGCATTCTCAGAAACTGCTTTGTGATGATTGCATTCACCTCACAGAGTTGAACATTCCTATTGATAGAGCAGTTTGGAAACACTCTTGTTGTGGAATGTGCAAGTGGAGATTTGGAGCGCTTTGAGGCCTATGGTAGTAAAGGGAATAGCTTCATAGAAAAACTAGACAGAATGCATTCTCAGGAACTTTTTGGTGATGTTTGTATTCAACTCCCAGAGTTGAACTTTCCTTTGGAAAGAGCAGCTATGAAACACTCTTTTTCTAGAATCTGCAAGTGGACGTTTGGAGGGCTTTGTGGTTTGTGGTGGAAAAGGAAATATCTTCACCTAAATACTAGATAGAAGCATTCTCAGAAGCTTCTCTGTGATGACTGCATTCAACTCACGGAGTTGAACACTCCTTTTGAGAGCGCAGTTTTGAAACTCTCTTTCTGTGGCATCTGCAAGGGGACATGTAGACCTACTTTGAAGATTTCGTTGGAAACGGAATCATCTTCACATAAAAACTATACAGAAGCAGTCTCAGAATCTTCTTTGTGATGTTTGCATTCAAATCCCAGAGTTGAACTTTCCTTTCAAAGTTCACGTTTGAAACACTCTTTTTGCAGGATCTACAAGTGGATATTTGGACCACTCTGTGTCCTTCGTTCGAAACGGGTATATCTTCACACGACATCTAGACAGAAGCTTTCTCAGAAAATTCTTTGGGATGATTGAGTGGAACTCACAGAGCTGAACATTCCTTGCGATGTAGCAGTTTAGAAACACACTTTCTGCAGAATCTGCAAGTGCATATTTGGACCTCTCTGAGGAATTCGTTGGAAACGGGATAATTTCAGCTGACTAAACAGAAGCATTCTCAGAACCTTCTTCGTGATGTCTGCATTCAACTCACAGTGTGGAACCTTTCTTTGATAGTTCAGGTTTGAAACACTCTTTTTGTAGAAACTGCAAGGGGATAATTGCACTTCTTTGAGGCCTACCGTAGTAAAGGAAATAACTTCCTATAGAAAGAAGACAGAAGCATTCTCAGAACCCTCTTCGTGATGTTTGCATTCAACTCACAGTGCTGAACCTTTCTTTGATAGTTCAGCTTTGAAACACTCTTCTTGTAGAAACTGCAAGTGGATATTTGGTCCTCTCTGAGGATTTCGTTGGAAACGGGATAAACCGCACAGAACTAAACAGAAGAATTCTCAGAGCCCTCTTCGTGATGTTTGCATTCAACTCACAGTGCTGAACCTTTCTTTGATAGTGCAGCTTTGAAACACTCTTTTTGTAGAAACTGCAAGTGGATGTTTGGTCCTCTCTGAGGATTTCGTTGGAAACGGGATAAACCGCACAGAACTAAAACAGAAGCATTGTCAGAAACTTCTTTGTGATGATTGCATTCAACTCACAGAGTTGAAGGTTCCTTTTCAAACAGCAGTTTCCAATCACTCTTTCTGTGGAATCTGCAAGTGGATATTTGGGCCTCTCTGAGGATTTCGTTGGAAACGGGATAAAACGCACAGAACTAAAACAGAAGCATTCTCAGAAACTTCTCTGTGATGTTTGTGTTCAACTCCCAGAGTTTCACGTTGCTTTTCATAGAGTAGTTCTGAAACATGCTTTTCGTAGTGTCTGCAAGTGGACATTTGGAGCGCTTTCAGGCCTGTGGTGGAAAACGAATTATGGTCACATAAAAACTGGAGAGAAGCCTTCTCAGAAACTTCTCTGTGATGATTGCATTCAACTCACAGAGTTGAACCCTCCTATGGATAGAGCAGTGTTGAAACTCTCTTTTTGTGGAATCTGCAAGTGGATATGTGGACCTCTCCGAAGATGTCTTTGGAAACGGGAATATCTTCACATAAAAACTAAACAGAAGCATTCTCAGAAACTTCTTGGTGATGTTTGCATTCAAATCCCAGAGTTGAACCTTCCTTTGATAGTTCAGGTTTGAAACACTCTTTCTGTAGGATCTGCAAGTGGCTATTTGGACCACTCTGTGGCCTTCGTTCGAAACGGGTATATCTTCGCATAAAATCTAGACAGAAGCATTCTCAGAAAATACTTTGTGATGATTGAGTTTAAATCACAGAGCTGACCATTCCTTTGGATGGAGCAGGTTTGAGACACACTTTTTGTAGAATCTACAAGTGGATATTTGGACCTCTCTGAGGATTTCGTTGGAAACGGGATAACTGCACCTAACTAAACGGAAGCATTCTCAGAAACTGCTTTGTGATGATTGCATTCACCTCACAGAGTTGAACATTCCTATTGATAGAGCAGTTTGGAAACACTCTTGTTGTGGAATGTGCAAGTGGAGATTTGGAGCGCTTTGAGGCCTATGGTAGTAAAGGGAATAGCTTCATAGAAAAACTAGACAGATGCATTCTCAGGAACTTTTTGGTGATGTTTGTATTCAACTCCCAGAGTTGAACTTTCCTTTGGAAAGAGCAGCTATGAAACACTCTTTTTCTAGAATCTGCAAGTGGACGTTTGGAGGGCTTTGTGGTTTGTGGTGGAAAAGGAAATATCTTCACCTAAATACTAGATAGAAGCATTCTCAGAAGCTTCTCTGTGATGACTGCATTCAACTCACGGAGTTGAACACTCCTTTTGAGAGCGCAGTTATGAAACTCCCTTTCTGTGGCATCTGCAAGGGGACATGTAGACCTCTTTGAAGATTTCGTTGGAAACGGAATCATCTTCACATAAAAACTATACAGAAGCAGTCTCAGAATCTTCTTTGTGATGTTTGCATTCAAATCCCAGAGTTGAACTTTCCTTTCAAAGTTCACGTTTGAAACACTCTTTTTGCAGGATCTACAAGTGGATATTTGGACCACTCTGTGTCCTTCGTTCGAAACGGGTATATCTTCACACGACATCTAGACAGAAGCTTTCTCAGAAAATTCTTTGGGATGATTGAGTGGAACTCACAGAGCTGAACATTCCTTGCGATGTAGCAGTTTAGAAACACACTTTCTGCAGAATCTGCAAGTGCATATTTGGACCTCTCTGAGGAATTCGTTGGAAACGGGATAATTTCAGCTGACTAAACAGAAGCATTCTCAGAACCTTCTTCGTGATGTCTGCATTCAACTCACAGTGTGGAACCTTTCTTTGATAGTTCAGGTTTGAAACACTCTTTTTGTAGAAACTGCAAGGGGATAATTGCACTTCTTTGAGGCCTACCGTAGTAAAGGAAATAACTTCCTATAGAAAGAAGACAGAAGCATTCTCAGAACCCTCTTCGTGATGTTTGCATTCAACTCACAGTGCTGAACCTTTCTTTGATAGTTCAGCTTTGAAACACTCTTCTTGTAGAAACTGCAAGTGGATATTTGGTCCTCTCTGAGGATTTCGTTGGAAACGGGATAAACCGCACAGAACTAAACAGAAGAATTCTCAGAGCCCTCTTCGTGATGTTTGCATTCAACTCACAGTGCTGAACCTTTCTTTGATAGTGCAGCTTTGAAACACTCTTTTTGTAGAAACTGCAAGTGGATGTTTGGTCCTCTCTGAGGATTTCGTTGGAAACGGGATAAACCGCACAGAACTAAAACAGAAGCATTGTCAGAAACTTCTTTGTGATGATTGCATTCAACTCACAGAGTTGAAGGTTCCTTTTCAAACAGCAGTTTCCAATCACTCTTTCTGTGGAATCTGCAAGTGGATATTTGGGCCTCTCTGAGGATTTCGTTGGAAACGGGATAAAACGCACAGAACTAAAACAGAAGCATTCTCAGAAACTTCTCTGTGATGTTTGTGTTCAACTCCCAGAGTTTCACGTTGCTTTTCATAGAGTAGTTCTGAAACATGCTTTTCGTAGTGTCTGCAAGTGGACATTTGGAGCGCTTTCAGGCCTGTGGTGGAAAACGAATTATGGTCACATAAAAACTGGAGAGAAGCCTTCTCAGAAACTTCTCTGTGATGATTGCATTCAACTCACAGAGTTGAACCCTCCTATGGATAGAGCAGTGTTGAAACTCTCTTTTTGTGGAATCTGCAAGTGGATATGTGGACCTCTCCGAAGATGTCTTTGGAAACGGGAATATCTTCACATAAAAACTAAACAGAAGCATTCTCAGAAACTTCTTGGTGATGTTTGCATTCAAATCCCAGAGTTGAACCTTCCTTTGATAGTTCAGGTTTGAAACACTCTTTCTGTAGGATCTGCAAGTGGCTATTTGGACCACTCTGTGGCCTTCGTTCGAAACGGGTATATCTTCGCATAAAATCTAGACAGAAGCATTCTCAGAAAATACTTTGTGATGATTGAGTTTAAATCACAGAGCTGACCATTCCTTTGGATGGAGCAGGTTTGAGACACACTTTTTGTAGAATCTACAAGTGGATATTTGGACCTCTCTGAGGATTTCGTTGGAAACGGGATAACTGCACCTAACTAAACGGAAGCATTCTCAGAAACTGCTTTGTGATGATTGCATTCACCTCACAGAGTTGAACATTCCTATTGATAGAGCAGTTTGGAAACACTCTTGTTGTGGAATGTGCAAGTGGAGATTTGGAGCGCTTTGAGGCCTATGGTAGTAAAGGGAATAGCTTCATAGAAAAACTAGACAGATGCATTCTCAGGAACTTTTTGGTGATGTTTGTATTCAACTCCCAGAGTTGAACTTTCCTTTGGAAAGAGCAGCTATGAAACACTCTTTTTCTAGAATCTGCAAGTGGACGTTTGGAGGGCTTTGTGGTTTGTGGTGGAAAAGGAAATATCTTCACCTAAATACTAGATAGAAGCATTCTCAGAAGCTTCTCTGTGATGACTGCATTCAACTCACGGAGTTGAACACTCCTTTTGAGAGCGCAGTTTTGAAACTCTCTTTCTGTGGCATCTGCAAGGGGACATGTAGACCTCTTTGAAGATTTCGTTGGAAACGGAATCATCTTCACATAAAAACTATACAGAAGCAGTCTCAGAATCTTCTTTGTGATGTTTGCATTCAAATCCCAGAGTTGAACTTTCCTTTCAAAGTTCACGTTTGAAACACTCTTTTTGCAGGATCTACAAGTGGATATTTGGACCACTCTGTGTCCTTCGTTCGAAACGGGTATATCTTCACACGACATCTAGACAGAAGCTTTCTCAGAAAATTCTTTGGGATGATTGAGTGGAACTCACAGAGCTGAACATTCCTTGCGATGTAGCAGTTTAGAAACACACTTTCTGCAGAATCTGCAAGTGCATATTTGGACCTCTCTGAGGAATTCGTTGGAAACGGGATAATTTCAGCTGACTAAACAGAAGCATTCTCAGAACCTTCTTCGTGATGTCTGCATTCAACTCACAGTGTGGAACCTTTCTTTGATAGTTCAGGTTTGAAACACTCTTTTTGTAGAAACTGCAAGGGGATAATTGCACTTCTTTGAGGCCTACCGTAGTAAAGGAAATAACTTCCTATAGAAAGAAGACAGAAGCATTCTCAGAACCCTCTTCGTGATGTTTGCATTCAACTCACAGTGCTGAACCTTTCTTTGATAGTTCAGCTTTGAAACACTCTTCTTGTAGAAACTGCAAGTGGATATTTGGTCCTCTCTGAGGATTTCGTTGGAAACGGGATAAACCGCACAGAACTAAACAGAAGAATTCTCAGAGCCCTCTTCGTGATGTTTGCATTCAACTCACAGTGCTGAACCTTTCTTTGATAGTGCAGCTTTGAAACACTCTTTTTGTAGAAACTGCAAGTGGATGTTTGGTCCTCTCTGAGGATTTCGTTGGAAACGGGATAAACCGCACAGAACTAAAACAGAAGCATTGTCAGAAACTTCTTTGTGATGATTGCATTCAACTCACAGAGTTGAAGGTTCCTTTTCAAACAGCAGTTTCCAATCACTCTTTCTGTGGAATCTGCAAGTGGATATTTGGGCCTCTCTGAGGATTTCGTTGGAAACGGGATAAAACGCACAGAACTAAAACAGAAGCATTCTCAGAAACTTCTCTGTGATGTTTGTGTTCAACTCCCAGAGTTTCACGTTGCTTTTCATAGAGTAGTTCTGAAACATGCTTTTCGTAGTGTCTGCAAGTGGACATTTGGAGCGCTTTCAGGCCTGTGGTGGAAAACGAATTATGGTCACATAAAAACTGGAGAGAAGCCTTCTCAGAAACTTCTCTGTGATGATTGCATTCAACTCACAGAGTTGAACCCTCCTATGGATAGAGCAGTGTTGAAACTCTCTTTTTGTGGAATCTGCAAGTGGATATGTGGACCTCTCCGAAGATGTCTTTGGAAACGGGAATATCTTCACATAAAAACTAAACAGAAGCATTCTCAGAAACTTCTTGGTGATGTTTGCATTCAAATCCCAGAGTTGAACCTTCCTTTGATAGTTCAGGTTTGAAACACTCTTTTTGTAGGATCTGCAAGTGGCTATTTGGACCACTCTGTGGCCTTCGTTCGAAACGGGTATATCTTCGCATAAAATCTAGACAGAAGCATTCTCAGAAAATACTTTGTGATGATTGAGTTTAAATCACAGAGCTGAACATTCCTTTGGATGGAGCAGGTTTGAGACACACTTTTTATAGAATCTACAAGTGGATATTTGGACCTCTCTGAGGATTTCGTTGGAAACGGGATAACTGCACCTAACTAAACGGAAGCATTCTCAGAAACTGCTTAGTGATGATTGCATTCACCTCACAGAGTTGAACATTCCTATTGATAGAGCAGTTTGGAAACACTCTTGTTGTGGAATGTGCAAGTGGAGATTTGGAGCGCTTTGAGGCCTATGGTAGTAAAGGGAATAGCTTCATAGAAAAACTAGACAGATGCATTCTCAGGAACTTTTTGATGATGTTTGTATTCAACTCCCAGAGTTGAACTTTCCTTTGGAAAGAGCAGCTATGAAACACTCTTTTTCTAGAATCTGCAAGTGGACGTTTGGAGGGCTTTGTGGTTTGTGGTGGAAAAGGAAATATCTTCACCTAAATACTAGATAGAAGCATTCTCAGAAGCTTCTCTGTGATGACTGCATTCAACTCACGGAGTTGAACACTCCTTTTGAGAGCGCAGTTTTGAAACTCTCTTTCTGTGGCATCTGCAAGGGGACATGTAGACCTCTTTGAAGATTTCGTTGGAAACGGAATCATCTTCACATCAAAACTATACAGAAGCAGTCTCAGAATCTTCTTTGTGATGTTTGCATTCAAATCCCAGAGTTGAACTTTCCTTTCAAAGTTCACGTTTGAAACACTCTTTTTGCAGGATCTACAAGTGGATATTTGGACCACTCTGTGTCCTTCGTTCGAAACGGGTATATCTTCACATGACATCTAGACAGAAGCTTTCTCAGAAAATTCTTTGGGATGATTGAGTTGAACTCACAGAGCTGAACATTCCTTGCGATGGAGCAGTTTAGAAACACACTTTCTGCAGAATCTGCAAGTGCATATGTGGACCTCTCTGAGGAATTCGTTGGAAACGGGATAATTTCAGCTGACTAAACAGAAGCATTCTCAGAACCTTCTTCGTGATGTCTGCATTCAACTCACAGTGTGGAACCTTTCTTTGATAGTTCAGGTTTGAAACACTCTTTTTGTAGAGACTGCAAGGGGATAATTGCACTTCTTTGAGGCCTACCGTAGTAAAGGAAATAACTTCCTATAAAAAGAAGACAGAAGAATTCTCAGAGCCCTCTTCGTGATGTTTGCATTCAACTCACAGTGCTGAACCTTTCTTTGATAGTGCAGCTTTGAAACACTCTTTTTGTAGAAACTGCAAGTGGATGTTTGGTCCTCTCTGAGGATTTCGTTGGAAACGGGATAAACCGCACAGAACTAAAACAGAAGCATTGTCAGAAACTTCTTTGTGATGATTGCATTCAACTCACAGAGTTGAAGGTTCCTTTTCAAACAGCAGTTTCCAATCACTCTTTCTGTGGAATCTGCAAGTGGATATTTGGGCCTCTCTGAGGATTTCGTTGGAAACGGGATAAAACGCACAGAACTAAAACAGAAGCATTCTCAGAAACTTCTCTGTGATGTTTGTGTTCAACTCCCAGAGTTTCACGTTGCTTTTCATAGAGTAGTTCTGAAACATGCTTTTCGTAGTGTCTGCAAGTGGACATTTGGAGCGCTTTCAGGCCTGTGGTGGAAAACGAATTATGGTCACATAAAAACTGGAGAGAAGCCTTCTCAGAAACTTCTCTGTGATGATTGCATTCAACTCACAGAGTTGAACCCTCCTATGGATAGAGCAGTGTTGAAACTCTCTTTTTGTGGAATCTGCAAGTGGATATGTGGACCTCTCCGAAGATGTCTTTGGAAACGGGAATATCTTCACATAAAAACTAAACAGAAGCATTCTCAGAAACTTCTTGGTGATGTTTGCATTCAAATCCCAGAGTTGAACCTTCCTTTGATAGTTCAGGTTTGAAACACTCTTTCTGTAGGATCTGCAAGTGGCTATTTGGACCACTCTGTGGCCTTCGTTCGAAACGGGTATATCTTCGCATAAAATCTAGACAGAAGCATTCTCAGAAAATACTTTGTGATGATTGAGTTTAAATCACAGAGCTGACCATTCCTTTGGATGGAGCAGGTTTGAGACACACTTTTTGTAGAATCTACAAGTGGATATTTGGACCTCTCTGAGGATTTCGTTGGAAACGGGATAACTGCACCTAACTAAACGGAAGCATTCTCAGAAACTGCTTTGTGATGATTGCATTCACCTCACAGAGTTGAACATTCCTATTGATAGAGCAGTTTGGAAACACTCTTGTTGTGGAATGTGCAAGTGGAGATTTGGAGCGCTTTGAGGCCTGTGGTAGTAAAGGGAATAGCTTCATAGAAAAACTAGACAGATGCATTCTCAGGAACTTTTTGGTGATGTTTGTATTCAACTCCCAGAGTTGAACTTTCCTTTGGAAAGAGCAGCTATGAAACACTCTTTTTCTAGAATCTGCAAGTGGACGTTTGGAGGGCTTTGTGGTTTGTGGTGGAAAAGGAAATATCTTCACCTAAATACTAGATAGAAGCATTCTCAGAAGCTTCTCTGTGATGACTGCATTCAACTCACGGAGTTGAACACTCCTTTTGAGAGCGCAGTTTTGAAACTCTCTTTCTGTGGCATCTGCAAGGGGACATGTAGACCTCTTTGAAGATTTCGTTGGAAACGGAATCATCTTCACATAAAAACTATACAGAAGCAGTCTCAGAATCTTCTTTGTGATGTTTGCATTCAAATCCCAGAGTTGAACTTCCCTTTCAAAGTTCACGTTTGAAACACTCTTTTTGCAGGATCTACAAGTGGATATTTGGACCACTCTGTGTCCTTCGTTCGAAACGGGTATATCTTCACATGACATCTAGACAGAAGCTTTCTCAGAAAATTCTTTGGAATGATTGAGTGGAACTCACAGAGCTGAACATTCCTTGCGATGTAGCAGTTTAGAAACACACTTTCTGCAGAATCTGCAAGTGCATATTTGGACCTCTCTGAGGAATTCGTTGGAAACGGGATAATTTCAGCTGACTAAACAGAAGCATTCTCAGAACCTTCTTCGTGATGTCTGCATTCAACTCACAGTGTGGAACCTTTCTTTGATAGTTCAGGTTTGAAACACTCTTTTTGTAGAAACTGCAAGGGGATAATTGCACTTCTTTGAGGCCTACCGTAGTAAAGGAAATAACTTCCTATAGAAAGAAGACAGAAGCATTCTCAGAACCCTCTTCGTGATGTTTGCATTCAACTCACAGTGCTGAACCTTTCTTTGATAGTTCAGCTTTGAAACACTCTTCTTGTAGAAACTGCAAGTGGATATTTGGTCCTCTCTGAGGATTTCGTTGGAAACGGGATAAACCGCACAGAACTAAACAGAAGCATTCTCTGAACCTTCTTCGTGATGTTTGCATTCAACTCACAGTGTTGAACCTTTCTTTGATAGTTCAGGTTGGAAACGGTCTTTCTGTAGAAACTGCAAGTAGATATTTGGACCTCTCTGAGGATTTCGTTGGAAACGGGATAAACCGCACAGAACTAAAACAGAAGCATTCACAGAAAACTCTTGGTGACGACTGAGTTTAACTCACAGAGCTGAACATTCCTTTGGATGGAGCAGTTTCGAAACACACTATTTGTAGAATGTGCAAGTGGATATTTGGGCCTCTCTGAGGATTTCGCTGGAAACGGGATAAACCGCACAGAACTAAACAGAAGCATTCTCAGAAACTACTTTGTGATGATTGCATTCAAGTCACAGAGTTGAACATTCCCTTTGACAGAGCAGTTTGGAAACTCTCTTTGTGTAGAATCTGCAAGTGGAGATATGGACCGCTTTGAGGCCTATGGTAGTAAAGGAAATAGCTTCATATAAAAGCTAGACAGTAGCATTCTCAGAAACTTCTTTGTGATGCTTGCATTCAACTCACAGAGTTGAACTTTCCTTTCGAGAGAGAAGCTTTGAAACACTCTTTTTCCAGAATGTGCAAGTGGACATTTGGAGGGCTTTGAGGCCTGTGGTGGAAAAGGAATTATCTTCCCGTAAAAGCTAGATAGAAGCATTGTCAGAAACTTCTTTGTGATGATTGCATTCAACTCACAGAGTTGAAGGTTCCTTTTCAAAGAGCAGTTTCCAATCACTCTTTCTGTGGAATCTGCAAGTGGATATTTCGACCTATTTTGAAGATTTCGTTGGAAACGGGAGAATCTTCACAGAAAAGCTAAACAGAAGCATTCTCAGAAACTTCTCTGTGATGTTTGTGTTCAACTCCCAGAGTTTCACATTGCTTTTCATAGAGTAGTTCTGAAACATGCTTTTCGTAGTGTCTACAAGTGGACATTTGGAGCGCTTCCAGGCCTGTGGTGGAAAACGAATTATGGTCACATAAAAACTGGAGAGAAGCCTTCTCAGAAACTTCTCTGTGATGATTGCATTCAACTCACAGAGTTGAACCCTCCTATGGATAGAGCATTGTTGAAACTCTCTTTTTGTGGAATCTGCAAGTGGATATGTGGACCTCTCCGAAGATGTCTTTGGAAACGGGAATATCTTCACATAAAAACTAAACAGAAGCATTCTCAGAAACTTCTTGGTGATGTTTGCATTCAAATCCCAGAGTTGAACCTTCCTTTGATAGTTCAGGTTTGAAACACTCTTTTTGTAGGATCTGCAAGTGGATATTTGGACCACTCTGTGGCCTTCGTTCGAAACGGGTACATCTTCACATAAAATCTAGACAGAAGCATTCTCAGAAAATACTTTGTGATGATTGAGTTTAAATCACAGAGCTGACCATTCCTTTGGATGGAGCAGGTTTGAGACACACTTTTTGTAGAATCTACAAGTGGATATTTGGACCTCTCTGAGGATTTCGTTGGAAACGGGATAACTGCACCTAACTAAACGGAAGCATTCTCAGAAACTGCTTTGTGATGATTGCATTCACCTCACAGAGTTGAACATTCCTATTGATAGAGCAGTTTGGAAACACTCTTGTTGTGGAATGTGCAAGTGGAGATTTGGAGCGCTTTGAGGCCTATGGTAGTAAAGGGAATAGCTTCATAGAAAAACTAGACAGATGCATTCTCAGGAACTTTTTGGTGATGTTTGTATTCAACTCCCAGAGTTGAACTTTCCTTTGGAAAGAGCAGCTATGAAACACTCTTTTTCTAGAATCTGCAAGTGGACGTTTGGAGGGCTTTGTGGTTTGTGGTGGAAAAGGAAATATCTTCACCTAAATACTAGATAGAAGCATCCTCAGAAGCTTCTCTGTGATGACTGCATTCAACTCACGGAGTTGAACACTCCTTTTGAGAGCGCAGTTTTGAAACTCTCTTTCTGTGGCATCTGCAAGGGGACATGTAGACCTCTTTGAAGATTTCGTTGGAAACGGAATCATCTTCACATAAAAACTACACAGAAGCAGTCTCAGAATCTTCTTTGTGATGTTTGCATTCAAATCCCAGAGTTGAACTTTCCTTTCAAAGTTCACGTTTGAAACACTCTTTTTGCAGGATCTACAAGTGGATATTTGGACCACTCTGTGTCCTTCGTTCGAAACGGGTATATCTTCACAGGACATCTAGACAGAAGCTTTCTCAGAAAATTCTTTGGGATGACTGAGTTGAACTCACAGAGCTGAACATTCCTTGCGATGTAGCAGTTTAGAAACAGACTTTCTGCAGAATCTGCAAGTGCATATTTGGACCTCTCTGAGGAATTCGTTGGAAACGGGATAATTTCAGCTGACTAAACAGAAGCATTCTCAGAACCTTCTTCGTGATGTCTGCATTCAACTCACAGTGTGGAAACTTTCTTTGATAGTTCAGCTTTGAAACACTCTTTTTGTAGAAACTGTAAGGGGATTATTGCACTTCTTTGAGGCCTACCGTAGTAAAGGAAATTACTTCCTATAAAAAGAAGACAGAAGCATTCTCAGAACCTTCTTCGTGATGTTTGCATTCAACTCACAATGCTGAACCTTTCTTTGATAGTTCAGCTTTGAAACACTCTTTTTGTAGAAACTGCAAGTGGATATTTGGTGCTCTCTGAGGATTTCGTTGGAAACGGGATAAACCGCACAGAACTAAACAGAAGCATTCACAGAAAACTCTTGGTGACGACTGAGTTTAACTCACAGAGCTGAACATTCCTTTGGATGGAGCAGTTTCGAAACACACTCTTTGTAGAATCTGCAAGTGGATATTTGGGCCTCTCTGAGGATTTCGTTGGAAACGGGATAAACCGCACAGAACTAAAACAGAAGCATTCTGAGAAACTACTTTGTGATGATTGCATTCAAGTCACAGAGCTGAACATTCCCTTTGACAGAGCAGTTTGGAAACTCTCTTTGTGTAGAATCTGCAAGTGGAGATATGGAATGCTTTGAGGACTATGGTAGTAAAGGAAATAGCTTCATATAAAAGCTAGACAGTAGCATTCTCAGAAACTTCTTTGTGATGCTTGCATTCAACTCACAGAGTTGAACTTTCCTTTCGAGAGAGAAGCTTTGAAACACTCTTTTTCCAGAATCTGCAAGTGGACATTTGGAGGGCTTTGAGGCCTGCGGTGGAAAAGGAATTATCTTCCTGTAAAAGCTGGATAGAAGCATTGTCAGAAACTTCTTTGTGATGATTGCATTCAACTCACAGAGTTGAAGGTTCCTTTTCAAACAGCAGTTTCCAATCACTCTTTCTGTGGAATCTGCAAGTGGATATTTGGACCTAGTTTGAAGATTTCGTTGGAAACGGGAGAATCTTCACAGAAAAGCTAAACAGAAGCATTCTCAGAAACTTCTCTGTGATGTTTGTGTTCAACTCCCAGAGTTTCACATTGCTTTTCATAGAGTAGTTCTGAAACATGCTTTTCGTAGTGTCTACAAGTGGACATTTGGAGCGCTTTCAGGCCTGTGGTGGAAAACGAATTATGGTCACATAAAAACTGGAGAGAAGCCTTCTCAGAAACTTCTCTGTGATGATTGCATTCAACTCACAGAGTTGAACCCTCCTATGGATAGAGCAGTGTTGAAACTCTCTTTTTGTGGAATCTGCAAGTGGATATGTGGACCTCTCCGAAGATGTCTTTGGAAACGGGAATATCTTCACATAAAAACTAAACAGAAGCATTCTCAGAAACTTCTTGGTGATGTTTGCATTCAAATCCCAGAGTTGAACCTTCCTTTGATAGTTCAGGTTTGAAACACTCTTTTTGTAGGATCTGCAAGTGGATATTTGGACCACTCTGTGGCCTTCGTTCGAAACGGGTATATCTTCGCATAAAATCTAGACAGAAGCATTCTCAGAAAATACTTTGTGATGATTGAGTTGAACTCACAGAGCTGAACATTCCTTTGGATGGAGCAGGTTTGAGACACACTTTTTGTAGAATCTACAAGTGGATATTTGGACCTCTCTGAGGATTTCGTTGGAAACGGGATAACTGCACCTAACTGAACGGAAGCATTCTCAGAAACTGCTTTGTGATGATTGCATTCACCTCACAGAGTTGAACATTCCTATTGATAGAGCAGTTTGGAAACACTCTTGTTGTGGAATGTGCAAGTGGAGATTTGGAGCGCTTTGAGGCCTATGGTAGTAAAGGGAATAGCTTCATAGAAAAACTAGACAGATGCATTCTCAGGAACTTTTTGGTGATGTTTGTATTCAACTCCCAGAGTTGAACTTTCCTTTGGAAAGAGCAGCTATGAAACACTCTTTTTCTAGAATCTGCAAGTGGACGTTTGGAGGGCTTTGTGGTTTGTGGTGGAAAAGGAAATATCTTCACCTAAATACTAGATAGAAAGCATTCTCAGTAAGCTTCTCTGTGATGACTGCATTCAACTCACGGAGTTGAACACTCCTTTTGAGAGCGCAGTTTTGAAACTCTCTTTCTGTGGCATCTGCAAGGGGACATGTAGACCTCTTTGAAGATTTCGTTGGAAACGGAATCATCTTCACATAAAAACTATACAGAAGCAGTCTCAGAATCTTCTTTGTGATGTTTGCATTCAAATCCCAGAGTTGAACTTTCCTTTCAAAGTTCACGTTTGAAACACTCTTTTTGCAGGATCTACAAGTGGATATTTGGACCACTCTGTGTCCTTCGTTCGAAACGGGTATATCTTCACATGACATCTAGACAGAAGCTTTCTCAGAAAATTCTTTGGGATGATTGAGTGGAACTCACAGAGCTGAACATTCCTTGCGATGTAGCAGTTTAGAAACACACTTTCTGCAGAATCTGCAAGTGCATATTTGGACCTCTCTGAGGAATTCGTTGGAAACGGGATAATTTCAGCTGACTAAACAGAAGCATTCTCAGACACCCTTCTTCGTGATGTCTGCATTCAACTCACAGTGTGGAACCTTTCTTTGATAGTTCAGGTTTGAAACACTCTTTTTGTAGAAACTGCAAGGGGATAATTGCACTTCTTTGAGGCCTACCGTAGTAAAGGAAATAACTTCCTATAGAAAGAAGACAGAAGCATTCTCAGAACCCTCTTCGTGATGTTTGCATTCAACTCACAGTGCTGAACCTTTCTTTGATAGTTCAGCTTTGAAACACTCTTCTTGTAGAAACTGCAAGTGGATATTTGGTCCTCTCTGAGGATTTCGTTGGAAACGGGATAAACCGCACAGAACTAAACAGAAGCATTCTCAGAACCTTCTTCGTGATGTTTGCATTCAACTCACAGTGTTGAACCTTTCTTTGATAGTTCAGGTTTGAAACGGTCTTTCTGTAGAAACTGCAAGTAGATATTTGGACCTCTCTGAGGATTTCGTTGGAAACGGGATAAACCGCACAGAACTAAAACAGAAGCATTCACAGAAAACTCTTGGTGACGACTGAGTTTAACTCACAGAGCTGAACATTCCCTTTGGATGGAGCAGTTTCGAAACACACTATTTGTAGAATGTGCAAGTGGATATTTAGGCCTCTCTGAGGATTTCGTTGGAAACGGGATAAACCGCACAGAACTAAACAGAAGCATTCTCAGAAACTACTTTGTGATGATTGCATTCAAGTCACAGAGTTGAACATTCCCTTTGACAGAGCAGTTTGGAAACTCTCTTTGTGTAGAATCTGCAAGTGGAGATATGGACCGCTTTGAGGCCTATGGTAGTAAAGGAAATAGCTTCATATAAAAGCTAGACAGTAGCATTCTCAGAAACTTCTTTGTGATGCTTGCATTCAACTCACAGAGTTGAACTTTCCTTTCGAGAGAGAAGCTTTGAAACACTCTTTTTCCAGAATCTGCAAGTGGACATTTGGAGGGCTTTGAGGCCTGTGGTGGAAAAGGAATTATCTTCCCGTAAAAGCTAGATAGAAGCATTGTCAGAAACTTCTTTGGGATGATTGCATTCAACTCACAGAGTTGAAGGTTCCTTTTCAAAGAGCAGTTTCCAATCACTCTTTCTGTGGAATCTGCAAGTGGATATTCGGACCTATTTTGAAGATTTCGTTGGAAACGGGAGAATCTTCACAGGAAAGCTAAACAGAAGCATTCTCAGAAACTTCTCTGTGATGTTTGTGTTCAACTCCCAGAGTTTCACATTGCTTTTCATAGAGTAGTTCTGAAACATGCTTTTCGTAGTGTCTACAAGTGGACATTTGGAGCGCTTTCAGGCCTGTGGTGGAAAACGAATTATGGTCACATAAAAACTGGAGAGAAGCCTTCTCAGAAACTTCTCTGTGATGATTGCATTCAACTCACAGAGTTGAACCCTCCTATGGATAGAGCAGTGTTGAAACTCTCTTTTTGTGGAATCTGCAAGTGGATATGTGGACCTCTCCGAAGATGTCTTTGGAAACGGGAATATCTTCACATAAAAACTAAACAGAAGCATTCTCAGAAACTTCTTGGTGATGTTTGCATTCAAATCCCAGAGTCGAACCTTCCTTTGATAGTTCAGGTTTGAAACACTCTTTTTGTAGGATCTGCAAGTGGATATTTGGACCACTCTGTGGCCTTCGTTCGAAACGGGTGTATCTTCGCATAAAATCTAGACAGAAGCATTCTCAGAAAATACTTTGTGATGATTGAGTTTAACTCACAGAGCTGAACATTCCTTTGGATGGAGCAGGTTTGAGACACACCTTTTGTAGAATCTACAAGTGGATATTTGGACCTCTCTGAGGATTTCGTTGGAAACGGGATAACTGCACCTAACTAAACGGAAGCATTCTCAGAAACTGCTTTGTGATGATTGCATTCACCTCACAGAGTTGAACATTCCTATTGATAGAGCAGTTTGGAAACACTCTTGTTGTGGAATGTGCAAGTGGAGATTTGGAGCGCTTTGAGGCCTATGGTAGTAAAGGGAATAGCTTCATAGAAAAACTAGACAGATGCATTCTCAGGAACTTTTTGGTGATGTTTGTATTCAACTCCCAGAGTTGAACTTTCCTTTGGAAAGAGCAGCTATGAAACACTCTTTTTCTAGAATCTGCAAGTGGACGTTTGGAGGGCTTTGTGGTTTGTGGTGGAAAAGGAAATATCTTCACCTAAATACTAGATAGAAGCATTCTCAGAAGCTTCTCTGTGATGACTGCATTCAACTCACGGAGTTGAACACTCCTTTTGAGAGCGCAGTTTTGAAACTCTCTTTCTGTGGCATCCGCAAGGGGACATGTGGACCTCTTTGAAGATTTCGTTGGAAACGGAATCATCTTCACATAAAAACTATACAGAAGCAGTCTCAGAATCTTCTTTGTGATGTTTGCATTCAAATCCCAGAGTTGAACTTTCCTTTCAAAGTTCACGTTTGAAACACTCTTTTTGCAGGATCTACAAGTGGATATTTGGACCACTCTGTGTCCTTCGTTCGAAACGGGTATATCTTCACAGGACATCTAGACAGAAGCTTTCTCAGAAAATTCTTTGGGATGATTGAGTGGAACTCACAGAGCTGAACATTCCTTGCGATGTAGCAGTTTAGAAACACACTTTCTGCAGAATCTGCAAGTGCATATTTGGACCTCTCTGAGGAATTCGTTGGAAACGGGATAATTTCAGCTGACTAAACAGAAGCATTCTCAGAACCTTCTTCGTGATGTCTGCATTCAACTCACAGTGTGGAACCTTTCTTTGATAGTTCAGGTTTGAAACACTCTTTTTGTAGAAACTGCAAGGGGATAATTGCACTTCTTTGAGGCCTACCGTAGTAAAGGAAATAACTTCCTATAGAAAGAAGACAGAAGCATTCTCAGAACCCTCTTCGTGATGTTTGCATTCAACTCACAGTGCTGAACCTTTCTTTGATAGTTCAGCTTTGAAACACTCTTCTTGTAGAAACTGCAAGTGGATATTTGGTCCTCTCTGAGGATTTCGTTGGAAACGGGATAAACCGCACAGAACTAAACAGAAGAATTCTCAGAGCCCTCTTCGTGATGTTTGCATTCAACTCACAGTGCTGAACCTTTCTTTGATAGTGCAGCTTTGAAACACTCTTTTTGTAGAAACTGCAAGTGGATGTTTGGTCCTCTCTGAGGATTTCGTTGGAAACGGGATAAACCGCACAGAACTAAAACAGAAGCATTGTCAGAAACTTCTTTGTGATGATTGCATTCAACTCACAGAGTTGAAGGTTCCTTTTCAAACAGCAGTTTCCAATCACTCTTTCTGTGGAATCTGCAAGTGGATATTTGGGCCTCTCTGAGGATTTCGTTGGAAACGGGATAAAACGCACAGAACTAAAACAGAAGCATTCTCAGAAACTTCTCTGTGATGTTTGTGTTCAACTCCCAGAGTTTCACGTTGCTTTTCATAGAGTAGTTCTGAAACATGCTTTTCGTAGTGTCTGCAAGTGGACATTTGGAGCGCTTTCAGGCCTGTGGTGGAAAACGAATTATGGTCACATAAAAACTGGAGAGAAGCCTTCTCAGAAACTTCTCTGTGATGATTGCATTCAACTCACAGAGTTGAACCCTCCTATGGATAGAGCAGTGTTGAAACTCTCTTTTTGTGGAATCTGCAAGTGGATATGTGGACCTCTCCGAAGATGTCTTTGGAAACGGGAATATCTTCACATAAAAACTAAACAGAAGCATTCTCAGAAACTTCTTGGTGATGTTTGCATTGAAATCCCAGAGTTGAACCTTCCTTTGATAGTTCAGGTTTGAAACACTCTTTTTGTAAGATCTGCAAGTGGCTATTTGGACCACTCTGTGGCCTTCGTTCGAAACGGGTATATCTTCGCATAAAATCTAGACAGAAGCATTCTCAGAAAATACTTTGTGATGATTGAGTTGAACTCACAGAGCTGAACATTCCTTTGGATGGAGCAGGTTTGAGACACACTTTTTGTAGAATCTACAAGTGGATATTTGGACCTCTCTGAGGATTTCGTTGGAAACGGGATAACTGCACCTAACTAAACGGAAGCATTCTCAGAAACTGCTTTTTCATGATTGCATTCACCTCACAGAGTTGAACATTCCTATTGATAGAGCAGTTTGGAAACACTCTTGTTGTGGAATGTGCAAGTGGAGATTTGGAGCGCTTTGAGGCCTATGGTAGTAAAGGGAATAGCTTCATAGAAAAAGTAGACAGATGCATTATCAGGAACTTTTTGGTGATGTTTGTATTCAACTCCCAGAGTTGAACTTTCCTTTGGAAAGAGCAGCTATGAAACACTCTTTTTCTAGAATCTGCAAGTGGACGTTTGGACGGCTTTGTGGTTTGTGGTGGAAAAGGAAATATCTTCACCTAAATACTAGATAGAAGCATTCTCAGAAGCTTCTCTGTGATGACTGCATTCAACTCACGGAGTTGAACACTCCTTTTGAGAGCGCAGTTTTGAAAGTCTCTTTCTGTGGCATCCGCAAGGGGACATGTAGACCTCTTTGAAGATTTCGTTGGAAACGGAATCATCTTCACATAAAAACTATACAGAAGCAGTCTCAGAATCTTCTTTGTGATGTTTGCATTCAAATCCCAGAGTTGAACTTTCCTTTCAAAGTTCACGTTTGAAACACTCTTTTTGCAGGATCTACAAGTGGATATTTGGACCACTCTGTGTCCTTCGTTCGAAACGGGTATATCTTCACACGACATCTAGACAGAAGCTTTCTCAGAAAATTCTTTGGGATGATTGAGTGGAACTCACAGAGCTGAACATTCCTTGCGATGTAGCAGTTTAGAAACACACTTTCTGCAGAATCTGCAAGTGCATATTTGGACCTCTCTGAGGAATTCGTTGGAAACGGGATAATTTCAGCTGACTAAACAGAAGCATTCTCAGAACCTTCTTCGTGATGTCTGCATTCAACTCACAGTGTGGAACCTTTCTTTGATAGTTCAGGTTTGAAACACTCTTTTTGTAGAAACTGCAAGGGGATAATTGCACTTCTTTGAGGCCTACCGTAGTAAAGGAAATAACTTCCTATAGAAAGAAGACAGAAGCATTCTCAGAACCCTCTTCGTGATGTTTGCATTCAACTCACAGTGCTGAACCTTTCTTTGATAGTTCAGCTTTGAAACACTCTTATTGTAGAAACTGCAAGTGGATATTTGGTCCTCTCTGAGGATTTCGTTGGAAACGGGATAAACCGCACAGAACTAAACAGAAGAACTCTCAGAGCCCTCTTCGTGATGTTTGCATTCAACTCACAGTGCTGAACCTTTCTTTGATAGTGCAGCTTTGAAACACTCTTTTTGTAGAAACTGCAAGTGGATATTTGGTCCTCTCTGAGGATTTCGTTGGAAACGGGATAAAACGCACAGAACTAAACAGAAGCATTCACAGAAAACTCTTGGTGACGACTGAGTTTAACTCACAGAGCTGAACATTCCTTTGGATGGAGCAGTTTCGAAACACACTATTTGTAGAATCTGCAAGTGGATATTTGGGCCTCTCTGAGGATTTCGTTGGAAACGGGATAAAACGCACAGAACTAAAACAGAAGCATTCTCAGAAACTACTTTGTGATTATTGCATTCAAGTCACAGAGTTGAACATTCCCTTTGACAGAGCAGTTTGGAAACTCTCTTTGTGTAGAATCTACAAGTGGAGATATGGACCGCTTTGAGGCCTATGGTAGTAAAGGAAATAGCTTCATATAAAAGCTAGACAGTAGCATTCTCAGAAACTTCTTTGTGATGCTTGCATTCAACTCACAGAGTTGAACTTTCCTTTCGAGAGAGAAGCTTTGAAACACTCTTTTTCCAGAATGTGCAAGTGGACATTTGGGGAGCTTTGAGGCCTGTGGTGGAAAAGGAATTATCTTCCCGTAAAAGCTAGATAGAAGCATTGTCAGAAACTTCTTTCTGATGATTGCATTCAACTCACAGAGTTGAAGGTTCCTTTTCAAACAGCAGTTTCCAATCACTCTTTCTGTGGAATCTGCAAGTGGATATTTCGACCTCTTTGAAGATTTCGTTGGAAACGGGAGAATCTTCACAGAAAAGCTAAACAGAAGCATTCTCAGAAACTTCTCTGTGATGTTTGTGTTCAACTCCCAGAGTTTCACATTGCTTTTCATAGAGTAGTTCTGAAACATGCTTTTCGTAGTGTCTACAAGTGGACATTTGGAGCGCTTTCAGGCCTGTGGTGGAAAACGAATTATGGTCACATAAAAACTGGAGAGAAGCCTTCTCAGAAACTTCTCTGTGATGATTGCATTCAACTCACAGAGTTGAACCCTCCTATGGATAGAGCAGTGTTGAAACTCTCTTTTTGTGGAATCTGCAAGTGGATATGTGGACCTCTCCGAAGATGTCTTTGGAAACGGGAATATCTTCACATAAAAACTAAACAGAAGCATTCTCAGCAAACTTCTTGGTGATGTTTGCATTCAAATCCCAGAGTCGAACCTTCCTTTGATAGTTCAGGTTTGAAACACTCTTTTTGTAGGATCTGCAAGTGGATATTTGGACCACTCTGTGGCCTTCGTTCGAAACGGGTATATCTTCGCATAAAATCTAGACAGAAGCATTCTCAGAAAATACTTTGTGATGATTGAGTTTAAATCACAGAGCTGACCATTCCTTTGGATGGAGCAGGTTTGAGACACACTTTTTGTAGAATCTACAAGTGGATATTTGGACCTCTCTGAGGATTTCGTTGGAAACGGGATAACTGCACCTAACTAAACGGAAGCATTCTCAGAAACTGCTTTGTGATGATTGCATTCACCTCACAGAGTTGAACATTCCTATTGATAGAGCAGTTTGGAAACACTCTTGTTGTGGAATGTGCAAGTGGAGATTTGGAGCGCTTTGAGGCCTATGGTAGTAAAGGGAATAGCTTCATAGAAAAACTAGACAGATGCATTCTCAGGAACTTTTTGGTGATGTTTGTATTCAACTCCCAGAGTTGAACTTTCCTTTGGAAAGAGCAGCTATGAAACACTCTTTTTCTAGAATCTGCAAGTGGACGTTTGGAGGGCTTTGTGGTTTGTGGTGGAAAAGGAAATATCTTCACCTAAATACTAGATAGAAGCATTCTCAAAAGCTTCTCTGTGATGACTGCATTCAACTCACGGAGTTGAACACTCCTTTTGAGAGCGCAGTTTTGAAACTCTCTTTCTGTGGCATCCGCAAGGGGACATGTGGACCTCTTTGAATATTTCGTTGGAAACGGAATCATCTTCACATAAAAACTATACAGAAGCAGTCTCAGAATCTTCTTTGTGATGTTTGCATTCAAATCCCAGAGTTGAACTTTCCTTTCAAAGTTCACGTTTGAAACACTCTTTTTGCAGGATGTACAAGTGGATATTTGGACCACTCTGTGTCCTTCGTGCGAAACGGGTATATCTTCACATGACATCTAGACAGAAGCTTTCTCAGAAAATTCTTTGGGATGATTGAGTTGAACTCACAGAGCTGAACATTCCTTGCGATGTAGCAGTTTAGAAACACACTTTCTGCAGAATCTGCAAGTGCATATTTGGATCTCTCTGAGGAATTCGTTGGAAACGGGATAATTTCAGCTGACTAAACAGAAGCATTCTCAGAACCTTCTTCGTGATGTCTGCATTCAACTCACAGTGTGGAACCTTTCTTTGATAGTTCAGGTTTGAAACACTCTTTTTGTAGAAACTGCAAGGGGATAATGGCACTTCTTTGAGGCCTACCGTAGTAAAGGAAATAACTTCCTATAGAAAGAAGACAGAAGCATTCTCAGAACCCTCTTCGTGATGTTTGCATTCAACTCACAGTGCTGAACCTTTCTTTGATAGTTCAGCTTTGAAACACTCTTCTTGTAGAAACTGCAAGTGGATATTTGGTCCTCTCTGAGGATTTCGTTGGAAACGGGATAAACCGCACAGAACTAAACAGAAGAATTCTCAGAGCCCTCTTCGTGATGTTTGCATTCAACTCACAGTGCTGAACCTTTCTTTGATAGTGCAGCTTTGAAACACTCTTTTTGTAGAAACTGCAAGTGGATGTTTGGTCCTCTCTGAGGATTTCGTTGGAAACGGGATAAACCGCACAGAACTAAAACAGAAGCATTGTCAGAAACTTCTTTGTGATGATTGCATTCAACTCACAGAGTTGAAGGTTCCTTTTCAAACAGCAGTTTCCAATCACTCTTTCTGTGGAATCTGCAAGTGGATATTTGGGCCTCTCTGAGGATTTCGTTGGAAACGGGATAAAACGCACAGAACTAAAACAGAAGCATTCTCAGAAACTTCTCTGTGATGTTTGTGTTCAACTCCCAGAGTTTCACGTTGCTTTTCATAGAGTAGTTCTGAAACATGCTTTTCGTAGTGTCTGCAAGTGGACATTTGGAGCGCTTTCAGGCCTGTGGTGGAAAACGAATTATGGTCACATAAAAACTGGAGAGAAGCCTTCTCAGAAACTTCTCTGTGATGATTGCATTCAACTCACAGAGTTGAACCCTCCTATGGATAGAGCAGTGTTGAAACTCTCTTTTTGTGGAATCTGCAAGTGGATATGTGGACCTCTCCGAAGATGTCTTTGGAAACGGGAATATCTTCACATAAAAACTAAACAGAAGCATTCTCAGAAACTTCTTGGTGATGTTTGCATTCAAATCCCAGAGTTGAACCTTCCTTTGATAGTTCAGGTTTGAAACACTCTTTCTGTAGGATCTGCAAGTGGCTATTTGGACCACTCTGTGGCCTTCGTTCGAAACGGGTATATCTTCGCATAAAATCTAGACAGAAGCATTCTCAGAAAATACTTTGTGATGATTGAGTTTAAATCACAGAGCTGACCATTCCTTTGGATGGAGCAGGTTTGAGACACACTTTTTGTAGAATCTACAAGTGGATATTTGGACCTCTCTGAGGATTTCGTTGGAAACGGGATAACTGCACCTAACTAAACGGAAAGCATTCTCAGAAACTGCTTTGTGATGATTGCATTCACCTCACAGAGTTGAACATTCCTATTGATAGAGCAGTTTGGAAACACTCTTGTTGTGGAATGTGCAAGTGGAGATTTGGAGCGCTTTGAGGCCTGTGGTAGTAAAGGGAATAGCTTCATAGAAAAACTAGACAGTGCATTCTCAGGAACTTTTTGGTGATGTTTGTATTCAACTCCCAGAGTTGAACTTTCCTTTGGAAAGAGCAGCTATGAAACACTCTTTTTCTAGAATCTGCAAGTGGACGTTTGGAGGGCTTTGTGGTTTGTGGTGGAAAAGGAAATATACTTCACCTAAATACTAGATAGAAGCATTCTCAGAAGCTTCTCTGTGATGACTGCATTCAACTCACGGAGTTGAACACTCCTTTTGAGAGCGCAGTTTTGGAACTCTCTTTCTGTGGCATCTGCAAGGGGACATGTAGACCTCTTTGAAGATTTCGTTGTAAACGGAATCATCTTCACATAAAAACTATACAGAAGCAGTCTCAGAATCTTCTTTGTGATGTTTGCATTCAAATCCCAGAGTTGAACTTTCCTTTCCAAGTTCACGTTTGAAACACTCTTTTTGCAGGATCTACAAGTGGATATTTGGACCACTCTGTGTCCTTCGTTCGAAACGGGTATATCTTCACATGACATCTAGACAGAAGCTTTCTCAGAAAATTCTTTGGGATGATTGAGTGGAACTCACAGAGCTGAACATTCCTTGCGATGTAGCAGTTTAGAAACACACTTTCTGCAGAATCTGCAAGTGCATATTTGGACCTCTCTGAGGAATTCGTTGGAAACGGGATAATTTCAGCTGACTAAACAGAAAGCATTCTCAGAACCTTCTTCGTGATGTCTGCATTCAACTCACAGTGTGGAACCTTTCTTTGATAGTTCAGGTTTGAAACACTCTTTTTGTAGAAACTGCAAGGGGATAATTGCACTTCTTTGAGGCCTACCGTAGTAAAGGAAATAACTTCCTATAGAAAGAAGACAGAAGCATTCTCAGAGCCCTCTTCGTGATGTTTGCATTCAACTCACAGTGCTGAACCTTTCTTTGATAGTGCAGCTTTGAAACACTCTTTTTGTAGAAACTGCAAGTGGATGTTTGGTCCTCTCTGAGGATTTCGTTGGAAACGGGATAAACCGCACAGAACTAAAACAGAAGCATTGTCAGAAACTTCTTTGTGATGATTGCATTCAACTCACAGAGTTGAAGGTTCCTTTTCAAACAGCAGTTTCCAATCACTCTTTCTGTGGAATCTGCAAGTGGATATTTGGGCCTCTCTGAGGATTTCGTTGGAAACGGGATAAAACGCACAGAACTAAAACAGAAGCATTCTCAGAAACTTCTCTGTGATGTTTGTGTTCAACTCCCAGAGTTTCACGTTGCGTTTCATAGAGTAGTTCTGAAACATGCTTTTCGTAGTGTCTGCAAGTGGACATTTGGAGCGCTTTCAGGCCTGTGGTGGAAAACGAATTATGGTCACATAAAAACTGGAGAGAAGCCTTCTCAGAAACTTCTCTGTGATGATTGCATTCAACTCACAGAGTTGAACCCTCCTATGGATAGAGCAGTGTTGAAACTCTCTTTTTGTGGAATCTGCAAGTGGATATGTGGACCTCTCCGAAGATGTCTTTGGAAACGGGAATATCTTCACATAAAAACTAAACAGAAGCATTCTCAGAAACTTCTTGGTGATGTTTGCATTCAAATCCCAGAGTTGAACCTTCCTTTGATAGTTCAGGTTTGAAACACTCTTTCTGTAGGATCTGCAAGTGGCTATTTGGACCACTCTGTGGCCTTCGTTCGAAACGGGTATATCTTCGCATAAAATCTAGACAGAAGCATTCTCAGAAAATACTTTGTGATGATTGAGTTTAAATCACAGAGCTGACCATTCCTTTGGATGGAGCAGGTTTGAGACACACTTTTTGTAGAATCTACAAGTGGATATTTGGACCTCTCTGAGGATTTCGTTGGAAACGGGATAACTGCACCTAACTAAACGGAAGCATTCTCAGAAACTGCTTTGTGATGATTGCATTCACCTCACAGAGTTGAACATTCCTATTGATAGAGCAGTTTGGAAACACTCTTGTTGTGGAATGTGCAAGTGGAGATTTGGAGCGCTTTGAGGCCTATGGTAGTAAAGGGAATAGCTTCATAGAAAAACTAGACAGATGCATTCTCAGGAACATTTTGGTGATGTTTGTATTCAACTCCCAGAGTTGAACTTTCCTTTGGAAAGAGCAGCTATGAAACACTCTTTTTCTAGAATCTGCAAGTGGACGTTTGGAGGGCTTTGTGGTTTGTGGTGGAAAAGGAAATATCTTCACCTAAATACTAGATAGAAGCATTCTCAGAAGCTTCTCTGTGATGACTGCATTCAACTCACGGAGTTGAACACTCCTTTTGAGAGCGCAGTTTTGAAACTCTCTTTCTGTGGCATCTGCAAGGGGACATGTAGACCTCTTTGAAGATTTCGTTGGAAACGGAATCATCTTCACATAAAAACTATACAGAAGCAGTCTCAGAATCTTCTTTGTGATGTTTGCATTCAAATCCCAGAGTTGAACTTTCCTTTCAAAGTTCACGTTTGAAACACTCTTTTTGCAGGATCTACAAGTGGATATTTGGACCACTCTGTGTCCTTCGTTCGAAACGGGTATATCTTCACACGACATCTAGACAGAAGCTTTCTCAGAAAATTCTTTGGGATGATTGAGTGGAACTCACAGAGCTGAACATTCCTTGCGATGTAGCAGTTTAGAAACACACTTTCTGCAGAATCTGCAAGTGCATATTTGGACCTCTCTGAGGAATTCGTTGGAAACGGGATAATTTCAGCTGACTAAACAGAAGCATTCTCAGAACCTTCTTCGTGATGTCTGCATTCAACTCACAGTGTGGAACCTTTCTTTGATAGTTCAGGTTTGAAACACTCTTTTTGTAGAAACTGCAAGGGGATAATTGCACTTCTTTGAGGCCTACCGTAGTAAAGGAAATAACTTCCTATAGAAAGAAGACAGAAGCATTCTCAGAACCCTCTTCGTGATGTTTGCATTCAACTCACAGTGCTGAACCTTTCTTTGATAGTTCAGCTTTGAAACACTCTTCTTGTAGAAACTGCAAGTGGATATTTGGTCCTCTCTGAGGATTTCGTTGGAAACGGGATAAACCGCACAGAACTAAACAGAAGAATTCTCAGAGCCCTCTTCGTGATGTTTGCATTCAACTCACAGTGCTGAACCTTTCTTTGATAGTGCAGCTTTGAAACACTCTTTTTGTAGAAACTGCAAGTGGATGTTTGGTCCTCTCTGAGGATTTCGTTGGAAACGGGATAAACCGCACAGAACTAAAACAGAAGCATTCACAGAAAACTCTTGGTGACGACTGAGTTTAACTCACAGAGCTGAACATTCCTTTGGATGGAGCAGTTTCGAAACACACTCTTTGTAGAATGTGCAAGTGGATATTTGGGCCTCTCTGAGGATTTCGTTGGAAACGGGATAAACCGCACAGAACTAAAACAGAAGCATTCTGAGAAACTACTTTGTGATGATTGCATTCAAGTCACAGAGCTGAACATTCTCTTTGACAGAGCAGTTTGGAAACTCTCTTTGTGTAGAATCTGCAAGTGGAGATATGGAATGCTTTGAGGACTATGGTAGTAAAGGAAATAGCTTCATATAAAAGCTAGACAGTAGCATTCTCAGAAACTTCTTTGTGATGCTTGCATTCAAATCACAGAGTTGAACTTTCCTTTCGAGAGAGAAGCTTTGAAACACTCTTTTTCCAGAATCTGCAAGTGGACATTTGGAGGGCTTTGAGGCCTGTGGTGGAAAAGCAATTATCTTCCTGTAAAAGCTGGATAGAAGCATTGTCAGAAACTTCTTTGTGATGATTGCATTCAACTCACAGAGTTGAAGGTTCCTTTTCAAACAGCAGTTTCCAAACACTCTTTCTGTGGAATCTGCAAGTGGATATTTGGACCTCTTTGAAGATTTCGTTGGAAACGTTATAACCTTCACAGAAAAGCTAAACAGAAGCATTCTCAGAAACTTCTCTGTGATGTTTGAGTTCAACTCCCAGAGTGTCACATTGCTTCTCATAGAGTAGTTCTGAAACATGCTTTTCGTAGTGTCTGCAAGGGGACATTTGGAGCGCTTTCAGGCCTGTGGTGGAAAACGAATTATGGTCACATAAAAACTGGAGAGAAGCCTTCTCAGAAACTTCTCTGTGATGATTGCATTCAACTCACAGAGTTGAACCCTCCTATGGATAGAGCAGTGTTGAAACTCTCTTTTTGTGGAATCTGCAAGTGGATATGTGGACCTCTCCGAAGATGTCTTTGGAAACGGGAATATCTTCACATAAAAACTAAACAGAAGCATTCTCAGAAACTTCTTGGTGATGTTTGCATTCAAATCCCAGAGTTGAACCTTCCTTTGATAGTTCAGGTTTGAAACACTCTTTTTGTAGGATCTGCAAGTGGATATTTGGACCACTCTGTGGCCTTCGTTCGAAACGGGTATATCTTCGCATAAAATCTAGACAGAAGCATTCTCAGAACCTTCTTCGTGATGTTTGCATTCAACTCACAGTGTTGAACCTTTCTTTGATAGTTCAGGTTTCAAACGGTCTTTCTGTAGAAACTGCAAGTAGATATTTGGACCTCTCTGAGGATTTCGTTGGAAACGGGATAACTGCACCTAACTAAACGGAAGCATTCACAGAAAACTCTTGGTGACGACTGAGTTTAACTCACAGAGCTGAACATTCCTTTGGATGGAGCAGTTTCGAAACACACTATTTGTAGAATGTGCAAGTGGATATTTAGGCCTCTCTGAGGATTTCGTTGGAAACGGGATAAACCGCACAGAACTAAACAGAAGCATTCTCAGAAACTACTTTGTGATGATTGCATTCAAGTCACAGAGTTGAACATTCCCTTTGACAGAGCAGTTTGGAAACTCTCTTTGTGTAGAATCTGCAAGTGGAGATATGGACCGCTTTGAGGCCTATGGTAGTAAAGGAAATAGCTTCATATAAAAGCTAGACAGTAGCATTCTCAGAAACTTCTTTGTGATGCTTGCATTCAACTCACAGAGTTGAACTTTCCTTTCGAGAGAGAAGCTTTGAAACACTCTTTTTCCAGAATCTGCAAGTGGACATTTGGAGGGCTTTGAGGCCTGTGGTGGAAAAGGAATTATCTTCCCGTAAAAGCTAGATAGAAGCATTGTCAGAAACTTCTTTGTGATGATTGCATTCAAGTCACAGAGTTGAAGGTTCCTTTTCAAAGAGCAGTTTCCAATCACACTTTCTGTGGAATCTGCAAGTGGATATTTGGACCTCTTTGAAGATTTCGTTGGAAACGGGAGAATCTTCACAGAAAAGCTAAACAGAAGCATTCTCAGAAACTTCTCTGTGATGTTTGTGTTCAACTCCCAGAGTTTCACGTTGCTTTTCATAGAGTAGTTCTGAAACATGCTTTTCGTAGTGTCTGCAAGTGGACATTTGGAGCGCTTTCAGGCCTGTGGTGGAAAACGAATTATGGTCACATAAAAACTGGAGAGAAGCCTTCTCAGAAACTTCTCTGTGATGATTGCATTCAACTCACAGAGTTGAACCCTCCTATGGATAGAGCAGTGTTGAAACTCTCTTTTTGTGGAATCTGCAAGTGGATATGTGGACCTCTCCGAAGATGTCTTTGGAAAAGGGAATATCTTCACATAAAAACTAAACAGAAGCATTCTCAGAAACTTCTTGGTGATGTTTGCATTCAAATCCCAGAGTTGAACCTTCCTTTGATAGTTCAGGTTTGAAACACTCTTTTTGTAGGATCTGCAAGTGGCTATTTGGACCACTCTGTGGCCTTCGTTCGAAACGGGTATATCTTCGCATAAAATCTAGACAGAAGCATTCTCAGAAAATACTTTGTGATGATTGAGTTTAAATCACAGAGCTGACCATTCCTTTGGATGGAGCAGGTTTGAGACACACTTTTTGTAGAATCTACAAGTGGATATTTGGACCTCTCTGAGGATTTCGTTGGAAACGGGATAACTGCACCTAACTAAACGGAAGCATTCTCAGAAACTGCTTTGTGATGATTGCATTCACCTCACAGAGTTGAACATTCCTATTGATAGAGCAGTTTGGAAACACTCTTGTTGTGGAATGTGCAAGTGGAGATTTGGAGCGCTTTGAGGCCTATGGTAGTAAAGGGAATAGCTTCATAGAAAAACTAGACAGATGCATTCTCAGGAACTTTTTGGTGATGTTTGTATTCAACTCCCAGAGTTGAACTTTCCTTTGGAAAGAGCAGCTATGAAACACTCTTTTTCTAGAATCTGCAAGTGGACGTTTGGAGGGCTTTGTGGTTTGTGGTGGAAAAGGAAATATCTTCACCTAAATACTAGATAGAAGCATTCTCAGAAGCTTCTCTGTGATGACTGCATTCAACTCACGGAGTTGAACACTCCTTTTGAGAGCGCAGTTTTGAAACTCTCTTTCTGTGGCATCTGCAAGGGGACATGTAGACCTCTTTGAAGATTTCGTTGGAAACGGAATCATCTTCACATAAAAACTATACAGAAGCAGTCTCAGAATCTTCTTTGTGATGTTTGCATTCAAATCCCAGAGTTGAACTTTCCTTTCAAAGTTCACGTTTGAAACACTCTTTTTGCAGGATCTACAAGTGGATATTTGGACCACTCTGTGTCCTTCGTTCGAAACGGGTATATCTTCACACGACATCTAGACAGAAGCTTTCTCAGAAAATTCTTTGGGATGATTGAGTGGAACTCACAGAGCTGAACATTCCTTGCGATGTAGCAGTTTAGAAACACACTTTCTGCAGAATCTGCAAGTGCATATTTGGACCTCTCTGAGGAATTCGTTGGAAACGGGATAATTTCAGCTGACTAAACAGAAGCATTCTCAGAACCTTCTTCGTGATGTCTGCATTCAACTCACAGTGTGGAACCTTTCTTTGATAGTTCAGGTTTGAAACACTCTTTTTGTAGAAACTGCAAGGGGATAATTGCACTTCTTTGAGGCCTACCGTAGTAAAGGAAATAACTTCCTATAGAAAGAAGACAGAAGCATTCTCAGAACCCTCTTCGTGATGTTTGCATTCAACTCACAGTGCTGAACCTTTCTTTGATAGTTCAGCTTTGAAACACTCTTCTTGTAGAAACTGCAAGTGGATATTTGGTCCTCTCTGAGGATTTCGTTGGAAACGGGATAAACCGCACAGAACTAAACAGAAGCATTCTCAGAGCCCTCTTCGTGATGTTTGCATTCAACTCACAGTGCTGAACCTTTCTTTGATAGTGCAGCTTTGAAACACTCTTTTTGTAGAAACTGCAAGTGGATGTTTGGTCCTCTCTGAGGATTTCGTTGGAAACGGGATAAACCGCACAGAACTAAAACAGAAGCATTGTCAGGAAACTTCTTTGTGATGATTGCATTCAACTCACAGAGTTGAAGGTTCCTTTTCAAACAGCAGTTTCCAATCACTCTTTCTGTGGAATCTGCAAGTGGATATTTGGGCCTCTCTGAGGATTTCGTTGGAAACGGGATAAAACGCACAGAACTAAAACAGAAGCATTCTCAGAAACTTCTCTGTGATGTTTGTGTTCAACTCCCAGAGTTTCACGTTGCTTTTCATAGAGTAGTTCTGAAACATGCTTTTCGTAGTGTCTGCAAGTGGACATTTGGAGCGCTTTCAGGCCTGTGGTGGAAAACGAATTATGGTCACATAAAAACTGGAGAGAAGCCTTCTCAGAAACTTCTCTGTGATGATTGCATTCAACTCACAGAGTTGAACCCTCCTATGGATAGAGCAGTGTTGAAACTCTCTTTTTGTGGAATCTGCAAGTGGATATGTGGACCTCTCCGAAGATGTCTTTGGAAACGGGAATATCTTCACATAAAAACTAAACAGAAGCATTCTCAGAAACTTCTTGGTGATGTTTGCATTCAAATCCCAGAGTTGAACCTTCCTTTGATAGTTCAGGTTTGAAACACTCTTTCTGTAGGATCTGCAAGTGGCTATTTGGACCACTCTGTGGCCTTCGTTCGAAACGGGTATATCTTCGCATAAAATCTAGACAGAAGCATTCTCAGAAAATACTTTGTGATGATTGAGTTTAAATCACAGAGCTGACCATTCCTTTGGATGGAGCAGGTTTGAGACACACTTTTTGTAGAATCTACAAGTGGATATTTGGACCTCTCTGAGGATTTCGTTGGAAACGGGATAACTGCACCTAACTAAACGGAAGCATTCTCAGAAACTGCTTTGTGATGATTGCATTCACCTCACAGAGTTGAACATTCCTATTGATAGAGCAGTTTGGAAACACTCTTGTTGTGGAATGTGCAAGTGGAGATTTGGAGCGCTTTGAGGCCTATGGTAGTAAAGGGAATAGCTTCATAGAAAAACTAGACAGATGCATTCTCAGGAACTTTTTGGTGATGTTTGTATTCAACTCCCAGAGTTGAACTTTCCTTTGGAAAGAGCAGCTATGAAACACTCTTTTTCTAGAATCTGCAAGTGGACGTTTGGAGGGCTTTGTGGTTTGTGGTGGAAAAGGAAATATATTCACCTAAATACTAGATAGAAGCATTCTCAGAAGCTTCTCTGTGATGACTGCATTCAACTCACGGAGTTGAACACTCCTTTTGAGAGCGCAGTTTTGAAACTCTCTTTCTGTGGCATCTGCAAGGGGACATGTAGACCTCTTTGAAGATTTCGTTGGAAACGGAATCATCTTCACATAAAAACTATACAGAAGCAGTCTCAGAATCTTCTTTGTGATGTTTGCATTCAAATCCCAGAGTTGAACTTTCCTTTCAAAGTTCACGTTTGAAACACTCTTTTTGCAGGATCTACAAGTGGATATTTGGACCACTCTGTGTCCTTCGTTCGAAACGGGTATATCTTCACATGACATCTAGACAGAAGCTTTCTCAGAAAATTGTTTGGGATGATTGATTTGAACTCACAGAGCTGAGCATTCCTTGCGATGTAGCAGTTTAGAAACACACTTTCTGCAGAATCTGCAAGTGCATATTTGGACCTCTCTGAGGAATTCGTTGGAAACGGGATAATTTCAGCTGACTAAACAGAAGCATTCTCAGAACCTTCTTCGTGATGTCTGCATTCAACTCACAGTGTGGAACCTTTCTTTGATAGTTCAGGTTTGAAACACTCTTTTTGTAGAAACTGTAAGGGGATAATTGCACTCTTTGAGGAGTACCGTAGTAAAGGAAATAACTTCCTATAAAAAGAAGACAGAAGCATTCTCAGAACCCTCTTCGTGATGTTTGCATTCAACTCACAGTGCTGAACCTTTCTTTGATAGTTCAGCTTTGAAACACTCTTTTTGTAGAAACTGCAAGTGGATATTTGGTCCTCTCTGAGGATTTCGTTGGAAAAGGGATAAAACGCACAGAACTAAACAGAAGCATTCACAGAAAACTCTTGGTGACGACTGAGTTTAACTCACAGAGCTGAACATTCCTTTGGATGGAGCAGTTTCAAAACACACTATTTGTAGAATCTGCAAGTGGATATGTGGGCCTCTCTGAGGATTTCGTTGGAAACGGGATAAACCGCACAGAACTAAAACAGAAGCATTCTCAGAAACTACTTTGTGATGATTGCATTCAAGTCACAGAGTTGAACATTCCCTTTGACAGAGCAGTTTGGAAACTCTCTTTGTGTAGAATCTGAAAGTGGAGATATGGACCGCTTTGAGGCCTATGGTAGTAAAGGAAATAGCTTCATATAAAAGCTAGACAGTAGCATTCTCAGAAACTTCTTTGTGATGCTTGCATTCAACTCACAGAGTTGAACTTTCCTTTCGAGAGAGAAGCTTTGAAACACTCTTTTTCCAGAATGTGCAAGTGGACATTTGGAGGGCTTTGAGGCCTGTGGTGGAAAAGGAATTATCTTCCCGTAAAAGCTAGATAGAAGCATTGTCAGAAACTTCTTTGTGATGATTGCATTCAAGTCACAGAGTTGAAGGTTCCTTTTCAAAGAGCAGTTTCCAATCACTCTTTCTGTGGAATCTGCAAGTGGATATTTGGACCTCTTTGAAGATTTCGTTGGAAACGGGAGAATCTTCACAGAAAAGCTAAACAGAAGCATTCTCAGAAACTTCTCTGTGATGTTTGTGTTCAACTCCCAGAGTTTCACATTGCTTTTCATAGAGTAGTTCTGAAACATGCTTTTCGTAGTGTCTGCAAGTGGACATTTGGAGCGCTTTCAGGCCTGTGGTGGAAAACGAATTATGGTCACATAAAAACTGGAGAGAAGCCTTCTCAGAAACTTCTCTGTGATGATTGCATTCAACTCACAGAGTTGAACCCTCCTATGGATAGAGCAGTGTTGAAACTCTCTTTTTGTGGAATCTGCAAGTGGATATGTGGACCTCTCCGAAGATGTCTTTGGAAACGGGAATATCTTCACATAAAAACTAAACAGAAGCATTCTCAGAAACTTCTTGGTGATGTTTGCATTCAAATCCCAGCAGTTGAACCTTCCTTTGATAGTTCAGGTTTGAAACACTCTTTCTGTAGGATCTGCAAGTGGCTATTTGGACCACTCTGTGGCCTTCGTTCGAAACGGGTATATCTTCGCATAAAATCTAGACAGAAGCATTCTCAGAAAATACTTTGTGATGATTGAGTTTAACTCACAGAGCTGAACATTCCTTTGGATGGAGCAGGTTTGAGACACACCTTTTGTAGAATCTACAAGTGGATATTTGGACCTCTCTGAGGATTTCGTTGGAAACGGGATAACTGCACCTAACTAAACGGAAGCATTCTCAGAAACTGCTTTGTGATGATTGCATTCACCTCACAGAGTTGAACATTCCTATTGATAGAGCAGTTTGGAAACACTCTTGTTGTGGAATGTGCAAGTGGAGATTTGGAGCACTTTGAGGCCTATGGTAGTAAAGGGAATAGCTTCATAGAAAAACTAGACAGATGCATTCTCAGGAACTTTTTGGTGATGTTTGTATTCAACTCCCAGAGTTGAACTTTCCTTTGGAAAGAGCAGCTATGAAACACTCTTTTTCTAGAATCTGCAAGTGGACGTTTGGAGGGCTTTGTGGTTTGTGGTGGAAAAGGAAATATCTTCACCTAAATACTAGATAGAAGCATTCTCAGAAGCTTCTCTGTGATGACTGCATTCAACTCACGGAGTTGAACACTCCTTTTGAGAGCGCAGTTATGAAACTCCCTTTCTCTGGCATCTGCAAGGGGACATGTAGACCTCTTTGAAGATTTCGTTGGAAACGGAATCATCTTCACATCAAAACTATACAGAAGCAGTCTCAGAATCTTCTTTGTGATGTTTGCATTCAAATCCCAGAGTTGAACTTTCCTTTCAAAGTTCACGTTTGAAACACTCTTTTTGCAGGATCTACAAGTGGATATTTGGACCACTCTGTGTCCTTCGTTCGAAACGGGTATATCTTCACACGACATCTAGACAGAAGCTTTCTCAGAAAATTCTTTGGGATGATTGAGTGGAACTCACAGAGCTGAACATTCCTTGCGATGTAGCAGTTTAGAAACACACTTTCTGCAGAATCTGCAAGTGCATATTTGGACCTCTCTGAGGAATTCGTTGGAAACGGGATAATTTCAGCTGACTAAACAGAAGCATTCTCAGAACCTTCTTCGTGATGTCTGCATTCAACTCACAGTGTGGAACCTTTCTTTGATAGTTCAGGTTTGAAACACTCTTTTTGTAGAAACTGCAAGGGGATAATTGCACTTCTTTGAGGCCTACCGTAGTAAAGGAAATAACTTCCTATAGAAAGAAGACAGAAGCATTCTCAGAACCCTCTTCGTGATGTTTGCATTCAACTCACAGTGCTGAACCTTTCTTTGATAGTTCAGCTTTGAAACACTCTTCTTGTAGAAACTGCAAGTGGATATTTGGTCCTCTCTGAGGATTTCGTTGGAAATGGGATAAACCGCACAGAACTAAACAGAAGCATTCTCAGAACCTTCTTCGTGATGTTTGCATTCAACTCACAGTGTTGAACTTTTCTTTGATAGTTCAGGTTGGAAACGGTCTTTCTGTAGAAACTGCAAGTAGATATTTGGACCTCTCTGAGGATTTCGTTGGAAACGGGATAAACCGCACAGAACTAAAACAGAAGCATTCACAGAAAACTCTTGGTGACGACTGAGTTCAACTCACAGAGCTGAACATTCCTTTGGATGGAGCCGTTTCGAAACACACTATTTGTAGAATGTGCAAGTGGATATTTGGGCCTCTCTGAGGATTTCGTTGGAAAAGGGATAAACCGCACAGAACTAAAACAGAAGCATTCTCAGAAACTACTTTGTGATGATTGCATTCAAGTCACAGAGTTGAACATTCCCTTTGACAGAGCAGTTTGGAAACTCTCTTTGTGTAGAATCTGCAAGTGGAGATATAGACCGCTTTGAGGCCTATGGTAGTAAAGGAAATAGCTTCATATAAAAGCTAGACAGTAGCATTCTCAGAAACTTCTTTGTGATGCTTGCATTCAACTCACAGAGTTGAACTTTCCTTTCGAGAGAGAAGCTTTGAAACACTCTTTTTCCAGAATCTGCAAGTGGACATTTGGAGGGCTTTGAGGCCTGTGGTGGAAAAGGAATTAACTTCCCGTAAAAGCTAGATAGAAGCATTGTCAGAAACTTCTTTGTGATGATTGCATTCAACTCACAGAGTTGAAGGTTCCTTTTCAAACAGCAGTTTCCAATCACTCTTTCTGTGGAATCTGCAAGTGGATATTTGGGCCTCTCTGAGGATTTCGTTGGAAACGGGATAAAACGCACAGAACTAAAACAGAAGCATTCTCAGAAACTTCTCTGTGATGTTTGTGTTCAACTCCCAGAGTTTCACGTTGCTTTTCATAGAGTAGTTCTGAAACATGCTTTTCGTAGTGTCTGCAAGTGGACATTTGGAGCGCTTTCAGGCCTGTGGTGGAAAACGAATTATGGTCACATAAAAACTGGAGAGAAGCCTTCTCAGAAACTTCTCTGTGATGATTGCATTCAACTCACAGAGTTGAACCCTCCTATGGATAGAGCAGTGTTGAAACTCTCTTTTTGTGGAATCTGCAAGTGGATATGTGGACCTCTCCGAAGATGTCTTTGGAAACGGGAATATCTTCACATAAAAACTAAACAGAAGCATTCTCAGAAACTTCTTGGTGATGTTTGCATTCAAATCCCAGAGTTGAACCTTCCTTTGATAGTTCAGGTTTGAAACACTCTTTCTGTAGGATCTGCAAGTGGCTATTTGGACCACTCTGTGGCCTTCGTTCGAAACGGGTATATCTTCGCATAAAATCTAGACAGAAGCATTCTCAGAAAATACTTTGTGATGATTGAGTTTAAATCACAGAGCTGACCATTCCTTTGGATGGAGCAGGTTTGAGACACACTTTTTGTAGAATCTACAAGTGGATATTTGGACCTCTCTGAGGATTTCGTTGGAAACGGGATAACTGCACCTAACTAAACGGAAGCATTCTCAGAAACTGCTTTGTGATGATTGCATTCACCTCACAGAGTTGAACATTCCTATTGATAGAGCAGTTTGGAAACACTCTTGTTGTGGAATGTGCAAGTGGAGATTTGGAGCGCTTTGAGGCCTATGGTAGTAAAGGGAATAGCTTCATAGAAAAACTAGACAGATGCATTCTCAGGAACTTTTTGGTGATGTTTGTATTCAACTCCCAGAGTTGAACTTTCCTTTGGAAAGAGCAGCTATGAAACACTCTTTTTCTAGAATCTGCAAGTGGACGTTTGGAGGGCTTTGTGGTTTGTGGTGGAAAAGGAAATATCTTCACCTAAATACTAGATAGAAGCATTCTCAGAAGCTTCTCTGTGATGACTGCATTCAACTCACGGAGTTGAACACTCCTTTTGAGAGCGCAGTTTTGAAACTCTCTTTCTGTGGCATCTGCAAGGGGACATGTAGACCTCTTTGAAGATTTCGTTGGAAACGGAATCATCTTCACATAAAAACTATACAGAAGCAGTCTCAGAATCTTCTTTGTGATGTTTGCATTCAAATCCCAGAGTTGAACTTTCCTTTCAAAGTTCACGTTTGAAACACTCTTTTTGCAGGATCTACAAGTGGATATTTGGACCACTCTGTGTCCTTCGTTCGAAACGGGTATATCTTCACACGACATCTAGACAGAAGCTTTCTCAGAAAATTCTTTGGGATGATTGAGTGGAACTCACAGAGCTGAACATTCCTTGCGATGTAGCACTTTAGAAACACACTTTCTGCAGAATCTGCAAGTGCATATTTGGACCTCTCTGAGGAATTCGTTGGAAACGGGATAATTTCAGCTGACTAAACAGAAGCATTCTCAGAACCTTCTTCGTGATGTCTGCATTCAACTCACAAGTGTGGAACCTTTCTTTGATAGTTCAGGTTTGAAACACTCTTTTTGTAGAAACTGCAAGGGGATAATTGCACTTCTTTGAGGCCTACCGTAGTAAAGGAAATAACTTCCTATAGAAAGAAGACAGAAGAACTCTCAGAGCCCTCTTCGTGATGTTTGCATTCAACTCACAGTGCTGAACCTTTCTTTGATAGTGCAGCTTTGAAACACTCTTTTTGTAGAAACTGCAAGTGGATATTTGGTCCTCTCTGAGGATTTCGTTGGAAACGGGATAAAACGCACAGAACTAAAACAGAAGCATTCACAGAAAACTCTTGGTGACGACTGAGTTTAACTCACAGAGCTGAACATTCCTTTGGATGGAGCAGTTTCGAAACACACTATTTGTAGAATCTGCAAGTGGATATTTGGGCCTCTCTGAGGATTTCGTTGGAAACGGGATAAAACGCACAGAACTAAAACAGAAGCATTCTCAGAAACTACTTTGTGATGATTGCATTCAAGTCACAGAGTTGAACATTCCCTTTGACAGAGCAGTTTGGAAACTCTCTTTGTGTAGAATCTGCAAGTGGAGATATGGACCGCTTTGAGGCCTATGGTAGTAAAGGAAATAGCTTCATATAAAAGCTAGACAGTAGCATTCTCAGAAACTTCTTTGTGATGCTTGCATTCAACTCACAGAGTTGAACTTTCCTTTCGAGAGAGAAGCTTTGAAACACTCTTTTTCCAGAATGTGCAAGTGGACATTTGGGGAGCTTTGAGGCCTGGGGTGGAAAAGGAATTATCTTCCCGTAAAAGCTAGATAGAAGCATTGTCAGAAACTTCTTTGAGATGATTGCATTCAACTCACAGAGTTGAAGGTTCCTTTTCAAACAGCAGTTTCCAATCACTCTTTCTGTGGAATCTGCAAGTGGATATTTCGACCTCTTTGAAGATTTCGTTGGAAACGGGAGAATCTTCACAGAAAAGCTAAACAGAAGCATTCTCAGAAACTTCTCTGTGATGTTTGTGTTCAACTCCCAGAGTTTCACGTTGCTTTTCATAGAGTAGTTCTGAAACATGCTTTTCGTAGTGTCTGCAAGTGGACATTTGGAGCGCTTTCAGGCCTGTGGTGGAAAACGAATTATGGTCACATAAAAACTGGAGAGAAGCCTTCTCAGAAACTTCTCTGTGATGATTGCATTCAACTCACAGAGTTGAACCCTCCTATGGATAGAGCAGTGTTGAAACTCTCTTTTTGTGGAATCTGCAAGTGGATATGTGGACCTCTCCGAAGATGTCTTTGGAAACGGGAATATCTTCACATAAAAACTAAACAGAAGCATTCTCAGAAACTTCTTGGTGATGTTTGCATTCAAATCCCAGAGTTGAACCTTCCTTTGATAGTTCAGGTTTGAAACACTCTTTTTGTAGGATCTGCAAGTGGCTATTTGGACCACTCTGTGGCCTTCGTTCGAAACGGGTATATCTTCGCATAAAATCTAGACAGAAGCATTCTCAGAAAATACTTTGTGATGATTGAGTTGAACTCACAGAGCTGAACATTCCTTTGGATGGAGCAGGTTTGAGACACACTTTTTGTAGAATCTACAAGTGGATATTTGGACCTCTCTGAGGATTTCGTTGGAAACGGGATAACTGCACCTAACTAAACGGAAGCATTCTCAGAAACTGCTTTGTGATGATTGCATTCACCTCACAGAGTTGAACATTCCTATTGATAGAGCAGTTTGGAAACACTCTTGTTGTGGAATGTGCAAGTGGAGATTTGGAGCGCTTTGAGGCCTATGGTAGTAAAGGGAATAGCGTCATAGAAAAATTAGACAGATGCATTCTCAGGAACTTTTTGGTGATGTTTGTATTCAACTCCCAGAGTTGAACTTTCCTTTGGAAAGAGCAGCTATGAAACACTCTTTTTCTAGAATCTGCAAGTGGACGTTTGGAGGGCTTTGTGGTTTGTGGTGGAAAAGGAAATATCTTCACCTAAATACTAGAGAGAAGCATTCTCAGAAGCTTCTCTGTGATGACTGCATTCAACTCACGGAGTTGAACACTCCTTTTGAGAGCGCAGTTTTGAAACTCTCTTTCTGTGGCATCCGCAAGGGGACATGTAGACCTCTTTGAAGATTTCGTTGGAAACGGAATCATCTTCACATAAAAACTATACAGAAGCAGTCTCAGAATCTTCTTTGTGGTGTTTGCATTCAAATCCCAGAGTTGAACTTTCCTTTCAAAGTTCACGTTTGAAACACTCTTTTTGCAGGATCTACAAGTGGATATTTGGACCACTCTGTGTCCTTCGTTCGAAACGGGTATATCTTCACATGACATCTAGACAGAAGCTTTCTCAGAAAATCCTTTGGGATGATTGAGTGGAACTCACAGAGCTGAACATTCCTTGCGATGTAGCAGTTTAGAAACACACTTTCTGCAGAATCTGCAAGTGCATATTTGGACCTCTCTGAGGAATTCGTTGGAAACGGGATAATTTCAGCTGACTAAACAGAAGCATTTTCAGAACCTTCTTCGTGATGTCTGCATTCAAGTCACAGTGTGGAACCTTTCTTTGATAGTTCAGGTTTGAAACACTCTTTTTGTAGAAACTGCAAGGGGATAATTGCACTCTTTGAGGAGTACCGTAGTAAAGGAAATATCTTCCTATAAAAAGAAGACAGAAGCATTCTCAGAACCCTCTTCGTGATGTTTGCATTCAACTCACAGTGCTGAACCTTTCTTTGATAGTTCAGCTTTGAAACACTCTTTTTGTAGAAACTGCAAGTGAATATTTGGTCCTCTCTGAGGATTTCGTTGGAAATGGGATAAAACGCACAGAACTAAACAGAAGCATTCTCAGAACCTTCTTCGTGATGTTTGCATTCAACTCACAGTGTTGAACCTTTCTTTGATAGTTCAGGTTTGAAACGGTCTTTCTGTAGAAACTGCAAGTAGATATTTGGACCTCTCTGAGGATTTCGTTGGAAACGGGATAAACCGCACAGAACTAAAACAGAAGCATTCACAGAAAACTCTTGGTGACGACTGAGTTTAACTCACAGAGCTGAACATTCCTTTGGATGGAGCAGTTTCGAAACACACTATTTGTATAATGTGCAAGTGGATATATGGGCCTCTCTGAGGATTTCGTTGGAAACGGGATAAACCGCACAGAACTAAACAGAAGCATTCTCAGAAACTACTTTGTGATGATTGCATTCAAGTCACAGAGTTGAACATTCCCTTTGACAGAGCAGTTTGGAAACTCTCTTTGTGTAGAATCTGCAAGTGGAGATATGGACCGCTTTGAGGCCTATGGTAGTAAAGGAAATAGCTTCATATAAAGCTAGACAGTAGCATTCTCAGAAACTTCTTTGTGATGCTTGCATTCAACTCACAGAGTTGAACTTTCCTTTCGAGAGAGAAGCTTTGAAACACTCTTTTTCCAGAATGTGCAAGTGGAGATTTGGAGGGCTTTGAGGCCTGTGGTGGAAAAGGAATTATCTTCCCGTAAAAGCTAGATAGAAGCATTGTCAGAAACTTCTGTGTGATGATTGCATTCAACTCACAGAGTTGAAGGTTCCTTTTCAAACAGCAGTTTCCAATCACTCTTTGTGTGGAATCTGCAAGTGGATATTTGGACCTATTTTGAAGATTTCGTTGGAAACGGGATAATCTTCACAGAAAAGCTAAACAGAAGCATTCTCAGAAACTTCTCTGTGATGTTTGTGTTCAACTCCCAGAGTTTCACATTGCTTTTCATAGAGTACTTCTGAAACATGCTTTTCGTAGTGTCTGCAAGTGGACATTTGGAGCGCTCTCAGGCCTGTGGTGGAAAACGAATTATGGTCACATAAAAACTGGAGAGAAGCCTTCTCAGAAACTTCTCTGTGATGATTGCATTCAACTCACAGAGTTGAACCCTCCTATGGATAGAGCAGTGTTGAAACTCTCTTTTTGTGGAATCTGCAAGTGGATATGTGGACCTCTCCGAAGATGTCTTTGGAAACGGGAATATCTTCACATAAAAACTAAACAGAAGCATTCTCAGAAACTTCTTGGGGATGTTTGCATTCAAATCCCAGAGTTGAACCTTCCTTTGATAGTTCAGGTTTGAAACACTCTTTTTGTAGGATCTGCAAGTGGCTATTTGGACCACTCTGTGGCCTTCGTTCGAAACGGGTATATCTTCGCATAAAATCTAGACAGAAGCATTCTCAGAAAATACTTTGTGATGATTGAGTTGAACTCACAGAGCTGAACATTCCTTTGGATGGAGCAGGTTTGAGACACACTTTTTGTAGAATCTACAAGTGGATATTTGGACCTCTCTGAGGATTTCGTTGGAAACGGGATAACTGCACCTAACTAAACGGAAGCATTCTCAGAAACTGCTTTGTGATGATTGCATTCACCTCACAGAGTTGAACATTCCTATTGATAGAGCAGTTTGGAAACACTCTTGTTGTGGAATGTGCAAGTGGAGATTTGGAGCGCTTTGAGGCCTATGGTAGTAAAGGGAATAGCTTCATAGAAAAACTAGACAGATGCATTCTCAGGAACTTTTTGGTGATGTTTGTATTCAACTCCCAGAGTTGAACTTTCCTTTGGAAAGAGCAGCTATGAAACACTCTTTTTCTAGAATCTGCAAGTGGACGTTTGGAGGGCTTTGTGGTTTGTGGTGGAAAAGGAAATATCTTCACCTAAATACTAGATAGAAGCATTCTCAGAAGCTTCTCTGTGATGACTGCATTCAACTCACGGAGTTGAACACTCCTTTTGAGAGCGCAGTTTTGAAACTCTCTTTCTGTGGCATCTGCAAGGGGACATGTAGACCTCTTTGAAGATTTCGTTGGAAACGGAATCATCTTCACATAAAAACTATACAGAAGCAGTCTCAGAATCTTCTTTGTGATGTTTGCATTCAAATCCCAGAGTTGAACTTTCCTTTCAAAGTTCACGTTTGAAACACTCTTTTTGCAGGATCTACAAGTGGATATTTGGACCACTCTGTGTCCTTCGTTCGAAACGGGTATATCTTCACACGACATCTAGACAGAAGCTTTCTCAGAAAATTCTTTGGGATGATTGAGTGGAACTCACAGAGCTGAACATTCCTTGCGATGTAGCAGTTTAGAAACACACTTTCTGCAGAATCTGCAAGTGCATATTTGGACCTCTGTGAGGAATTCGTTGGAAACGGGATAATTTCAGCTGACTAAACAGAAGCATTCTCAGAACCTTCTTCGTGATGTCTGCATTCAACTCACAGTGTGGAACCTTTCTTTGATAGTTCAGGTTTGAAACACTCTTTTTGTAGAAACTGCAAGGGGATAATTGCACTTCTTTGAGGCCTACCGTAGTAAAGGAAATAACTTCCTATAGAAAGAAGACAGAAGCATTCTCAGAACCCTCTTCGTGATGTTTGCATTCAACTCACAGTGCTGAACCTTTCTTTGATAGTTCAGCTTTGAAACACTCTTCTTGTAGAAACTGCAAGTGGATATTTGGTCCTCTCTGAGGATTTCGTTGGAAACGGGATAAACCGCACAGAACTAAACAGAAGAATTCTCAGAGCCCTCTTCGTGATGTTTGCATTCAACTCACAGTGCTGAACCTTTCTTTGATAGTGCAGCTTTGAAACACTCTTTTTGTAGAAACTGCAAGTGGATGTTTGGTCCTCTCTGAGGATTTCGTTGGAAACGGGATAAACCGCACAGAACTAAAACAGAAGCATTGTCAGAAACTTCTTTGTGATGATTGCATTCAACTCACAGAGTTGAAGGTTCCTTTTCAAACAGCAGTTTCCAATCACTCTTTCTGTGGAATCTGCAAGTGGATATTTGGGCCTCTCTGAGGATTTCGTTGGAAACGGGATAAAACGCACAGAACTAAAACAGAAGCATTCTCAGAAACTTCTCTGTGATGTTTGTGTTCAACTCCCAGAGTTTCACGTTGCTTTTCATAGAGTAGTTCTGAAACATGCTTTTCGTAGTGTCTGCAAGTGGACATTTGGAGCGCTTTCAGGCCTGTGGTGGAAAACGAATTATGGTCACATAAAAACTGGAGAGAAGCCTTCTCAGAAACTTCTCTGTGATGATTGCATTCAACTCACAGAGTTGAACCCTCCTATGGATAGAGCAGTGTTGAAACTCTCTTTTTGTGGAACCTGCAAGTGGATATGTGGACCTCTCCGAAGATGTCTTTGGAAACGGGAATATCTTCACATAAAAACTAAACAGAAGCATTCTCAGAAACTTCTTGGTGATGTTTGCATTCAAATCCCAGAGTTGAACCTTCCTTTGATAGTTCAGGTTTGAAACACTCTTTCTGTAGGATCTGCAAGTGGCTATTTGGACCACTCTGTGGCCTTCGTTCGAAACGGGTATATCTTCGCATAAAATCTAGACAGAAGCATTCTCAGAAAATACTTTGTGATGATTGAGTTTAAATCACAGAGCTGACCATTCCTTTGGATGGAGCAGGTTTGAGACACACTTTTTGTAGAATCTACAAGTGGATATTTGGACCTCTCTGAGGATTTCGTTGGAAACGGGATAACTGCACCTAACTAAACGGAAGCATTCTCAGAAACTGCTTTGTGATGATTGCATTCACCTCACAGAGTTGAACATTCCTATTGATAGAGCAGTTTGGAAACACTCTTGTTGTGGAATGTGCAAGTGGAGATTTGGAGCGCTTTGAGGCCTATGGTAGTAAAGGGAATAGCTTCATAGAAAAACTAGACAGATGCATTCTCAGGAACTTTTTGGTGATGTTTGTATTCAACTCCCAGAGTTGAACTTTCCTTTGGAAAGAGCAGCTATGAAACACTCTTTTTCTAGAATCTGCAAGTGGACGTTTGGAGGGCTTTGTGGTTTGTGGTGGAAAAGGAAATATCTTCACCTAAATACTAGATAGAAGCATTCTCAGAAGCTTCTCTGTGATGACTGCATTCAACTCACGGAGTTGAACACTCCTTTAGAGAGCGCAGTTTTGAAACTCTCTTTCTGTGGCATCTGCAAGGGGACATGTAGACCTCTTTGAAGATTTCGTTGGAAACGGAATCATCTTCACATAAAAACTATACAGAAGCAGTCTCAGCATCTTCTTTGTGATGTTTGCATTCAAATCCCAGGAGTTGAACTTTCCTTTCAAAGTTCACGTTTGAAACACTCTTTTTGCAGGATCTACAAGTGGATATTTGGACCACTCTGTGTCCTTCGTTCGAAACGGGTATATCTTCACATGACATCTAGACAGAAGCTTTCTCAGAAAATTCTTTGGGATGATTGAGTTGAACTCACAGAGCTGAGCATTCCTTGCGATGTAGCAGTTTAGAAACACACTTTCTGCAGAATCTGCAAGTGCATATTTGGACCTCTGTGAGGAATTCGTTGGAAACGGGATAATTTCAGCTGACTAAACAGAAGCATTCTCAGAACCTTCTTCGTGATGTCTGCATTCAACTCACAGTGTGGAACCTTTCTTTGATAGTTCAGGTTTGAAACACTCTTTTTGTAGAAACTGCAAGGGGATAATTGCACTCTTTGAGGAGTACCGTAGTAAAGGAAATAACTTCCTATAAAAAGAAGACAGAAGCATTCTCAGAACCCTCTTCGTGATGTTTGCATTCAACTCACAGTGCTGAACCTTTCTTTGATAGTTCAGCTTTGAAACACTCTTTTTGTAGAAACTGCAAGTGGATATTTGGTCCTCTCTGAGGATTTCGTTGGAAACGGGATAAACTGCACAGAACTAAACAGAAGCATTCTCAGAACCTTCTTCGTGATGTTTGCATTCAACTCACAGTGTTGAACCTTTCTTTGATAGTTCAGGTTTGAAACGGTCTTTCTGTAGAAACTGCAAGTAGATATTTGGACCTCTCTGAGGATTTCGTTGGAAACGGGATAACCCGCACAGAACTAAAACAGAAGCATTCACAGAAAACTCTTGGTGACGACTGAGTTTAACTCACAGAGCTGAACATTCCTTTGGATGGAGCAGTTTCGAAACACACTATTTGTAGAATGTGCAAGTGGATATTTAGGCCTCTCTGAGGATTTCGTTGGAAACGGGATAAACCGCACAGAACTAAACAGAAGCATTCTCAGAAACTACTTTGTGATGATTGCATTCAAGTCACAGAGTTGAACATTCCCTTTGACAGAGCAGTTTGGAAACTCTCTTTGTGTAGAATCTGCAAGTGGAGATATGGACCGCTTTGAGGCCTATGGTAGTAAAGGAAATAGCTTCATATAAAAGCTAGACAGTAGCATTCTCAGAAACTTCTTTGTGATGCTTGCATTCAACTCACAGAGTTGAACTTTCCTTTCGAGAGAGAAGCTTTGAAACACTCTTTTTCCAGAATCTGCAAGTGGACATTTGAAGGGCTTTGAGGCCTGTGGTGGAAAAGGAATTATCTTCCCGTAAAAGCTAGATAGAAGCATTGTCAGAAACTTCTTTGTGATGATTGCATTCAACTCACAGAGTTGAAGGTTCCTTTTCAAACAGCAGTTTCCAATCACTCTTTCTGTGGAATCTGCAAGTGGATATTTGGACCTCTTTGAAGATTTCGTTGGAAACGGGAGAATCTTCACAGAAAAGCTAAACAGAAGCATTCTCAGAAACTTCTCTGTGATGTTTGTGTTCAACTCCCAGAGTTTCACATTGCTTTTCATAGAGTAGTTCTGAAACATGCTTTTCGTAGTGTCTGCAAGTGGACATTTGGAGCGCTTTCAGGCCTGTGGTGGAAAACGAATTATGGTCACATAAAAACTGGAGAGAAGCCTTCTCAGAAACTTCTCTGCGATGATTGCATTCAACTCACAGAGTTGAACCCTCCTATGGATAGAGCAGTGTTGAAACTCTCTTTTTGTGGAATCTGCAAGTGGATATGTGGACCTCTCCGAAGATGTCTTTGGAAACGGGAATATCTTCACATAGAAACTAAACAGAAGCATTCTCAGAAACTTCTTGGTGATGTTTGCATTCAAATCCCAGAGTTGAACCTTCCTTTGATAGTTCAGGTTTGAAACACTCTTTTTGTAGGATCTGCAAGTGGATATTTGGACCACTCTGTGGCCTTCGTTCGAAACGGGTACATCTTCGCATAAAATCTAGACAGAAGCATTCTCAGAAAATACTTTGTGATGATTGAGTTGAACTCACAGAGCTGAACATTCCTTTGGATGGAGCAGGTTTGAGACACACTTTTTGTAGAATCTACAAGTGGATATTTGGACCTCTCTGAGGATTTCGTTGGAAACGGGATAACTGCACCTAACTAAACGGAAGCATTCTCAGAAACTGCTTTGTGATGATTGCATTCACCTCACAGAGTTGAACATTCCTATTGATAGAGCAGTTTGGAAACACTCTTGTTGTGGAATGTGCAAGTGGAGATTTGGAGCGCTTTGAGGCCTATGGTAGTAAAGGGAATAGCTTCATAGAAAAACTAGACAGGATGCATTCTCAGGAACTTTTTGGTGATGTTTGTATTCAACTCCCAGAGTTGAACTTTCCTTTGGAAAGAGCAGCTATGAAACACTCTTTTTCTAGAATCTGCAAGTGGACGTTTGGAGGGCTTTGTGGTTTGTGGTGGAAAAGGAAATATCTTCACCTAAATACTAGATAGAAGCATTCTCAGAAGCTTCTCTGTGATGACTGCATTCAACTCACGGAGTTGAACACTCCTTTTGAGAGCGTAGTTTTGAAACTCTCTTTCTGTGGCATCTGCAAGGGGACATGTAGACCTCTTTGAAGATTTCGTTGGAAACGGAATCATCTTCACATAAAAACTATACAGAAGCAGTCTCAGAATCTTCTTTGTGATGTTTGCATTCAAATCCCAGAGTTGAACTTTCCTTTCAAAGTTCACGTTTGAAACACTCTTTTTGCAGGATCTACAAGTGGATATTTGGAGCACTCTGTGTCCTTCGTTCGAAACGGGTATATCTTCACATGACATCTAGACAGAAGCTTTCTCAGAAAATTCTTTGGGATGATTGAGTGGAACTCACAGAGCTGAACATTCCTTGCGATGTAGCAGTTTAGAAACACACTTTCTGCAGAATCTGCAAGTGCATATTTGGACCTCTCTGAGGAATTCGTTGGAAACGGGATAATTTCAGCTGACTAAACAGAAGCATTCTCAGAACCTTCTTCGTGATGTCTGCATTCAACTCACAGTGTGGAACCTTTCTTTGATAGTTCAGGTTTGAAACACTCTTTTTGTAGAAACTGCAAGGGGATAATTGCACTTCTTTGAGGCCTACCGTAGTAAAGGAAATAACTTCCTATAGAAAGAAGACAGAAGCATTCTCAGAACCCTCTTCGTGATGTTTGCATTCAACTCACAGTGCTGAACCTTTCTTTGATAGTTCAGCTTTGAAACACTCTTCTTGTAGAAACTGCAAGTGGATATTTGGTCCTCTCTGAGGATTTCGTTGGAAACGGGATAAACCGCACAGAACTAAACAGAAGAATTCTCAGAGCCCTCTTCGTGATGTTTGCATTCAACTCACAGTGCTGAACCTTTCTTTGATAGTGCAGCTTTGAAACACTCTTTTTGTAGAAACTGCAAGTGGATGTTTGGTCCTCTCTGAGGATTTCGTTGGAAACGGGATAAACCGCACAGAACTAAAACAGAAGCATTGTCAGAAACTTCTTTGTGATGATTGCATTCAACTCACAGAGTTGAAGGTTCCTTTTCAAACAGCAGTTTCCAATCACTCTTTCTGTGGAATCTGCAAGTGGATATTTGGGCCTCTCTGAGGATTTCGTTGGAAACGGGATAAAACGCACAGAACTAAAACAGAAGCATTCTCAGAAACTTCTCTGTGATGTTTGTGTTCAACTCCCAGAGTTTCACGTTGCTTTTCATAGAGTAGTTCTGAAACATGCTTTTCGTAGTGTCTGCAAGTGGACATTTGGAGCGCTTTCAGGCCTGTGGTGGAAAACGAATTATGGTCACATAAAAACTGGAGAGAAGCCTTCTCAGAAACTTCTCTGTGATGATTGCATTCAACTCACAGAGTTGAACCCTCCTATGGATAGAGCAGTGTTGAAACTCTCTTTTTGTGGAATCTGCAAGTGGATATGTGGACCTCTCCGAAGATGTCTTTGGAAACGGGAATATCTTCACATAAAAACTAAACAGAAGCATTCTCAGTAAACTTCTTGGTGATGTTTGCATTCAAATCCCAGAGTTGAACCTTCCTTTGATAGTTCAGGTTTGAAACACTCTTTTTGTAGGATCTGCAAGTGGATATTTGGACCACTCTGTGGCCTTCGTTCGAAACGGGTATATCTTCGCATAAAATCTAGACAGAAGCATTCTCAGAAAATACTTTGTGATGATTGAGTTTAACTCACAGAGCTGAACATTCCTTTGGATGGAGCAGGCTTGAGACACACTTTTTGTAGAATCCACAAGTGGATATTTGGACCTCTCTGAGGATTTCGTTGGAAACGGGATAACTGCACCGAACTAAACGGAAGCATTCTCAGAAACTGCTTTGTGATGATTGCATTCACCTCACAGAGTTGAACATTCCTATTGATAGAGCAGTTTGGAAACACTCTTGTTGTGGAATGTGCAAGTGGAGATTTGGAGCGCTTTGAGGCCTATGGTAGTAAAGGGAATAGCTTCATAGAAAAACTAGACAGATGCATTCTCAGGAACTTTTTGGTGATGTTTGTATTCAACTCCCAGAGTTGAACTTTCCTTTGGAAAGAGCAGCTATGAAACACTCTTTTTCTAGAATCTGCAAGTGGACGTTTGGAGGGCTTTGTGGTTTGTGGTGGAAAAGGAAATATCTTCACCTAAATACTAGAGAGAAGCATTCTCAGAAGCTTCTCTGTGATGACTGCATTCAACTCACGGAGTTGAACACTCCTTTTGAGAGCGCAGTTTTGAAACTCTCTTTCTGTGGCATCCGCAAGGGGACATGTGGACCTCCTTTGAAGATTTCGTTGGAAACGGAATCATCTTCACATAAAAACTATACAGAAGCAGTCTCAGAATCTTCTTTGTGATGTTTGCATTCAAATCCCAGAGTTGAACTTTCCTTTCAAAGTTCACGTTTGAAACACTCTTTTTGCAGGATCTACAAGTGGATATTTGGACCACTCTGTGTCCTTCGTTCGTAACGGGTATATCTTCACATGACATCTAGACAGAAGCTTTCTCAGAAAATTCTTTGGGATGATTGAGTGGAACTCACAGAGCTGAACATTCCTTGTGATGTAGCAGTTTAGAAACACACTTTCTGCAGAATCTGCAAGTGCATATTTGGACCTCTCTGAGGAGTTCGTTGGAAACGGGATAATTTCAGCTGACTAAACAGAAACATTCTCAGAACCTTCTTCGTGATGTCTGCATTCAACTCACAGTGTGGAACCTTTCTTTGATAGTTCAGGTTTGAAACACTCTTTTTGTAGAAACTTCAAGGGGATAATTGCACTTCTTTGAGGCCTACCGTAGTAAAGGAAATAACTTCCTATAGAAAGAAGACAGAAGCATTCTCAGAACCCTCTTCGTGATGTTTGCATTCAACTCACAGTGCTGAACCTTTCTTTGATAGTTCAGCTTTGAAACACTCTTCTTGTAGAAACTGCAAGTGGATATTTGGTCCTCTCTGAGGATTTCGTTGGAAACGGGATAAACCGCACAGAACTAAACAGAAGCATTCTCAGAACCTTCTTCGTGATGTTTGCATTCAACTCACAGTGTTGAACCTTTCTTTGATAGTTCAGGTTGGAAACGGTCTTTATGTAGAAACTGCAAGTAGATATTTGGACCTCTCTGAGGATTTCGTTGGAAACGGGATAAACCGCACAGAACTAAAACAGAAGCATTCACAGAAAACTCTTGGTGACGACTGAGTTTAACTCACAGAGCTGAACATTCCTTTGGATGGAGCAGTTTCGAAACACACTATTTGTAGAATGTGCAAGTGGATATTTAGGCCTCTCTGAGGATTTCGTTGGAAACGGGATAAACCGCACAGAACTAAACAGAAGCATTCTCAGAAACTACTTTGTGATGATTGCATTCAAGTCACAGAGTTGAACATTCCCTTTGACAGAGCAGTTTGGAAACTCTCTTTGTGTAGAATCTGCAAGTGGAGATATGGACCGCTTTGAGGCCTATGGTAGTAAAGGAAATAGCTTCATATAAAAGCTAGACAGTAGCATTCTCAGAAACTTCTTTGTGATGCTTGCATTCAACTCACAGAGTTGAACTTTCCTTTCGAGAGAGAAGCTTTGAAACACTCTTTTTCCAGAATCTGCAAGTGGACATTTGGAGGGCTTTGAGGCCTGTGGTGGAAAAGGAATTATCTTCCCGTAAAAGCTAGATAGAAGCATTGTCAGAAACTTCTTTGTGATGATTGCATTCAACTCACAGAGTTGAAGGTTCCTTTTCAAAGAGCAGTTTCCAATCACTCTTTCTGTGGAATCTGCAAGTGGATATTTGGACCTATTTTGAAGATTTCGTTGGAAACGGGAGAATCTTCACAGGAAAGCTAAACAGAAGCATTCTCAGAAACTTCTCCTGTGATGTTTGTGTTCAACTCCCAGAGTTTCACGTTGCTTTTCATAGAGTAGTTCTGAAACATGCTTTTCGTAGTGTCTGCAAGTGGACATTTGGAGCGCTTTCAGGCCTGTGGTGGAAAACGAATTATGGTCACATAAAAACTGGAGAGAAGCCTTCTCAGAAACTTCTCTGTGATGATTGCATTCAACTCACAGAGTTGAACCCTCCTATGGATAGAGCAGTGTTGAAACTCTCTTTTTGTGGAATCTGCAAGTGGATATGTGGACCTCTCCGAAGATGTCTTTGGAAACGGGAATATCTTCACATAAAAACTAAACAGAAGCATTCTCAGAAACTTCTTGGTGATGTTTGCATTCAAATCCCAGAGTTGAACCTTCCTTTGATAGTTCAGGTTTGAAACACTCTTTTTGTAGGATCTGCAAGTGGCTATTTGGACCACTCTGTGGCCTTCGTTCGAAACGGGTATATCTTCGCATAAAATCTAGACAGAAGCATTCTCAGAAAATACTTTGTGATGATTGAGTTTAACTCACAGAGCTGAACATTCCTTTGGATGGAGCAGGTTTGAGACACACTTTTTGTAGAATCTGCAAGTGGATATTTGGACCTCTCTGAGGATTTCGTTGGAAACGGGATAACTGCACCTAACTAAACGGAAGCCTTCTCAGAAACTGCTTTGTGATGATTGCATTCACCTCACAGAGTTGAACATTCCTATTGATAGAGCAGTTTGGAAACACTCTTGTTGTGGAATGTGCAAGTGGAGATTTGGAGCGCTTTGAGGCCTATGGTAGTAAAGGGAAGAGCTTCATAGAAAAACAAGACAGATGCATTCTCAGGAACTTTTTGGTGATGTTTGTATTCAACTCCCAGAGTTGAACTTTCCTTTGGAAAGAGCAGCTATGAAACACTCTTTTTCTAGAATCTGCAAGTGGACGTTTGGAGGGCTTTGTGGTTTGTGGTGGAAAAGGAAATATCTTCACCTAAATACTAGATAGAAGCTTTCTCAGAAGCTTCTCTGTGATGACTGCATTGAACTCACGGAGTTGAACACTCCTTTTGAGAGCGCAGTTTTGAAACTCCCTTTCTGTGGCATCTGCAAGGGGACATGTAGACCTCTTTGAAGATTTCGTTGGAAACGGAATCATCTTCACATAAAAACTATACAGAAGTAGTCTCAGAATCTTCTTTGTGATGTTTGCATTCAAATCCCAGAGTTGAACTTTCCTTTCAAAGTTCACGTTTGAAACACTCTTTTTGCAGGATCTACAAGTGGATATTTGGACCACTCTGTGTCCTTCGTTCGAAACGGGTATATCTTCACACGACATCTAGACAGAAGCTTTCTCAGAAAATTCTTTGGGATGATTGAGTAGAACTCACAGAGCTGAACATTCCTTTGGATGGAGCAGTTTCGAAACACACTCTTTGTAAAATCTGCAAGTGGATATTTCGGCCTCTCTGAGGATTTCGTTGGAAACGGGATAAACCGCACAGAACTGAAACAGAAGCATTCTCAGAACCTTCTTCGTGATGTCTGCATTCAACTCACAGTGTGGAACCTTTCTTTGATAGTTCAGGTTTGAAACACTCTTTTTGTAGAAACTGCAAGGGGATAATTGCACTTCTTTGAGGCCTACCGTAGTAAAGGAAATAACTTCCTATAAAAAGAAGACAGAAGCATTCTCAGAACCCTCTTCGTGATGTTTGCATTCAACTCACAGTGCTGAACCTTTCTTTGATAGTTCAGCTTTGAAACACTCTTCTTGTAGAAACTGCAAGTGGATATTTGGTCCTCTCTGAGGATTTCGTTGGAAACGGGATAAACCGCACAGAACTAAACAGAAGAATTCTCAGAGCCCTCTTCGTGATGTTTGCATTCAACTCACAGTGCTGAACCTTTCTTTGATAGTGCAGCTTTGAAACACTCTTTTTGTAGAAACTGCAAGTGGATGTTTGGTCCTCTCTGAGGATTTCGTTGGAAACGGGATAAACCGCACAGAACTAAAACAGAAGCATTGTCAGAAACTTCTTTGTGATGATTGCATTCAACTCACAGAGTTGAAGGTTCCTTTTCAAACAGCAGTTTCCAATCACTCTTTCTGTGGAATCTGCAAGTGGATATTTGGGCCTCTCTGAGGATTTCGTTGGAAACGGGATAAAACGCACAGAACTAAAACAGAAGCATTCTCAGAAACTTCTCTGTGATGTTTGTGTTCAACTCCCAGAGTTTCACGTTGCTTTTCATAGAGTAGTTCTGAAACATGCTTTTCGTAGTGTCTGCAAGTGGACATTTGGAGCGCTTTCAGGCCTGTGGTGGAAAACGAATTATGGTCACATAAAAACTGGAGAGAAGCCTTCTCAGAAACTTCTCTGTGATGATTGCATTCAACTCACAGAGTTGAACCCTCCTATGGATAGAGCAGTGTTGAAACTCTCTTTTTGTGGAATCTGCAAGTGGATATGTGGACCTCTCCGAAGATGTCTTTGGAAACGGGAATATCTTCACATAAAAACTAAACAGAAGCATTCTCAGAAACTTCTTGGTGATGTTTGCATTCAAATCCCAGAGTTGAGCCTTCCTTTGATAGTTCAGGTTTGAAACACTCTTTCTGTAGGATCTGCAAGTGGCTATTTGGACCACTCTGTGGCCTTCGTTCGAAACGGGTATATCTTCGCATAAAATCTAGACAGAAGCATTCTCAGAAAATACTTTGTGATGATTGAGTTTAAATCACAGAGCTGACCATTCCTTTGGATGGAGCAGGTTTGAGACACACTTTTTGTAGAATCTACAAGTGGATATTTGGACCTCTCTGAGGATTTCGTTGGAAACGGGATAACTGCACCTAACTAAACGGAAGCATTCTCAGAAACTGCTTTGTGATGATTGCATTCACCTCACAGAGTTGACCATTCCTATTGATAGAGCAGTTTGGAAACACTCTTGTTGTGGAATGTGCAAGTGGAGATTTGGAGCGCTTTGAGGCCTATGGTAGTAAAGGGAATAGCTTCATAGAAAAACTAGACAGATGCATTCTCAGGAACTTTTTGGTGATGTTTGTATTCAACTCCCAGAGTTGAACTTTCCTTTGGAAAGAGCAGCTATGAAACACCCTTTTTCTAGAATCTGCAAGTGGACGTTTGGAGGGCTTTGTGGTTTGTGGTGGAAAAGGAAATATCTTCACCTAAATACTAGATAGAAGCATTCTCAGAAGCTTCTCTGTGATGACTGCATTCAACTCACGGAGTTGAACACTCCTTTTGAGAGCGCAGTTTTGAAACTCTCTTTCTGTGGCATCTGCAAGGGGACATGTAGACCTCTTTGAAGATTTCGTTGGAAACGGAATCATCTTCACATAAAAACTATACAGAAGCAGTCTCAGAATCTTCTTTGTGATGTTTGCATTCAAATCCCAGAGTTGAACTTTCCTTTCAAAGTTCACGTTTGAAACACTCTTTTTGCAGGATCTACAAGTGGATATTTGGACCACTCTGTGTCCTTCGTTCGAAACGGGTATATCTTCACACGACATCTAGACAGAAGCTTTCTCAGAAAATTCTTTGGGATGATTGAGTGGAACTCACAGAGCTGAACATTCCTTGCGATGTAGCAGTTTAGAAACACACTTTCTGCAGAATCTGCAAGTGCATATTTGGACCTCTCTGAGGAATTCGTTGGAAACGGGATAATTTCAGCTGACTAAACAGAAGCATTCTCAGAACCTTCTTCGTGATGTCTGCATTCAACTCACAGTGTGGAACCTTTCTTTGATAGTTCAGGTTTGAAACACTCTTTTTGTAGAAACTGCAAGGGGATAATTGCACTTCTTTGAGGCCTACCGTAGTAAAGGAAATAACTTCCTATAGAAAGAAGACAGAAGCATTCTCAGAACCCTCTTCGTGATGTTTGCATTCAACTCACAGTGCTGAACCTTTCTTTGATAGTTCAGCTTTGAAACACTCTTCTTGTAGAAACTGCAAGTGGATATTTGGTCCTCTCTGAGGATTTCGTTGGAAACGGGATAAACCGCACAGAACTAAACAGAAGAATTCTCAGAGCCCTCTTCGTGATGTTTGCATTCAACTCACAGTGCTGAACCTTTCTTTGATAGTGCAGCTTTGAAACACTCTTTTTGTAGAAACTGCAAGTGGATGTTTGGTCCTCTCTGAGGATTTCGTTGGAAACGGGATAAACCGCACAGAACTAAAACAGAAGCATTGTCAGAAACTTCTTTGTGATGATTGCATTCAACTCACAGAGTTGAAGGTTCCTTTTCAAACAGCAGTTTCCAATCACTCTTTCTGTGGAATCTGCAAGTGGATATTTGGGCCTCTCTGAGGATTTCGTTGGAAACGGGATAAAACGCACAGAACTAAAACAGAAGCATTCTCAGAAACTTCTCTGTGATGTTTGTGTTCAACTCCCAGAGTTTCACGTTGCTTTTCATAGAGTAGTTCTGAAACATGCTTTTCGTAGTGTCTGCAAGTGGACATTTGGAGCGCTTTCAGGCCTGTGGTGGAAAACGAATTATGGTCACATAAAAACTGGAGAGAAGCCTTCTCAGAAACTTCTCTGTGATGATTGCATTCAACTCACAGAGTTGAACCCTCCTATGGATAGAGCAGTGTTGAAACTCTCTTTTTGTGGAATCTGCAAGTGGATATGTGGACCTCTCCGAAGATGTCTTTGGAAACGGGAATATCTTCACATAAAAACTAAACAGAAGCATTCTCAGAAACTTCTTGGTGATGTTTGCATTCAAATCCCAGAGTTGAACCTTCCTTTGATAGTTCAGGTTTGAAACACTCTTTCTGTAGGATCTGCAAGTGGCTATTTGGACCACTCTGTGGCCTTCGTTCGAAACGGGTATATCTTCGCATAAAATCTAGACAGAAGCATTCTCAGAAAATACTTTGTGATGATTGAGTTTAAATCACAGAGCTGACCATTCCTTTGGATGGAGCAGGTTTGAGACACACTTTTTGTAGAATCTACAAGTGGATATTTGGACCTCTCTGAGGATTTCGTTGGAAACGGGATAACTGCACCTAACTAAACGGAAGCATTCTCAGAAACTGCTTTGTGATGATTGCATTCACCTCACAGAGTTGAACATTCCTATTGATAGAGCAGTTTGGAAACACTCTTGTTGTGGAATGTGCAAGTGGAGATTTGGAGCGCTTTGAGGCCTGTGGTAGCAAAGGGAATAGCTTCATAGAAAAACTAGACAGATGCATTCTCAGGAACTTCTTTTTGGTGATGTTTGTATTCAACTCCCAGAGTTGAACTTTCCTTTGGAAAGAGCAGCTATGAAACACTCTTTTTCTAGAATCTGCAAGTGGACGTTTGGAGGGCTTTGTGGTTTGTGGTGGAAAAGGAAATATCTTCACCTAAATACTAGATAGAAGCATTCTCAGAAGCTTCTCTGTGATGACTGCATTCAACTCACGGAGTTGAACACTCCTTTTGAGAGCGCAGTTTTGAAACTCTCTTTCTGTGGCATCTGCAAGGGGACATGTAGACCTCTTTGAAGATTTCGTTGGAAACGGAATCATCTTCACATAAAAACTATACAGAAGCAGTCTCAGAATCTTCTTTGTGATGTTTGCATTCAAATCCCAGAGTTGAACTTTCCTTTCAAAGTTCACGTTTGAAACACTCTTTTTGCAGGATCTACAAGTGGATATTTGGACCACTCTGTGTCCTTCGTTCGAAACGGGTATATCTTCACACGACATCTAGACAGAAGCTTTCTCAGAAAATTCTTTGGGATGATTGAGTGGAACTCACAGAGCTGAACATTCCTTGCGATGTAGCAGTTTAGAAACACACTTTCTGCAGAATCTGCAAGTGCATATTTGGACCTCTCTGAGGAATTCGTTGGAAACGGGATAATTTCAGCTGACTAAACAGAAGCATTCTCAGAACCTTCTTCGTGATGTCTGCATTCAACTCACAGTGTGGAACCTTTCTTTGATAGTTCAGGTTTGAAACACTCTTTTTGTAGAAACTGCAAGGGGATAATTGCACTTCTTTGAGGCCTACCGTAGTAAAGGAAATAACTTCCTATAGAAAGAAGACAGAAGCATTCTCAGAACCCTCTTCGTGATGTTTGCATTCAACTCACAGTGCTGAACCTTTCTTTGATAGTTCAGCTTTGAAACACTCTTCTTGTAGAAACTGCAAGTGGATATTTGGTCCTCTCTGAGGATTTCGTTGGAAACGGGATAAACCGCACAGAACTAAACAGAAGAATTCTCAGAGCCCTCTTCGTGATGTTTGCATTCAACTCACAGTGCTGAACCTTTCTTTGATAGTGCAGCTTTGAAACACTCTTTTTGTAGAAACTGCAAGTGGATGTTTGGTCCTCTCTGAGGATTTCGTTGGAAACGGGATAAACCGCACAGAACTAAAACAGAAGCATTGTCAGAAACTTCTTTGTGATGATTGCATTCAACTCACAGAGTTGAAGGTTCCTTTTCAAACAGCAGTTTCCAATCACTCTTTCTGTGGAATCTGCAAGTGGATATTTGGGCCTCTCTGAGGATTTCGTTGGAAACGGGATAAAACGCACAGAACTAAAACAGAAGCATTCTCAGAAACTTCTCTGTGATGTTTGTGTTCAACTCCCAGAGTTTCACGTTGCTTTTCATAGAGTAGTTCTGAAACATGCTTTTCGTAGTGTCTGCAAGTGGACATTTGGAGCGCTTTCAGGCCTGTGGTGGAAAACGAATTATGGTCACATAAAAACTGGAGAGAAGCCTTCTCAGAAACTTCTCTGTGATGATTGCATTCAACTCACAGAGTTGAACCCTCCTATGGATAGAGCAGTGTTGAAACTCTCTTTTTGTGGAATCTGCAAGTGGATATGTGGACCTCTCCGAAGATGTCTTTGGAAACGGGAATATCTTCACATAAAAACTAAACAGAAGCATTCTCAGAAACTTCTTGGTGATGTTTGCATTCAAATCCCAGAGTTGAACCTTCCTTTGATAGTTCAGGTTTGAAACACTCTTTTTGTAGGATCTGCAAGTGGCTATTTGGACCACTCTGTGGCCTTCGTTCGAAACGGGTATATCTTCGCATAAAATCTAGACAGAAGCATTCTCAGAAAATACTTTGTGATGATTGAGTTTAAATCACAGAGCTGACCATTCCTTTGGATGGAGCAGGTTTGAGACACACTTTTTGTAGAATCTACAAGTGGATATTTGGACCTCTCTGAGGATTTCGTTGGAAACGGGATAACTGCACCTAACTAAACGGAAACATTCTCAGAAACTGCTTTGTGATGATTGCATTCACCTCACAGAGTTGAACATTCCTATTGATAGAGCAGTTTGGAAACACTCTTGTTGTGGAATGTGCAAGTGGAGATTTGGAGCGCTTTGAGGCCTATGGTAGTAAAGGGAATAGCTTCATAGAAAAACTAGACAGATGCATTCTCAGGAACTTTTTGGTGATGTTTGTATTCAACTCCCAGAGTTGAACTTTCCTTTGGAAAGAGCAGCTATGAAACACTCTTTTTCTAGAATCTGCAAGTGGACGTTTGGAGGGCTTTGTGGTTTGTGGTGGAAAAGGAAATATCTTCACCTAAATACTAGATAGAAGCATTCTCAGAAGCTTCTCTGTGATGACTGCATTCAACTCACGGAGTTGAACACTCCTTTTGAGAGCGCAGTTTTGAAACTCTCTTTCTGTGGCATCTGCAAGGGGACATGTAGACCTCTTTGAAGATTTCGTTGGAAACGGAATCATCTTCACATAAAAACTATACAGAAGCAGTCTCAGAATCTTCTTTGTGATGTTTGCATTCAAATCCCAGAGTTGAACTTTCCTTTCAAAGTTCACGTTTGAAACACTCTTTTTGCAGGATCTACAAGTGGATATTTGGACCACTCTGTGTCCTTCGTTCGAAACGGGTATATCTTCACACGACATCTAGACAGAAGCTTTCTCAGAAAATTCTTTGGGATGATTGAGTGGAACTCACAGAGCTGAACATTCCTTGCGATGTAGCAGTTTAGAAACACACTTTCTGCAGAATCTGCAAGTGCATATTTGGACCTCTCTGAGGAATTCGTTGGAAACGGGATAATTTCAGCTGACTAAACAGAAGCATTCTCAGAACCTTCTTCGTGATGTCTGCATTCAACTCACAGTGTGGAACCTTTCTTTGATAGTTCAGGTTTGAAACACTCTTTTTGTAGAAACTGCAAGGGGATAATTGCACTTCTTTGAGGCCTACCGTAGTAAAGGAAATAACTTCCTATAGAAAGAAGACAGAAGCATTCTCAGAACCCTCTTCGTGATGTTTGCATTCAACTCACAGTGCTGAACCTTTCTTTGATAGTTCAGCTTTGAAACACTCTTCTTGTAGAAACTGCAAGTGGATATTTGGTCCTCTCTGAGGATTTCGTTGGAAACGGGATAAACCGCACAGAACTAAACAGAAGAATTCTCAGAGCCCTCTTCGTGATGTTTGCATTCAACTCACAGTGCTGAACCTTTCTTTGATAGTGCAGCTTTGAAACACTCTTTTTGTAGAAACTGCAAGTGGATGTTTGGTCCTCTCTGAGGATTTCGTTGGAAACGGGATAAACCGCACAGAACTAAAACAGAAGCATTGTCAGAAACTTCTTTGTGATGATTGCATTCAACTCACAGAGTTGAAGGTTCCTTTTCAAACAGCAGTTTCCAATCACTCTTTCTGTGGAATCTGCAAGTGGATATTTGGGCCTCTCTGAGGATTTCGTTGGAAACGGGATAAAACGCACAGAACTAAAACAGAAGCATTCTCAGAAACTTCTCTGTGATGTTTGTGTTCAACTCCCAGAGTTTCACGTTGCTTTTCATAGAGTAGTTCTGAAACATGCTTTTCGTAGTGTCTGCAAGTGGACATTTGGAGCGCTTTCAGGCCTGTGGTGGAAAACGAATTATGGTCACATAAAAACTGGAGAGAAGCCTTCTCAGAAACTTCTCTGTGATGATTGCATTCAACTCACAGGAGTTGAACCCTCCTATGGATAGAGCAGTGTTGAAACTCTCTTTTTGTGGAATCTGCAAGTGGATATGTGGACCTCTCCGAAGATGTCTTTGGAAACGGGAATATCTTCACATAAAAACTAAACAGAAGCATTCTCAGAAACTTCTTGGTGATGTTTGCATTCAAATCCCAGAGTTGAACCTTCCTTTGATAGTTCAGGTTTGAAACACTCTTTCTGTAGGATCTGCAAGTGGCTATTTGGACCACTCTGTGGCCTTCGTTCGAAACGGGTATATCTTCGCATAAAATCTAGACAGAAGCATTCTCAGAAAATACTTTGTGATGATTGAGTTTAACTCACAGAGCTGAACATTCCTTTGGATGGAGCAGGTTTGAGACACACTTTTTGTAGAATCTACAAGTGGATATTTGGACCTCTCTGAGGATTTCGTTGGAAACGGGATAACTGCACCTAACTAAACGGAAGCATTCTCAGAAACTGCTTTGTGATGATTGCATTCACCTCACAGAGTTGAACATTCCTATTGATAGAGCAGTTTGGAAACACTCTTGTTGTGGAATGTGCAAGTGGAGATTTGGAGCGCTTTGAGGCCTATGGTAGTAAAGGGAATAGCTTCATAGAAAAACTAGACAGATGCATTCTCAGGAACTTTTTGGTGATGTTTGTATTCAACTCCCAGAGTTGAACTTTCCTTTGGAAAGAGCAGCTATGAAACACTCTTTTTCTAGAATCTGCAAGTGGACGTTTGGAGGGTTTTGTGGTTTGTGGTGGAAAAGGAAATATCTTCACCTAAATACTAGATAGAAGCATTCTCAGAAGCTTCTCTGTGATGACTGCATTCAACTCACGGAGTTGAACACTCCTTTTGAGAGCGCAGTTTTGAAACTCCCTTTCTGTGGCATCTGCAAGGGGACATGTAGACCTCTTTGAAGATTTCGTTGGAAACGGAATCATCTTCACATAAAAACTATACAGAAGCAGTCTCAGAATCTTCTTTGTGATGTTTGCATTCAAATCCCAGAGTTGAACTTTCCTTTCAAAGTTCACGTTTGAAACACTCTTTTTGCAGGATCTACAAGTGGATATTTGGACCACTCTGTGTCCTTCGTTCGAAACGGGTATATCTTCACATGACATCTAGACAGAAGCTTTCTCAGAAAATTCTTTGGGATGATTGAGTGGAACTCACAGAGCTGAACATTCCTTGCGATGTAGCAGTTTAGAAACACACTTTCTGCAGAATCTGCAAGTGCATATTTGGACCTCTGTGAGGAATTCGTTGGAAACGGGATAATTTCAGCTGACTAAACAGAAGCATTCTCAGAACCTTCTTCGTGATGTCTGCATTCAACTCACAGTGTGGAACCTTTCTTTGATAGTTCAGGTTTGAAACACTCTTTTTGTAGAAACTGCAAGGGGATAATTGCACTTCTTTGAGGCCTACCGTAGTAAAGGAAATAACTTCCTATAGAAAGAAGACAGAAGCATTCTCAGAACCCTCTTCGTGATGTTTGCATTCAACTCACAGTGCTGAACCTTTCTTTGATAGTTCAGCTTTGAAACACTCTTCTTGTAGAAACTGCAAGTGGATATTTGGTCCTCTCTGAGGATTTCGTTGGAAACGGGATAAACCGCACAGAACTAAACAGAAGCATTCTCAGAACCTACTTCGTGATGTTTGCATTCAACTCACAGTGTTGAACCTTTCTTTGATAGTTCAGGTTTGAAACGGTCTTTCTGTAGAAACTGCAAGTAGATATTTGGACCTCTCTGAGGATTTCGTTGGAAACGGGATAAACCGCACAGAACTAAAACAGAAGCATTCACAGAAAACTCTTGGTGACGACTGAGTTTAACTCACAGAGCTGAACATTCCTTTGGATGGAGCAGTTTCGAAACACACTATTTGTAGAATGTGCAAGTGGATATTTGGGCCTCTCTGAGGATTTCGTTGGAAACGGGATAAACCGCACAGAACTAAACAGAAGCATTCTCAGAAACTACTTTGTGATGATTGCATTCAAGTCACAGAGTTGAACATTCCCTTTGACAGAGCAGTTTGGAAACTCTCTTTGTGTAGAATCTGCAAGTGGAGATATGGACCGCTTTGAGGCCTATGGTAGTAAAGGAAATAGCTTCATATAAAAGCTAGACAGTAGCATTCTCAGAAACTTCTTTGTGATGCTTGCATTCAACTCACAGAGTTGAACTTTCCTTTCGAGAGAGAAGCTTTGAAACACTCTTTTTCCAGAATCTGCAAGTGGACATTTGGAGGGCTTTGAGGCCTGTGGTGGAAAAGGAATTAACTTCCCGTAAAAGCTAGATAGAAGCATTGTCAGAAACTTCTTTGTGATGATTGCATTCAACTCACAGAGATGAAGATTCCTTTACAAACAGCAGTTTCCAAACACTCTTTCTGTGGAATCTGCAAGTGGATATTTGGACCTCTTTGAAGATTTCGTTGGAAACGGGAGAATCTTCACAGAAAAGCTAAACAGAAGCATTCTCAGAAACTTCTCTGTGATGTTTGTGTTCAACTCCCAGAGTTTCACATTGCTTTTCATAGAGTAGTTCTGAAACATGCTTTTCGTAGTGTCTGCAAGTGGACATTTGGAGCGCTTTCAGGCCTGTGGTGGAAAACGAATTATGGTCCCATAAAAACTGGAGAGAAGCCTTCTCAGAAACTTCTCTGTGATGATTGCATTCAACTCACAGATTTGAACCCTCCTATGGATAGAGCATTCTTGAAACTCTCTTTTTGTGGAATCTGCAAGTGGATATGTGGACCTCTCCGAAGATGTCTTTGGAAACGGGAATATCTTCACATAAAAACTAAACAGAAGCATTCTCAGAAACTTCTTGGTGATGTTTGCATTCAAATCCCAGTAGTTGAACCTTCCTGTGATAGTTCAGGTTTGAAACACTCTTTTTGTAGGATCTGCAAGTGGATATTTGGACCACTCTGTGGCCTTCGTTCGAAACGGGTACATCTTCACATAAAATCTAGACAGAAGCATTCTCAGAAAATACTTTGTGATGATTGAGTTTAAATCACAGAGCTGACCATTCCTTTGGATGGAGCAGGTTTGAGACACACTTTTTGTAGAATCTACAAGTGGATATTTGGACCTCTCTGAGGATTTCGTTGGAAACGGGATAACTGCACCTAACTAAACGGAAGCATTCTCAGAAACTGCTTTGTGATGATTGCATTCACCTCACAGAGTTGAACATTCCTATTGATAGAGCAGTTTGGAAACACTCTTGTTGTGGAATGTGCAAGTGGAGATTTGGAGCGCTTTGAGGCCTATGGTAGTAAAGGGAATAGCTTCATAGAAAAACTAGACAGATGCATTCTCAGGAACTTTTTGGTGATGTTTGTATTCAACTCCCAGAGTTGAACTTTCCTTTGGAAAGAGCAGCTATGAAACACTCTTTTTCTAGAATCTGCAAGTGGACGTTTGGAGGGCTTTGTGGTTTGTGGTGGAAAAGGAAATATCTTCACCTAAATACTAGATAGAAGCATTCTCAGAAGCTTCTCTGTGATGACTGCATTCAACTCACGGAGTTGAACACTCCTTTTGAGAGCGCAGTTTTGAAACTCTCTTTCTGTGGCATCTGCAAGGGGACATGTAGACCTCTTTGAAGATTTCGTTGGAAACGGAATCATCTTCACATAAAAACTATACAGAAGCAGTCTCAGAATCTTCTTTGTGATGTTTGCATTCAAATCCCAGAGTTGAACTTTCCTTTCAAAGTTCACGTTTGAAACACTCTTTTTGCAGGATCTACAAGTGGATATTTGGACCACTCTGTGTCCTTCGTTCGAAACGGGTATATCTTCACACGACATCTAGACAGAAGCTTTCTCAGAAAATTCTTTGGGATGATTGAGTGGAACTCACAGAGCTGAACATTCCTTGCGATGTAGCAGTTTAGAAACACACTTTCTGCAGAATCTGCAAGTGCATATTTGGACCTCTCTGAGGAATTCGTTGGAAACGGGATAATTTCAGCTGACTAAACAGAAGCATTCTCAGAACCTTCTTCGTGATGTCTGCATTCAACTCACAGTGTGGAACCTTTCTTTGATAGTTCAGGTTTGAAACACTCTTTTTGTAGAAACTGCAAGGGGATAATTGCACTTCTTTGAGGCCTACCGTAGTAAAGGAAATAACTTCCTATAGAAAGAAGACAGAAGCATTCTCAGAACCCTCTTCGTGATGTTTGCATTCAACTCACAGTGCTGAACCTTTCTTTGATAGTTCAGCTTTGAAACACTCTTCTTGTAGAAACTGCAAGTGGATATTTGGTCCTCTCTGAGGATTTCGTTGGAAACGGGATAAACCGCACAGAACTAAACAGAAGAATTCTCAGAGCCCTCTTCGTGATGTTTGCATTCAACTCACAGTGCTGAACCTTTCTTTGATAGTGCAGCTTTGAAACACTCTTTTTGTAGAAACTGCAAGTGGATGTTTGGTCCTCTCTGAGGATTTCGTTGGAAACGGGATAAACCGCACAGAACTAAAACAGAAGCATTGTCAGAAACTTCTTTGTGATGATTGCATTCAACTCACAGAGTTGAAGGTTCCTTTTCAAACAGCAGTTTCCAATCACTCTTTCTGTGGAATCTGCAAGTGGATATTTGGGCCTCTCTGAGGATTTCGTTGGAAACGGGATAAAACGCACAGAACTAAAACAGAAGCATTCTCAGAAACTTCTCTGTGATGTTTGTGTTCAACTCCCAGAGTTTCACGTTGCTTTTCATAGAGTAGTTCTGAAACATGCTTTTCGTAGTGTCTGCAAGTGGACATTTGGAGCGCTTTCAGGCCTGTGGTGGAAAACGAATTATGGTCACATAAAAACTGGAGAGAAGCCTTCTCAGAAACTTCTCTGTGATGATTGCATTCAACTCACAGAGTTGAACCCTCCTATGGATAGAGCAGTGTTGAAACTCTCTTTTTGTGGAATCTGCAAGTGGATATGTGGACCTCTCCGAAGATGTCTTTGGAAACGGGAATATCTTCACATAAAAACTAAACAGAAGCATTCTCAGAAACTTCTTGGTGATGTTTGCATTCAAATCCCAGAGTTGAACCTTCCTTTGATAGTTCAGGTTTGAAACACTCTTTCTGTAGGATCTGCAAGTGGCTATTTGGACCACTCTGTGGCCTTCGTTCGAAACGGGTATATCTTCGCATAAAATCTAGACAGAAGCATTCTCAGAAAATACTTTGTGATGATTGAGTTTAAATCACAGAGCTGACCATTCCTTTGGATGGAGCAGGTTTGAGACACACTTTTTGTAGAATCTACAAGTGGATATTTGGACCTCTCTGAGGATTTCGTTGGAAACGGGATAACTGCACCTAACTAAACGGAAGCATTCTCAGAAACTGCTTTGTGATGATTGCATTCACCTCACAGAGTTGAACATTCCTATTGATAGAGCAGTTTGGAAACACTCTTGTTGTGGAATGTGCAAGTGGAGATTTGGAGCGCTTTGAGGCCTGTGGTAGTAAAGGGAATAGCTTCATAGAAAAACTAGACAGATGCATTCTCAGGAACTTTTTGGTGATGTTTGTATTCAACTCCCAGAGTTGAACTTTCCTTTGGAAAGAGCAGCTATGAAACACTCTTTTTCTAGAATCTGCAAGTGGACGTTTGGAGGGCTTTGTGGTTTGTGGTGGAAAAGGAAATATCTTCACCTAAATACTAGATAGAAGCATTCTCAGAAGCTTCTCTGTGATGACTGCATTCAACTCACGGAGTTGAACACTCCTTTTGAGAGCGCAGTTTTGAAACTCTCTTTCTGTGGCATCCGCAAGGGGACATGTGGACCTCTTTGAAGATTTCGTTGGAAACGGAATCATCTTCACATAAAAACTATACAGAAGCAGTCTCAGAATCTTCTTTGTGATGTTTGCATTCAAATCCCAGAGTTGAACTTTCCTTTCAAAGTTCACGTTTGAAACACTCTTTTTGCAGGATCTACAAGTGGATATTTGGACCACTCTGTGTCCTCCGTTCGAAACGGGTATATCTTCACATGACATCTAGACAGAAGCTTTCTCAGAAAATTCTTTGGGATGATTGAGTGGAACTCACAGAGCTGAACATTCCTTGCGATGTAGCAGTTTAGAAACACACTTTCTGCAGAATCTGCAAGTGCATATTTGGACCTCTCTGAGGAATTCGTTGGAAACGGGATAATTTCAGCTGACTAAACAGAAGCATTCTCAGAACCTTCTTCGTGATGTCTGCATTCAACTCACAGTGTGGAACCTTTCTTTGATAGTTCAGGTTTGAAACACTCTTTTTGTAGAAACTGCAAGGGGATAATTGCACTTCTTTGAGGCCTACCGTAGTAAAGGAAATAACTTCCTATAGAAAGAAGACAGAAGCATTCTCAGAACCCTCTTCGTGATGTTTGCATTCAACTCACAGTGCTGAACCTTTCTTTGATAGTTCAGCTTTGAAACACTCTTCTTGTAGAAACTGCAAGTGGATATTTGGTCCTCTCTGAGGATTTCGTTGGAAACGGGATAAACCGCACAGAACTAAACAGAAGAATTCTCAGAGCCCTCTTCGTGATGTTTGCATTCAACTCACAGTGCTGAACCTTTCTTTGATAGTGCAGCTTTGAAACACTCTTTTTGTAGAAACTGCAAGTGGATGTTTGGTCCTCTCTGAGGATTTTGTTGGAAACGGGATAAACCGCACAGAACTAAAACAGAAGCATTGTCAGAAACTTCTTTGTGATGATTGCATTCAACTCACAGAGTTGAAGGTTCCTTTTCAAACAGCAGTTTCCAATCACTCTTTCTGTGGAATCTGCAAGTGGATATTTGGGCCTCTCTGAGGATTTCGTTGGAAACGGGATAAAACGCACAGAACTAAAACAGAAGCATTCTCAGAAACTTCTTTGTGATGTTTGTGTTCAACTCCCAGAGTTTCACGTTGCTTTTCATAGAGTAGTTCTGAAACATGCTTTTCGTAGTGTCTGCAAGTGGACATTTGGAGCGCTTTCAGGCCTGTGGTGGAAAACGAATTATGGTCACATAAAAACTGGAGAGAAGCCTTCTCAGAAACTTCTCTGTGATGATTGCATTCAACTCACAGAGTTGAACCCTCCTATGGATAGAGCAGTGTTGAAACTCTCTTTTTGTGGAATCTGCAAGTGGATATGTGGACCTCTCCGAAGATGTCTTTGGAAACGGGAATATCTTCACATAAAAACTAAACAGAAGCATTCTCAGAAACTTCTTGGTGATGTTTGCATTCAAATCCCAGAGTTGAACCTTCCTTTGATAGTTCAGGTTTGAAACACTCTTTCTGTAGGATCTGCAAGTGGCTATTTGGACCACTCTGTGGCCCTTCGTTCGAAACGGGTATATCTTCGCATAAAATCTAGACAGAAGCATTCTCAGAAAATACTTTGTGATGATTGAGTTTAAATCACAGAGCTGACCATTCCTTTGGATGGAGCAGGTTTGAGACACACTTTTTGTAGAATCTACAAGTGGATATTTGGACCTCTCTGAGGATTTCGTTGGAAACGGGATAACTGCACCTAACTAAACGGAAGCATTCTCAGAAACTGCTTTGTGATGATTGCATTCACCTCACAGAGTTGAACATTCCTATTGATAGAGCAGTTTGGAAACACTCTTGTTGCGGAATGTGCAAGTGGAGATTTGGAGCGCTTTGAGGCCTGTGGTAGTAAAGGGAATAGCTTCATAGAAAAACTAGACAGATGCATTCTCAGGAACTTTTTGGTGATGTTTGTATTCAACTCCCAGAGTTGAACTTTCCTTTGGAAAGAGCAGCTATGAAACACTCTTTTTCTAGAATCTGCAAGTGGACGTTTGGAGGGCTTTGTGGTTTGTGGTGGAAAAGGAAATATCTTCACCTAAATACTAGATAGAAAGCATTCTCAGTAAGCTTCTCTGTGATGACTGCATTCAACTCACGGAGTTGAACACTCCTTTTGAGAGCGCAGTTTTGAAACTCTCTTTCTGTGGCATCTGCAAGGGGACATGTAGACCTCTTTGAAGATTTCGTTGGAAACGGAATCATCTTCACATAAAAACTATACAGAAGCAGTCTCAGAATCTTCTTTGTGATGTTTGCATTCAAATCCCAGAGTTGAACTTCCCTTTCAAAGTTCACGTTTGAAACACTCTTTTTGCAGGATGTACAAGTGGATATTTGGAGCACTCTGTGTCCTTCGTTCGAAACGGGTATATCTTCACATGACATCTAGACAGAAGCTTTCTCAGAAAATTCTTTGGGATGATTGAGTGGAACTCACAGAGCTGAACATTCCTTGCGATGTAGCAGTTTAGAAACACACTTTCTGCAGAATCTGCAAGTGCATATTTGGACCTCTCTGAGGAATTCGTTGGAAACGGGATAATTTCAGCTGACTAAACAGAAGCATTCTCAGAACCTTCTTCGTGATGTCTGCATTCAACTCACAGTGTGGAACCTTTCTTTGATAGTTCAGGTTTGAAACACTCTTTTTGTAGAAACTGCAAGGGGATAATTGCACTTCTTTGAGGCCTACCGTAGTAAAGGAAATAACTTCCCTATAGAAAGAAGACAGAAGCATTCTCAGAACCCTCTTCGTGATGTTTGCATTCAACTCACAGTGCTGAACCTTTCTTTGATAGTTCAGCTTTGAAACACTCTTCTTGTAGAAACTGCAAGTGGATATTTGGTCCTCTCTGAGGATTTCGTTGGAAACGGGATAAACCGCACAGAACTAAACAGAAGCATTCTCAGAGCCCTCTTCGTGATGTTTGTATTCAACTCACAGTGCTGAACCTTTCTTTGATAGTGCAGCTTTGAAACACTCTTTTTGTAGAAACTGCAAGTGGATGTTTTGTCCTCCCTGAGGATTTCGTTGGAAACGGGATAAACCGCACAGAACTAAAACAGAAGCATTCACAGAAAACTCTTGGTGACGACTGAGTTTAACTCACAGAGCTGAACATTCCTTTGGATGGAGCAGTTTCGAAACACACTATTTGTAGAATCTGCAAGTGGATATTTGGGCCTCTCTGAGGATTTCGTTGGAAACGGGATAAACCGCACAGAACTAAAACAGAAGCATTCTCAGAAACTACTTTGTGATGATTGCATTCAAGTCACAGAGTTGAACATTCCCTTTGACAGAGCAGTTTGGAAACTCTCTTTGTGTAGAATCTGCAAGTGGAGATATGGACCGCTTTGAGGCCTATGGTAGTAAAGGAAATAGCTTCATATAAAAGCTAGACAGTAGCATTCTCAGAAACTTCTTTGTGATGCTTGCATTCAACTCACAGAGTTGAACTTTCCTTTCGAGAGAGAAGCTTTGAAATACTCTTTTTCCAGAATCTGCAAGTGGACATTTGGAGGGCTTTGAGGCCTGTGGTGGAAAAGGAATTATCTTCCCGTAAAAGCTAGATGGAAGCATTGTCAGAAACTTCTTTGTGATGATTGCATTCAACTCACAGAGTTGAAGGTTCCTTTTCAAACAGCAGTTTCCAATCACTCTTTCTGTGGAATCTGCAAGTGGATATTTGGACCTATTTTGAAGATTTCGTTGGAAACGGGATAATCTTCACAGAAAAGCTAAACAGAAGCATTCTCAGAAACTTCTCTGTGATGTTTGTGTTCAACTCCCAGAGTTTCACGTTGCTTTTCATAGAGTAGTTCTGAAACATGCTTTTCGTAGTGTCTGCAAGTGGACATTTGGAGCGCTTTCAGGCCTGTGGTGGAAAACGAATTATGGTCACATAAAAACTGGAGAGAAGCCTTCTCAGAAACTTCTCTGTGATGATTGCATTCAACTCACAGAGTTGAACCCTCCTATGGATAGAGCAGTGTTGAAACTCTCTTTTTGTGGAATCTGCAAGTGGATATGTGGACCTCTCCGAAGATGTCTTTGGAAACGGGAATATCTTCACATAAAAACTAAACAGAAGCATTCTCAGAAACTTCTTGGTGATGTTTGCATTCAAATCCCAGAGTTGAACCTTCCTTTGATAGTTCAGGTTTGAAACACTCTTTCTGTAGGATCTGCAAGTGGCTATTTGGACCACTCTGTGGCCTTCGTTCGAAACGGGTATATCTTCGCATAAAATCTAGACAGAAGCATTCTCAGAAAATACTTTGTGATGATTGAGTTTAAATCACAGAGCTGACCATTCCTTTGGATGGAGCAGGTTTGAGACACACTTTTTGTAGAATCTACAAGTGGATATTTGGACCTCTCTGAGGATTTCGTTGGAAACGGGATAACTGCACCTAACTAAACGGAAGCATTCTCAGAAACTGCTTTGTGATGATTGCATTCACCTCACAGAGTTGAACATTCCTATTGATAGAGCAGTTTGGAAACACTCTTGTTGTGGAATGTGCAAGTGGAGATTTGGAGCGCTTTGAGGCCTGTGGTAGTAAAGGGAATAGCTTCATAGAAAAACTAGACAGATGCATTCTCAGGAACCTTTTGGTGATGTTTGTATTCAACTCCCAGAGTTGAACTTTCCTTTGGAAAGAGCAGCTATGAAACACTCTTTTTCTAGAATCTGCAAGTGGACGTTTGGAGGGCTTTGTGGTTTGTGGTGGAAAAGGAAATATCTTCACCTAAATACTAGACAGAAGCATTCTCAGAAGCTTCTCTGTGATGACTGCATTCAACTCACGGAGTTGAACACTCCTTTTGAGAGCGCAGTTTTGAAACTCTCTTTCTGTGGCATCTGCAAGGGGACATGTAGACCTCTTTGAAGATTTCGTTGGAAACGGAATCATCTTCACATAAAAACTATACAGAAGCAGTCTCAGAATCTTCTTTGTGATGTTTGCATTCAAATCCCAGAGTTGAACTTTCCTTTCAAAGTTCACGTTTGAAACACTCTTTTTGCAGGATCTACAAGTGGATATTTGGACCACTCTGTGTCCTTCGTTCGAAACGGGTATATCTTCACACGACATCTAGACAGAAGCTTTCTCAGAAAATTCTTTGGGATGATTGAGTGGAACTCACAGAGCTGAACATTCCTTGCGATGTAGCAGTTTAGAAACACACTTTCTGCAGAATCTGCAAGTGCATATTTGGACCTCTCTGAGGAATTCGTTGGAAACGGGATAATTTCAGCTGACTAAACAGAAGCATTCTCAGAACCTTCTTCGTGATGTCTGCATTCAACTCACAGTGTGGAACCTTTCTTTGATAGTTCAGGTTTGAAACACTCTTTTTGTAGAAACTGCAAGGGGATAATTGCACTTCTTTGAGGCCTACCGTAGTAAAGGAAATAACTTCCTATAGAAAGAAGACAGAAGCATTCTCAGAACCCTCTTCGTGATGTTTGCATTCAACTCACAGTGCTGAACCTTTCTTTGATAGTTCAGCTTTGAAACACTCTTCTTGTAGAAACTGCAAGTGGATATTTGGTCCTCTCTGAGGATTTCGTTGGAAACGGGATAAACCGCACAGAACTAAACAGAAGAATTCTCAGAGCCCTCTTCGTGATGTTTGCATTCAACTCACAGTGCTGAACCTTTCTTTGATAGTGCAGCTTTGAAACACTCTTTTTGTAGAAACTGCAAGTGGATGTTTGGTCCTCTCTGAGGATTTCGTTGGAAACGGGATAAACCGCACAGAACTAAAACAGAAGCATTGTCAGAAACTTCTTTGTGATGATTGCATTCAACTCACAGAGTTGAAGGTTCCTTTTCAAACAGCAGTTTCCAATCACTCTTTCTGTGGAATCTGCAAGTGGATATTTGGGCCTCTCTGAGGATTTCGTTGGAAACGGGATAAAACGCACAGAACTAAAACAGAAGCATTCTCAGAAACTTCTCTGTGATGTTTGTGTTCAACTCCCAGAGTTTCACGTTGCTTTTCATAGAGTAGTTCTGAAACATGCTTTTCGTAGTGTCTGCAAGTGGACATTTGGAGCGCTTTCAGGCCTGTGGTGGAAAACGAATTATGGTCACATAAAAACTGGAGAGAAGCCTTCTCAGAAACTTCTCTGTGATGATTGCATTCAACTCACAGAGTTGAACCCTCCTATGGATAGAGCAGTGTTGAAACTCTCTTTTTGTGGAATCTGCAAGTGGATATGTGGACCTCTCCGAAGATGTCTTTGGAAACGGGAATATCTTCACATAAAAACTAAACAGAAGCATTCTCAGAAACTTCTTGGTGATGTTTGCATTCAAATCCCAGAGTTGAACCTTCCTTTGATAGTTCAGGTTTGAAACACTCTTTCTGTAGGATCTGCAAGTGGCTATTTGGACCACTCTGTGGCCTTCGTTCGAAACGGGTATATCTTCGCATAAAATCTAGACAGAAGCATTCTCAGAAAATACTTTGTGATGATTGAGTTTAAATCACAGAGCTGACCATTCCTTTGGATGGAGCAGGTTTGAGACACACTTTTTGTAGAATCTACAAGTGGATATTTGGACCTCTCTGAGGATTTCGTTGGAAACGGGATAACTGCACCTAACTAAACGGAAGCATTCTCAGAAACTGCTTTGTGATGATTGCATTCACCTCACAGAGTTGAACATTCCTATTGATAGAGCAGTTTGGAAACACTCTTGTTGTGGAATGTGCAAGTGGAGATTTGGAGCGCTTTGAGGCCTATGGTAGTAAAGGGAATAGCTTCATAGAAAAACTAGACAGATGCATTCTCAGGAACTTTTTGGTGATGTTTGTATTCAACTCCCAGAGTTGAACTTTCCTTTGGAAAGAGCAGCTATGAAACACTCTTTTTCTAGAATCTGCAAGTGGACGTTTGGAGGGCTTTGTGGTTTGTGGTGGAAAAGGAAATATCTTCACCTAAATACTAGATAGAAGCATTCTCAGAAGCTTCTCTGTGATGACTGCATTCAACTCACGGAGTTGAACACTCCTTTTGAGAGCGCAGTTTTGAAACTCTCTTTCTGTGGCATCTGCAAGGGGACATGTAGACCTCTTTGAAGATTTCGTTGGAAACGGAATCATCTTCACATAAAAACTATACAGAAGCAGTCTCAGAATCTTCTTTGTGATGTTTGCATTCAAATCCCAGAGTTGAACTTTCCTTTCAAAGTTCACGTTTGAAACACTCTTTTTGCAGGATCTACAAGTGGATATTTGGACCACTACTGTGTCCTTCGTTCGAAACGGGTATATCTTCACATGACATCTAGACAGAAGCTTTCTCAGAAAATTCTTTGGGATGATTGAGTGGAACTCACAGAGCTGAACATTCCTTGCGATGTAGCAGTTTAGAAACACACTTTCTGCAGAATCTGCAAGTGCATATTTGGACCTCTCTGAGGAATTCGTTGGAAACGGGATAATTTCAGCTGACTAAACAGAAGCATTCTCAGAACCTTCTTCGTGATGTCTGCATTCAACTCACAGTGTGGAACCTTTCTTTGATAGTTCAGGTTTGAAACACTCTTTTTGTAGAAACTGCAAGGGGATAATTGCACTTCTTTGAGGCCTACCGTAGTAAAGGAAATAACTTCCTATAGAAAGAAGACAGAAGCATTCTCAGAACCCTCTTCGTGATGTTTGCATTCAACTCACAGTGCTGAACCTTTCTTTGATAGTTCAGCTTTGAAACACTCTTCTTGTAGAAACTGCAAGTGGATATTTGGTCCTCTCTGAGGATTTCGTTGGAAACGGGATAAACCGCACAGAACTAAACAGAAGAATTCTCAGAGCCCTCTTCGTGATGTTTGCATTCAACTCACAGTGCTGAACTTTTCTTTGATAGTGCAGCTTTGAAACACTCTTTTTGTAGAAACTGCAAGTGGATGTTTGGTCCTCTCTGAGGATTTCGTTGGAAACGGGATAAACCGCACAGAACTAAAACAGAAGCATTCTCAGAACCTTCTTCGTGATGTTTGCATTCAACTCACAGTGTTGAACCTTTCTTTGATAGTTCAGGTTTGAAACGGTCTTTCTGTAGAAACTGCAAGTAGATATTTGGACCTCTCTGAGGATTTCGTTGGAAACGGGATAACCCGCACAGAACTAAAACAGAAGCATTCACAGAAAACTCTTGGTGACGACTGAGTTTAACTCACAGAGCTGAACATTCCTTTGGATGGAGCAGTTTCGAAACACACTATTTGTAGAATGTGCAAGTGGATATTTAGGCCTCTCTGAGGATTTCGTTGGAAACGGGGTAAACCGCACAGAACTAAACAGAAGCATTCTCAGAAACTACTTTGTGATGATTGCATTCAAGTCACAGAGTTGAACATTCCCTTTGACAGAGCAGTTTGGAAACTCTCTTTGTGTAGAATCTGCAAGTGGAGATATGGACCGCTTTGAGGCCTATGGTAGTAAAGGAAATAGCTTCATATAAAAGCTAGACAGTAGCATTCTCAGAAACTTCTTTGTGATGCTTGCATTCAACTCACAGAGTTGAACTTTCCTTTCGAGAGAGAAGCTTTGAAACACTCTTTTTCCAGAATCTGCAAGTGGACATTTGGAGGGCTTTGAGGCCTGTGGTGGAAAAGGAATTATCTTCCCGTAAAAGCTAGATAGAAGCATTGTCAGAAACTTCTTTGTGATGATTGCATTCAACTCACAGAGTTGAAGGTTCCTTTTCAAAGAGCAGTTTCCAATCACTCTTTCTGTGGAATCTGCAAGTGGATATTCGGACCTATTTTGAAGATTTTGTTGGAAACGGGAGAATCTTCACAGGAAAGCTAAACAGAAGCATTCTCAGAAACTTCTCTGTGATGTTTGTGTTCAACTCCCAGAGTTTCACATTGCTTTTCATAGAGTAGTTCTGAAACATGCTTTTCGTAGTGTCTACAAGTGGACATTTGGAGCGCTTTCAGGCCTGTGGTGGAAAACGAATTATGGTCACATAAAAACTGGAGAGAAGCCTTCTCAGAAACTTCTCTGTGATGATTGCATTCAACTCACAGAGTTGAACCCTCCTATGGATAGAGCAGTGTTGAAACTCTCTTTTTGTGGAATCTGCAAGTGGATACGTGGACCTCTCCGAAGATGTCTTTGGAAACGGGAATATCTTCACATAAAAACTAAACAGAAGCATTCTCAGAAACTTCTTGGTGATGTTTGCATTCAAATCCCAGAGTTGAACCTTCCTTTGATAGTTCAGGTTTGAAACACTCTTTTTGTAGGATCTGCAAGTGGATATTTGGACCACTCTGTGGCCTTCGTTCGAAACGGGTATATCTTCGCATAAAATCTAGACAGAAGCATTCTCAGAAAATACTTTGTGATGATTGAGTTTAAATCACAGAGCTGAACATTCCTTTGGATGGAGCAGGTTTGAGACACACTTTTTGTAGAATCTACAAGTGGATATTTGGACCTCTCTGAGGATTTCGTTGGAAACGGGATAACTGCACCTAACTAAACGGAAGCATTCTCAGAAACTGCTTTGTGATGATTGCATTCACCTCACCAGAGTTGAACATTCCTATTGATAGAGCAGTTTGGAAACACTCTTGTTGTGGAATGTGCAAGTGGAGATTTGGAGCGCTTTGAGGCCTATGGTAGTAAAGGGAATAGCTTCATAGAAAAACTAGACAGATGCATTCTCAGGAACTTTTTGGTGATGTTTGTATTCAACTCCCAGAGTTGAACTTTCCCTTTGGAAAGAGCAGCTATGAAACACTCTTTTTCTAGAATCTGCAAGTGGACGTTTGGAGGGCTTTGTGGTTTGTGGTGGAAAAGGAAATATCTTCACCTAAATACTAGATAGAAGCATTCTCAGAAGCTTCTCTGTGATGACTGCATTCAACTCACGGAGTTGAACACTCCTTTTGAGAGCGCAGTTTTGAAACTCTCTTTCTGTGGCATCTGCAAGGGGACATGTAGACCTCTTTGAAGATTTCGTTGGAAACGGAATCATCTTCACATAAAAACTATACAGAAGCAGTCTCAGAATCTTCTTTGTGATGTTTGCATTCAAATCCCAGAGTTGAACTTTCCTTTCAAAGTTCACGTTTGAAACACTCTTTTTGCAGGATCTACAAGTGGATATTTGGACCACTCTGTGTCCTTCGTTCGAAACGGGTATATCTTCACACGACATCTAGACAGAAGCTTTCTCAGAAAATTCTTTGGGATGATTGAGTGGAACTCACAGAGCTGAACATTCCTTGCGATGTAGCAGTTTAGAAACACACTTTCTGCAGAATCTGCAAGTGCATATTTGGACCTCTCTGAGGAATTCGTTGGAAACGGGATAATTTCAGCTGACTAAACAGAAGCATTCTCAGAACCTTCTTCGTGATGTCTGCATTCAACTCACAGTGTGGAACCTTTCTTTGATAGTTCAGGTTTGAAACACTCTTTTTGTAGAAACTGCAAGGGGATAATTGCACTTCTTTGAGGCCTACCGTAGTAAAGGAAATAACTTCCTATAGAAAGAAGACAGAAGCATTCTCAGAACCCTCTTCGTGATGTTTGCATTCAACTCACAGTGCTGAACCTTTCTTTGATAGTTCAGCTTTGAAACACTCTTCTTGTAGAAACTGCAAGTGGATATTTGGTCCTCTCTGAGGATTTCGTTGGAAACGGGATAAACCGCACAGAACTAAACAGAAGAATTCTCAGAGCCCTCTTCGTGATGTTTGCATTCAACTCACAGTGCTGAACCTTTCTTTGATAGTGCAGCTTTGAAACACTCTTTTTGTAGAAACTGCAAGTGGATGTTTGGTCCTCTCTGAGGATTTCGTTGGAAACGGGATAAACCGCACAGAACTAAAACAGAAGCATTGTCAGAAACTTCTTTGTGATGATTGCATTCAACTCACAGAGTTGAAGGTTCCTTTTCAAACAGCAGTTTCCAATCACTCTTTCTGTGGAATCTGCAAGTGGATATTTGGGCCTCTCTGAGGATTTCGTTGGAAACGGGATAAAACGCACAGAACTAAAACAGAAGCATTCTCAGAAACTTCTCTGTGATGTTTGTGTTCAACTCCCAGAGTTTCACGTTGCTTTTCATAGAGTAGTTCTGAAACATGCTTTTCGTAGTGTCTGCAAGTGGACATTTGGAGCGCTTTCAGGCCTGTGGTGGAAAACGAATTATGGTCACATAAAAACTGGAGAGAAGCCTTCTCAGAAACTTCTCTGTGATGATTGCATTCAACTCACAGAGTTGAACCCTCCTATGGATAGAGCAGTGTTGAAACTCTCTTTTTGTGGAATCTGCAAGTGGATATGTGGACCTCTCCGAAGATGTCTTTGGAAACGGGAATATCTTCACATAAAAACTAAACAGAAGCATTCTCAGAAACTTCTTGGTGATGTTTGCATTCAAATCCCAGAGTTGAACCTTCCTTTGATAGTTCAGGTTTGAAACACTCTTTCTGTAGGATCTGCAAGTGGCTATTTGGACCACTCTGTGGCCTTCGTTCGAAACGGGTATATCTTCGCATAAAATCTAGACAGAAGCATTCTCAGAAAATACTTTGTGATGATTGAGTTTAAATCACAGAGCTGACCATTCCTTTGGATGGAGCAGGTTTGAGACACACTTTTTGTAGAATCTACAAGTGGATATTTGGACCTACTCCTGAGGATTTCGTTGGAAACGGGATAACTGCACCTAACTAAACGGAAGCATTCTCAGAAACTGCTTTGTGATGATTGCATTCACCTCACAGAGTTGAATATTCCTATTGATAGAGCAGTTTGGAAAAACTCTTGTTGTGGAATGTGCAAGTGGAGATTTGAAGCGCTTTGAGGCCTATGGTAGTAAAGGGAATAGCTTCATAGAAAAACTAGACAGATGCATTCTCAGGAACTTTTTGGTGATGTTTGTATTCAACTCCCAGAGTTGAACTTTCCTTTGGAAAGAGCAGCTATGAAACACTCTTTTTCTAGAATCTGCAAGTGGACGTTGGAGGGCTTTGTGGTTTGTGGTGGAAAAGGAAATATCTTCACCTAAATACTAGATAGAAGCATTCTCAGAAGCTTCTCTGTGATGACTGCATTCGACTCACGGAGTTGAACACTCCTTTTGAGAGCGCAGTTTTGAAACTCTCTTTCTGTGGCATCTGCAAGGGGACATGTAGACCTCTTTGAAGATTTCGTTGGAAACGGAATCATCTTCACATCAAAACTATACAGAAGCAGTCTCAGAATCTTCTTTGTGATGTTTCGCATTCAAATCCCAGAGTTGAACTTTCCTTTCCAAGTTCACGTTTGAAACACTCTTTTTGCAGGATCTACAAGTGGATATTTGGACCACTCTGTGTCCTTCGTTCGAAACGGGTATATCTTCACATGACATCTAGACAGAAGCTTTCTCAGAAAATTCTTTGGGATGATTGAGTGGAACTCACAGAAGCTGAACATTCCTTGCGATGTAGCAGTTTAGAAACACACTTTCTGCAGAATCTGCAAGTGCATATGTGGACCTCTCTGAGGAATTCGTTGGAAACGGGATAATTTCAGCTGACTAAACAGAAGCATTCTCAGAACCATCTTCGTGATGTCTGCATTCAACTCACAGTGTGGAACCTTTCTTTGATAGTTCAGGTTTGAAACACTCTTTTTGTAGAAACTGCAAGGGGATCATTGCACTTCTTTGAGGCCTACCGTAGTAAAGTAGATAACTTCCTACAAAAAGAAGACAGAAGCATTCTCAGAAAATTCTTTGTGATGACTGAGTTTAACTCACAGGGCTGAACATTCCTTTGGATGGAGCAGTTTCGAATCACACTCTTTGTAGAACCTGCAAGTGGATATTTGGTCCTCTCTGAGGATTTCGTTGGAAACCGGATATACCGCACAGAACTAAACAGAAGCATTCTCAGAAACTACTTTGTGATGATTGCATTCAAGTCACAGAGTTGAACATTCCCTTTGACAGAGCAGTTTGGAAACTCTCTTTGTGTAGAATCTGCAAGTGGAGATATGGACCGCTTTGAGGCCTATGGTAGTAAAGGAAATAGCTTCATATAAAAGCTAGACAGTAGCATTCTCAGAAACTTCTTTGTGATGCTTGCATTCAACTCACAGAGTTGAACTTTCCTTTCGAGAGAGAAGCTTTGAAACACTCTTTTTCCAGAATGTGCAAGTGGACATTTGGGGAGCTTTGAGGCCTGTGGTGGAAAAGGAATTATCTTCCCGTAAAAGCTAGATAGAAGCATTGTCAGAAACTTCTTTGAGATGATTGCATTCAACTCACAGAGTTGAAGGTTCCTTTTCAAACAGCAGTTTCCAATCACTCTTTCTGTGGAATCTGCAAGTGGATATTTCGACCTCTTTGAAGATTTCGTTGGAAACGGGAGAATCTTCACAGAAAAGCTAAACAGAAGCATTCTCAGAAACTTCTCTGTGATGTTTGTGTTCAACTCCCAGAGTTTCACGTTGCTTTTCATAGAGTAGTTCTGAAACATGCTTTTCGTAGTGTCTGCAAGTGGACATTTGGAGCGCTTTCAGGCCTGTGGTGGAAAACGAATTATGGTCACATAAAAACTGGAGAGAAGCCTTCTCAGAAACTTCTCTGTGATGATTGCATTCAACTCACAGAGTTGAACCCTCCTATGGATAGAGCAGTGTTGAAACTCTCTTTTTGTGGAATCTGCAAGTGGATATGTGGACCTCTCCGAAGATGTCTTTGGAAACGGGAATATCTTCACATAAAAACTAAACAGAAGCATTCTCAGAAACTTCTTGGTGATGTTTGCATTCAAATCCCAGAGTTGAACCTTCCTTTGATAGTTCAGGTTTGAAACACTCTTTCTGTAGGATCTGCAAGTGGCTATTTGGACCACTCTGTGGCCTTCGTTCGAAACGGGTATATCTTCGCATAAAATCTAGACAGAAGCATTCTCAGAAAATACTTTGTGATGATTGAGTTTAAATCACAGAGCTGACCATTCCTTTGGATGGAGCAGGTTTGAGACACACTTTTTGTAGAATCTACAAGTGGATATTTGGACCTCTCTGAGGATTTCGTTGGAAACGGGATAACTGCACCTAACTAAACGGAAGCATTCTCAGAAACTGCTTTGTGATGATTGCATTCACCTCACAGAGTTGAACATTCCTATTGATAGAGCAGTTTGGAAACACTCTTGTTGTGGAATGTGCAAGTGGAGATTTGGAGCGCTTTGAGGCCTGTGGTAGCAAAGGGAATAGCTTCATAGAAAAACTAGACAGATGCATTCTCAGGAACTTTTTGGTGATGTTTGTATTCAACTCCCAGAGTTGAACTTTCCTTTGTAAAGAGCAGCTATGAAACACACTTTTTCTAGAATCTGCAAGTGGACGTTTGGAGGGCTTTGTGGTTTGTGGTGGAAAAGGAAATATCTTCACCTAAATACTAGACAGAAGCATTCTCAGAAGCTTCTCTGTGATGACTGCATTCAACTCACGGAGTTGAACACTCCTTTTGAGAGCGCAGTTTTGAAACTCTCTTTCTGTGGCATCTGCAAGGGGACATGTAGACCTCTTTGAAGATTTCGTTGGAAACGGAATCATCTTCACATAAAAACTATACAGAAGCAGTCTCAGAATCTTCTTTGTGATGTTTGCATTCAAATCCCCGAGTTGAACTTTCCTTTCAAAGTTCACGTTTGAAACACTCTTTTTGCAGGATCTACAAGTGGATATTTGGACCACTCTGTGTCCTTCGTTCGAAACGGGTATATCTTCACATGACATCTAGACAGAAGCTTTCTCAGAAAATTCTTTGGGATGATTGAGTTGAACTCACAGAGCTGAGCATTCCTTGCGATGTAGCAGTTTAGAAACACACTTTCTGCAGAATCTGCAAGTGCATATTTGGACCTCTCTGAGGAATTCGTTGGAAACGGGATAATTTCAGCTGACTAAACAGAAGCATTCTCAGAACCTTCTTCGTGATGTCTGCATTCAACTCACAGTGTGGAACCTTTCTTTGATAGTTCAGGTTTGAAACACTCTTTTCGTAGAAACTGCAAGGGGATCATTGCACTCTTTGAGGAGTACCGTAGTAAAGGAAATAACTTCCTATAAAAAGAAGACAGAAGCATTCTCAGAACCCTCTTCGTGATGTTTGCATTCAACTCACAGTGCTGAACCTTTCTTTGATAGTTCAGCTTTGAAACACTCTTTTTGTAGAAACTGCAAGTGGATATTTGGTCCTCTCTGAGGATTTCGTTGGAAACGGGATAAACTGCCCAGAACTAAACAGAAGCATTCTCAGAACCTTCTTCGTGATGTTTGCATTCAACTCAACAGTGTTGAACCTTTCTTTGATAGTTCAGGTTTGAAACGGTCTTTCTGTAGAAACTGCAAGTAGATATTTGGACCGCTCTGAGGATTTCGTTGGAAACGGGATAACCCGCACAGAACTAAAACAGATAGCATTCACAGAAAACTCTTGGTGACGACTGAGTTTAACTCACAGAGCTGAACATCCCTTTGGATGGAGCAGTTTCGAAACACACTATTTGTAGAATGTGCAAGTGGATATTTGGGCCTCTCTGAGGATTTCGTTGGAAACGGGATAAACCGCACAGAACTAAACAGAGCATTCTCAGAAACTACTTTGTGATGATTGCATTCAAGTCACAGAGTTGAACATTCCCTTTGACAGAGCAGTTTGGAAACTCTCTTTGTGTAGAATCTGCAAGTGGAGATATGGACCGCTTTGAGGCCTATGGTAGTAAGGAAATAGCTTCATATAAAAGCTAGACAGTAGCATTCTCAGAAACTTCTTTGTGATGCTTGCATTCAACTCACAGAGTTGAACTTTCCTTTCGAGAGAGAAGCTTTGAAACACTCTTTTTCCAGAATGTGCAAGTGGACATTTGGGGAGCTTTGAGGCCTGTGGTGGAAAAGGAATTATCTTCCCGTAAAAGCTAGATAGAAGCATTGTCAGAAACTTCTTTGTGATGATTGCATTCAACTCACAGAGTTGAAGGTTCCTTTTCAAACAGCAGTTTCCAATCACTCTTTCTGTGGAATCTGCAAGTGGATATTTTGACCTCTTTGAAGATTTCATTGGAAACGGGAGAATCTTCACAGAAAAGCTAAACAGAAGCATTCTCAGAAACTTCTCTGTGATGTTTGTGTTCAACTCCCAGAGTTTCACGTTGCTTTTCATAGAGTAGTTCTGAAACATGCTTTTCGTAGTGTCTGCAAGTGGACATTTGGAGCGCTTTCAGGCCTGTGGTGGAAAACGAATTATGGTCACATAAAAACTGGAGAGAAGCCTTCTCAGAAACTTCTCTGTGATGATTGCATTCAACTCACAGAGTTGAACCCTCCTATGGATAGAGCAGTGTTGAAACTCTCTTTTTGTGGAATCTGCAAGTGGATATGTGGATCTCTCCGAAGATGTCTTTGGAAACGGGAATATCTTCACATAAAAACTAAACAGAAGCATTCTCAGAAACTTCTTGGTGATGTTTGCATTCAAATCCCAGAGTTGAACCTTCATTTGATAGTTCAGGTTTGAAACACTCTTTTTGTAGGATCTGCAAGTGGCTATTTGGACCACTCTGTGGCCTTTGTTCGAAACGGGTATATCTTCGCATAAAATCTAGACAGAAGCATTCTCAGAAAATACTTTGTGATGATTGAGTTTAAATCACAGAGCTGAACATTCCTTTGGATGGAGCAGGTTTGAGACACACTTTTTGTAGAATCTACAAGTGGATATTTGGACCTCTCTGAGGATTTCGTTGGAAACGGGATAACTGCACCTAAGCTAAACGGAAGCATTCTCAGAAACTGCTTTGTGATGATTGCATTCACCTCACAGAGTTGAACATTCCTATTGATAGAGCAGTTTGGAAACACTCTTGTTGTGGAATGTGCAAGTGGAGATTTGGAGCGCTTTGAGGCCTATGGTAGTAAAGGGAATAGCTTCATAGAAAACTAGACAGATGCATTCTCAGGAACTTTTTGGTGATGTTTGTATTCAACTCCCAGAGTTGAACTTTCCTTTGGAAAGAGCAGCTATGAAACACTCTTTTTCTAGAATCTGCAAGTGGACGTTTGGAGGGCTTTGTGGTTTGTGGTGGAAAAGGAAATATCTTCACCTAAATACTAGATAGAAGCATTCTCAGAAGCTTCTCTGTGATGACTGCATTCAACTCACGGAGTTGAACACTCCTTTTGAGAGCGCAGTTTTGAAACTCTCTTTCTGTGGCATCTGCAAGGGGACATGTAGACCTCTTTGAAGATTTCGTTGGAAACGGAATCATCTTCACATAAAAACTATACAGAAGCAGTCTCAGAATCTTCTTTGTGATGTTTGCATTCAAATCCCAGAGTTGAACTTTACTTTCAAAGTTCACGTTTGAAACACTCTTTTTGCAGGATCTACAAGTGGATATTTGGACCACTCTGTGTCCTTCGTTCGAAACGGGTATATCTTCACACGACATCTAGACAGAAGCTTTCTCAGAAAATTCTTTGGGATGATTGAGTGGAACTCACAGAGCTGAACATTCCTTGCGATGGAGCAGTTTAGAAACACACTTTCTGCAGAATCTGCAAGTGCATATTTGGACCTCTCTGAGGAATTCGTTGGAAACGGGATAATTTCAGCTGACTAAACAGAAGCATTCTCAGAACCTTCTTCGTGATGTCTGCATTCAACTCACAGTGTGGAACCTTTCTTTGATAGTTCAGGTTTGAAACACTCTTTTTGTAGAAACTGCAAGGGGATAATTGCACTTCTTTGAGGCCTACCGTAGTAAAGGAAATAACTTCCTATAGAAAGAAGACAGAAGCATTCTCAGAACCCTCTTCGTGATGTTTGCATTCAACTCACAGTGCTGAACCTTTCTTTGATAGTTCAGCTTTGAAACACTCTTCTTGTAGAAACTGCAAGTGGATATTTGGTCCTCTCTGAGGATTTCGTTGGAAACGGGATAAACCGCACAGAACTAAACAGAAGCATTCTCAGAACCTTCTTCGTGATGTTTGCATTCAACTCACAGTGTTGAACCTTTCTTTGATAGTTCAGGTTTGAAACGGTCTTTCTGTAGAAACTGCAAGTAGATATTTGGACCTCTCTGAGGATTTCGTTGGAAACGGGATAAACCCCACAGAACTAAAACAGAAGAATTCTCAGAACCCTCTTCGTGATGTTTGCATTCAACTCACAGTGCTGAACCTTTCTTTGATAGTTCAGCTTTGAAACACTCTTTTTGTAGAAACTGCAAGTGGATATTTGGTCCTCTCTGAGGATTTCGTTGGAAACGGGATAAAACGCACAGAACTAAACAGAAGCATTCTCAGAACCTTCTTCGTGATGTTTGCATTCAACTCACAGTGTTGAACCTTTCTTTGATAGTTCAGGTTTGAAACGGTCTTTCTGTAGAAACTGCAAGTAGATATTTGGACCTCTCTGAGGATTTCGTTGGAAACGGGATAACCCGCACAGAACTAAAACAGAAGCATTCACAGAAAACTCTTGGTGACGACTGAGTTTAACCCACAGAGCTGAACATTCCTTTGGATGGAGCAGTTTCGAAACACACTATTTGTAGAATGTGCAAGTGGATATTTGGGCCTCTCTGAGGATTTTGTTGGAAACGGGATAAACTGCCCAGAACTAAACAGAAGCATTCTCAGAAACTACTTTGTGATGATTGCATTCAAGTCACAGAGTTGAACATTCCCTTTGACAGAGCAGTTTGGAAACTCTCTTTGTGTAGAATCTGCAAGTGGAGATATGGACCGCTTTGAAGCCTATGGTAGTAAAGGAAATAGCTTCATATAAAAGCTAGACAGTAGCATTCTCAGAAACTTCTTTGTGATGCTTGCATTCAACTCACAGAGTTGAACTTTCCTTTCGAGAGAGAAGCTTTGAAACACTCTTTTTCCAGAATCTGCAAGTGGACATTTGGAGGGCTTTGAGGCCTGTGGTGGAAAAGGAATTATCTTCCCGTAAAAGCTAGATAGAAGCATTGTCAGAAACTTCTTTGTGATGATTGCATTCAACTCACAGAGTTGAAGGTTCCTTTTCAAAGAGCAGTTTCCAATCACTCTTTCTGTGGAATCTGCAAGTGGATATTTGGACCTATTTTGAAGATTTCGTTGGAAACGGGAGAATCTTCACAGGAAAGCTAAACAGAAGCATTCTCAGAAACTTCTCTGTGATGTTTGTGTTCAACTCCCAGAGTTTCACATTGCTTTTCATAGAGTAGTTCTGAAACATGCTTTTCGTAGTGTCTACAAGTGGACATTTGGAGCGCTTTCAGGCCTGTGGTGGAAAACGAATTATGGTCACATAAAAACTGGAGAGAAGCCTTCTCAGAAACTTCTCTGTGATGATTGCATTCAACTCACAGAGTTGAACCCTCCTATGGATAGAGCAGTGTTGAAACTCTCTTTTTGTGGAATCTGCAAGTGGATATGTGGACCTCTCCGAAGATGTCTTTGGAAACGGGAATATCTTCACATAAAAACTAAACAGAAGCATTCTCAGAAACTTCTTGGTGATGTTTGCATTCAAATCCCAGAGTTGAACCTTCCTTTGATAGTTCAGGTTTGAAACACTCTTTTTGTAGGATCTGCAAGTGGATATTTGGACCACTCTGTGGCCTTCGTTCGAAACGGGTATATCTTCGCATAAAATCTAGACAGAAGCATTCTCAGAAAATACTTTGTGATGATTGAGTTGAACTCACAGAGCTGAACATTCCTTTGGATGGAGCAGGTTTGAGACACACTTTTTGTAGAATCTACAAGAGGATATTTGGACCTCTCTGAGGATTTCGTTGGAAACGGGATAACTGCACCTAACTAAACGGAAGCATTCCCAGAAACTGCTTTGTGATGATTGCATTCACCTCACAGAGTTGAACATTCCTATTGATAGAGCAGTTTGGAAACACTCTTGTTGTGGAATGTGCAAGTGGAGATTTGGAGTGCTTTGAGGCCTATGGTAGTAAAGGGAATAGCTTCATAGAAAAACTAGACAGATGCATTCTCAGGAACTTTTTGGTGATGTTTGTATTCAACTCCCAGAGTTGAACTTTCCCTTTGGAAAGAGCAGCTATGAAACACTCTTTTTCTAGAATCTGCAAGTGGACGTTTGGAGGGCTTTGTGGTTTGTGGTGGAAAAGGAAATATCTTCACCTAAATACTAGATAGAAGCATCCTCAGAAGCTTCTCTGTGATGACTGCATTCAACTCACGGAGTTGAACACTCCTTTTGAGAGCGCAGTTTTGAAACTCTCTTTCTGTGGCATCTGCAAGGGGACATGTAGACCTCTTTGAAGATTTCGTTGGAAACGGAATCATCTTCACATAAAAACTATACAGAAGCAGTCTCAGAATCTTCTTTGTGATGTTTGCATTCAAATCCCCGAGTTGAACTTTCCTTTCAAAGTTCACGTTTGAAACACTCTTTTTGCAGGATCTACAAGTGGATATTTGGACCACTCTGTGTCCTTCGTTCGAAACGGGTATATCTTCACATGACATCTAGACAGAAGCTTTCTCAGAAAATTCTTTGGGATGATTGAGTGGAACTCACAGAGCTGAACATTCCTTGCGATGTAGCAGTTTAGAAACACACTTTCTGCAGAATCTGCAAGTGCATATTTGGACCTCTCTGAGGAATTCGTTGGAAACGGGATAATTTCAGCTGACTAAACAGAAGCATTCTCAGAACCTTCTTCGTGATGTCTGCATTCAACTCACAGTGTGGAACCTTTCTTTGATAGTTCAGGTTTGAAACACTCTTTTTGTAGAAACTGCAAGGGGATAATTGCACTTCTTTGAGGCCTACCGTAGTAAAGGAAATAACTTCCTATAGAAAGAAGACAGAAGCATTCTCAGAACCCTCTTCGTGATGTTTGCATTCAACTCACAGTGCTGAACCTTTCTTTGATAGTTCAGCTTTGAAACACTCTTCTTGTAGAAACTGCAAGTGGATATTTGGTCCTCTCTGAGGATTTCGTTGGAAACGGGATAAACCGCACAGAACTAAACAGAAGAATTCTCAGAGCCCTCTTCGTGATGTTTGCATTCAACTCACAGTGCTGAACCTTTCTTTGATAGTGCAGCTTTGAAACACTCTTTTTGTAGAAACTGCAAGTGGATGTTTGGTCCTCTCTGAGGATTTCGTTGGAAACGGGATAAACCGCACAGAACTAAAACAGAAGCATTGTCAGAAACTTCTTTGTGATGATTGCATTCAACTCACAGAGTTGAAGGTTCCTTTTCAAACAGCAGTTTCCAATCACTCTTTCTGTGGAATCTGCAAGTGGATATTTGGGCCTCTCTGAGGATTTCGTTGGAAACGGGATAAAACGCACAGAACTAAAACAGAAGCATTCTCAGAAACTTCTCTGTGATGTTTGTGTTCAACTCCCAGAGTTTCACGTTGCTTTTCATAGAGTAGTTCTGAAACATGCTTTTCGTAGTGTCTGCAAGTGGACATTTGGAGCGCTTTCAGGCCTGTGGTGGAAAACGAATTATGGTCACATAAAAACTGGAGAGAAGCCTTCTCAGAAACTTCTCTGTGATGATTGCATTCAACTCACAGAGTTGAACCCTCCTATGGATAGAGCAGTGTTGAAACTCTCTTTTTGTGGAATCTGCAAGTGGATATGTGGACCTCTCCGAAGATGTCTTTGGAAACGGGAATATCTTCACATAAAAACTAAACAGAAGCATTCTCAGAAACTTCTTGGTGATGTTTGCATTCAAATCCCAGAGTTGAACCTTCCTTTGATAGTTCAGGTTTGAAACACTCTTTCTGTAGGATCTGCAAGTGGCTATTTGGACCACTCTGTGGCCTTCGTTCGAAACGGGTATATCTTCGCATAAAATCTAGACAGAAGCATTCTCAGAAAATACTTTGTGATGATTGAGTTTAAATCACAGAGCTGACCATTCCTTTGGATGGAGCAGGTTTGAGACACACTTTTTGTAGAATCTACAAGTGGATATTTGGACCTCTCTGAGGATTTCGTTGGAAACGGGATAACTGCACCTAACTAAACGGAAGCATTCTCAGAAACTGCTTTGTGATGATTGCATTCACCTCACAGAGTTGAACATTCCTATTGATAGAGCAGTTTGGAAACACTCTTGTTGTGGAATGTGCAAGTGGAGATTTGGAGCGCTTTGAGGCCTATGGTAGTAAAGGGAATAGCTTCATAGAAAAACTAGACAGATGCATTCTCAGGAACTTTTTGGTGATGTTTGTATTCAACTCCCAGAGTTGAACTTTCCTTTGGAAAGAGCAGCTATGAAACACTCTTTTTCTAGAATCTGCAAGTGGACGTTTGGAGGGCTTTGTGGTTTGTGGTGGAAAAGGAAATATCTTCACCTAAATACTAGATAGAAGCATCCTCAGAAGCTTCTCTGTGATGACTGCATTCAACTCACGGAGTTGAACACTCCTTTTGAGAGCGCAGTTTTGAAACTCTCTTTCTGTGGCATCTGCAAGGGGACATGTAGACGTCTTTGAAGATTTCGTTGGAAACGGAATCATCTTCACATAAAAACTACACAGAAGCAGTCTCAGAATCTTCTTTGTGATGTTTGCATTCAAATCCCAGAGTTGAACTTCCCTTTCAAAGTTCACGTTTGAAACACTCTTTTTGCAGGATCTACAAGTGGATATTTGGACCACTCTGTGTCCTTCGTTCGAAACGGGTATATCTTCACATGACATCTAGACAGAAGCTTTCTCAGAAAATTCTTTGGGATGATTGAGTTGAACTCACAGAGCTGAACATTCCTTGCGATGGAGCAGTTTAGAAACACACTTTCTGCAGAATCTGCAAGTGCATATTTGGACGTCTCTGAGGAATTCGTTGGAAACGGGATAATTTCAGCTGACTAAACAGAAGCATTCTCAGAACCTTCTTCGTGATGTCTGCATTCAACTCACAGTGTGGAACCTTTCTTTGATAGTTCAGGTTTGAAACACTCTTTTTGTGGAAACTGCAAGGGGATAATAGCACTTCTTTGAGGCCTACCGTAGTAAAGGAAATAACTTCTTATAAAAAGAAGACAGAAGCATTCTCAGAACCCTCTTCGTGATGTTTGCATTCAACTCACAGTGCTGAACCTTTCTTTGATAGTTCAGCTTTGAAACACTCTTCTTGTAGAAACTGCAAGTGGATATTTGGTCCTCTCTGAGGATTTCGTTGGAAACGGGATAAACCGCACAGAACTAAACAGAAGAATTCTCAGAGCCCTCTTCGTGGTGTTTGCATTCAACTCACAGTGCTGAACCTTTCTTTGATAGTGCAGCTTTGAAACACTCTTTTTGTAGAAACTGCAAGTGGATATTTGGTCCTCTCTGAGGATTTCGTTGGAAACGGGATAAACCGCACAGAACTAAAACAGAAGCATTCACAGAAAACTCTTGGTGACGACTGAGTTTAACTCACAGAGCTGAACATTCCTTTGGATGGAGCAGTTTCGAAACACACTATTTGTAGAATCTGCAAGTGGATATTTGGGCCTCTCTGAGGATTTCGTTGGAAACGGGATAAAACGCACAGAACTAAAACAGAAGCATTCTCAGAAACTACTTTGTGATGATTGCATTCAAGTCACAGAGTTGAACATTCCCTTTGACAGAGCAGTTTGGAAACTCTCTTTGTGTAGAATCTGCAAGTGGAGATATGGACCGCTTTGAGGCCTATGGTAGTAAAGGAAATACCTTCATATAAAAGCTAGACAGTAGCATTCTCAGAAACTTCTTTGTGATGCTTGCATTCAACTCACAGAGTTGAACTTTCCTTTCGAGAGAGAAGCTTTGAAACACTCTTTTTCCAGAATGTGCAAGTGGACATTTGGGGAGCTTTGAGGCCTGTGGTGGAAAAGGAATTGTCTTCCCGTAAAAGCTAGATAGAAGCATTGTCAGAAACTTCTTTGAGATGATTGCATTCAACTCACAGAGTTGAAGGTTCCTTTTCAAACAGCAGTTTCCAATCACTCTTTCTGTGGAATCTGCAAGTGGATATTTCAACCTCTTTGAAGATTTCGTTGGAAACGGGAGAATCTTCACAGAAAAGCTAAACAGAAGCATTCTCAGAAACTTCTTGGTGATGTTTGCATTCAAATCCCAGAGTTGAACCTTCCTTTGATAGTTCAGGTTTGAAACTTCGTAGTGTCTGCAAGTGGACATTTGGAGCGCTTTCAGGCCTGTGGTGGAAAACGAATTATGGTCACATAAAAACTGGAGAGAAGCATTCTCAGAAAATACTTTGTGATGATTGAGTTTAACTCACAGAGCTGAACATTCCTTTGGATGGAGCAGGTTTGAGACACACTTTTTGTAGAATCTACAAGTGGATATTTGGACCTCTCTGAGGATTTCGTTGGAAACGGGATAACTGCACCTAACTAAACGGAAGCATTCTCAGAAACTGCTTTGTGATGATTGCATTCACCTCACAGAGTTGAACATTCCTATTGATAGAGCAGTTTTTAAACACTCTTGTTGTGGAATGTGCAAGTGGAGATTTGGAGCGCTTTGAGGCCTATGGTAGTAAAGGGAATAGCTTCATAGAAAAACTAGACAGATGCATTCTCAGGAACTTTTTGGTGATGTTTGTATTCAACTCCCAGAGTTGAACTTTCCTTTGGAAAGAGCAGCTATGAAACACTCTTTTTCTAGAATCTGCAAGTGGACGTTTGGAGGGCTTTGTGGTTTGTGGTGGAAAAGGAAATATCTTCACCTAAATACTAGATAGAAGCATTCTCAGAAGCTTCTCTGTGATGACTGCATTCAACTCACGGAGTTGAACACTCCTTTTGAGAGCGCAGTTTTGAAACTCTCTTTCTGTGGCATCTGCAAGGGGACATGTAGACCTCTTTGAAGATTTCGTTGGAAACGGAATCATCTTCACATAAAAACTATACAGAAGCAGTCTCAGAATCTTCTTTGTGATGTTTGCATTCAAATCCCAGAGTTGAACTTTCCTTTCAAAGTTCACGTTTGAAACACTCTTTTTGCAGGATCTACAAGTGGATATTTGGACCACTCTGTGTCCTTCGTTCGAAACGGGTATATCTTCACACGACATCTAGACAGAAGCTTTCTCAGAAAATTCTTTGGGATGATTGAGTGGAACTCACAGAGCTGAACATTCCTTGCGATGGAGCAGTTTAGAAACACACTTTCTGCAGAATCTGCAAGTGCATATTTGGACCTCTCTGAGGAATTCGTTGGAAACGGGATAATTTCAGCTGACTAAACAGAAGCATTCTCAGAACCTTCTTCGTGATGTCTGCATTCAACTCACAGTGTGGAACCTTTCTTTGATAGTTCAGGTTTGAAACACTCTTTTTGTAGAAACTGCAAGGGGATAATTGCACTTCTTTGAGGCCTACCGTAGTAAAGGAAATAACTTCCTATAGAAAGAAGACAGAAGCATTCTCAGAACCCTCTTCGTGATGTTTGCATTCAACTCACAGTGCTGAACCTTTCTTTGATAGTTCAGCTTTGAAACACTCTTCTTGTAGAAACTGCAAGTGGATATTTGGTCCTCTCTGAGGATTTCGTTGGAAACGGGATAAACCGCACAGAACTAAACAGAAGAATTCTCAGAGCCCTCTTCGTGATGTTTGCATTCAACTCACAGTGCTGAACCTTTCTTTGATAGTGCAGCTTTGAAACACTCTTTTTGTAGAAACTGCAAGTGGATGTTTGGTCCTCTCTGAGGATTTCGTTGGAAACGGGATAAACCGCACAGAACTAAAACAGAAGCATTGTCAGAAACTTCTTTGTGATGATTGCATTCAACTCACAGAGTTGAAGGTTCCTTTTCAAACAGCAGTTTCCAATCACTCTTTCTGTGGAATCTGCAAGTGGATATTTGGGCCTCTCTGAGGATTTCGTTGGAAACGGGATAAAACGCACAGAACTAAAACAGAAGCATTCTCAGAAACTTCTCTGTGATGTTTGTGTTCAACTCCCAGAGTTTCACGTTGCTTTTCATAGAGTAGTTCTGAAACATGCTTTTCGTAGTGTCTGCAAGTGGACATTTGGAGCGCTTTCAGGCCTGTGGTGGAAAACGAATTATGGTCACATAAAAACTGGAGAGAAGCCTTCTCAGAAACTTCTCTGTGATGATTGCATTCAACTCACAGAGTTGAACCCTCCTATGGATAGAGCAGTGTTGAAACTCTCTTTTTGTGGAACCTGCAAGTGGATATGTGGACCTCTCCGAAGATGTCTTTGGAAACGGGAATATCTTCACATAAAAACTAAACAGAAGCATTCTCAGAAACTTCTTGGTGATGTTTGCATTCAAATCCCAGAGTTGAACCTTCCTTTGATAGTTCAGGTTTGAAACACTCTTTCTGTAGGATCTGCAAGTGGCTATTTGGACCACTCTGTGGCCTTCGTTCGAAACGGGTATATCTTCGCATAAAATCTAGACAGAAGCATTCTCAGAAAATACTTTGTGATGATTGAGTTAAAATCACAGAGCTGAACATTCCTTTGGATGGAGCAGGTTTGAGACACACTTTTTGTAGAATCTACAAGTGGATATTTGGACCTCTCTGAGGATTTCGTTGGAAACGGGATAACTGCACCTAACTAAACGGAAGCATTCTCAGAAACTGCTTTGTGATGATTGCATTCACCTCACAGAGTTGAACATTCCTATTGATAGAGCAGTTTGGAAACACTCTTGTTGTGGAATGTGCAAGTGGAGATTTGGAGCGCTTTGAGGTCTATGGTAGTAAAGGGAATAGCTTCATAGAAAAACTAGACAGATGCATTCTCAGGAACTTTTTGGTGATGTTTGTATTCAACTCCCAGAGTTGAACTTTCCTTTGGAAAGAGCAGCTATGAAACACTGTTTTTCTAGAATCTGCAAGTGGACGTTTGGAGGGCTTTGTGGTTTGTGGTGGAAAAGGAAATATCTTCACCTAAATACTAGATAGAAGCATCCTCAGAAGCTTCTCTGTGATGACTGCATTCAACTCACGGAGTTGAACACTCCTTTTGAGAGCGCAGTTTTGAAACTCTCTTTCTGTGGCATCTGCAAGGGGACATGTAGACCTCTTTGAAGATTTCGTTGGAAACGGAATCATCTTCACATAAAAACTATACAGAAGCAGTCTCAGAATCTTCTTTGTGATGTTTGCATTCAAATCCCCGAGTTGAACTTTCCTTTCAAAGTTCACGTTTGAAACACTCTTTTTGCAGGATCTACAAGTGGATATTTGGACCACTCTGTGTCCTTCGTTCGAAACGGGTATATCTTCACATGACATCTAGACAGAAGCTTTCTCAGAAAATTCTTTGGGATGATTGAGTTGAACTCACAGAGCTGAGCATTCCTTGCGATGTAGCAGTTTAGAAACACACTTTCTGCAGAATCTGCAAGTGCATATTTGGACCTCTGTGAGGAATTCGTTGGAAACGGGATAATTTCAGCTGACTAAACAGAAGCATTCTCAGAACCTTCTTCGTGATGTCTGCATTCAACTCACAGTGTGGAACCTTTCTTTGATAGTTCAGGTTTGAAACACTCTTTTTGTAGAAACTGCAAGGGGATAATTGCACTCTTTGAGGAGTACCGTAGTAAAGGAAATAACTTCCTATAAAAAGAAGACAGAAGCATTCTCAGAACCCTCTTCGTGATGTTTGCATTCAACTCACAGTGCTGAACCTTTCTTTGATAGTTCAGCTTTGAAACACTCTTTTTGTAGAAACTGCAAGTGGATATTTGGTCCTCTCTGAGCATTTCGTTGGAAACGGGATAAACTGCACAGAACTAAACAGAAGCATTCTCAGAACCTTCTTCGTGATGTTTGCATTCAACTCACAGTGTTGAACCTTTCTTTGATAGTTCAGGTTTGAAACGGTCTTTCTGTAGAAACTGCAAGTAGATATTTGGACCTCTCTGAGGATTTCGTTGGAAACGGGATAACCCGCACAGAACTAAAACAGAAGCATTCACAGAAAACTCTTGGTGACGACTGAGTTTAACTCACAGAGCTGAACATTCCCTTTGGATGGAGCAGTTTCGAAACACACTATTTGTAGAATGTGCAAGTGGATATTTAGGCCTCTCTGAGGATTTCGTTGGAAACGGGATAAACCGCACAGAACTAAACAGAAGCATTCTCAGAAACTACTTTGTGATGATTGCATTCAAGTCACAGAGTTGAACATTCCCTTTGACAGAGCAGTTTGGAAACTCTCTTTGTGTAGAATCTGCAAGTGGAGATATGGACCGCTTTGAGGCCTATGGTAGTAAAGGAAATAGCTTCATATAAAAGCTAGACAGTAGCATTCTCAGAAACTTCTTTGTGATGCTTGCATTCAACTCACAGAGTTGAACTTTCCTTTCGAGAGAGAAGCTTTGAAACACTCTTTTTCCAGAATCTGCAAGTGGACATTTGGAGGGATTTGAGGCCTGTGGTGGAAAAGGAATTATCTTCCCGTAAAAGCTAGATAGAAGCATTGTCAGAAACTTCTTTGTGATGATTGCATTCAACTCACAGAGTTGAAGGTTCCTTTACAAACAGCAGGTTCCAATCACTCTTTCTGTGGAATCTGCAAGTGGATATTTGGACCTCTTTGAAGATTTCATTGGAAACGGGAGAATCTTCACAGAAAAGCTAAACAGAAGCATTCTCAGAAACTTCTCTGTGATGTTTGTGTTCAACTCCCAGAGTTTCACATTGCTTTTCATAGAGTAGTTCTGAAACATGCTTTTCGTAGTGTCTGCAAGTGGACATTTGGAGCGCTTTCAGGCCTGTGGTGGAAAACGAATTATGGTCACATAAAAACTGGAGAGAAGCCTTCTCAGAAACTTCTCTGTGATGATTGCATTCAACTCACAGAGTTGAACCCTCCTATGGATAGAGCAGTGTTGAAACTCTCTTTTTGTGGAATATGCAAGTGGATATGTGGACCTCTCCGAAGATGTCTTTGGAAACGGGAATATCTTCACATAAAAACTAAACAGAAGCATTCTCAGAAACTTCTTGGTGATGTTTGCATTCAAATCCCAGAGTTGAACCTTCCTTTGATAGTTCAGGTTTGAAACACTCTTTTTGTAGGATCTGCAAGTGGATATTTGGACCACTCTGTGGCCTTCGTTCGAAACGGGTACATCTTCGCATAATATCTAGACAGAAGCATTCTCAGAAAATACTTTGTGATGATTGAGTTGAACTCACAGAGCTGAACATTCCTTTGGATGGAGCAGGTTTGAGACACACTTTTTGTAGAATCTACAAGTGGATATTTGGACCTCTCTGAGGATTTCGTTGGAAACGGGATAACTGCACCTAACTAAACGGAAGCATTCTCAGAAACTGCTTTTTCATGATTGCATTCACCTCACAGAGTTGAACATTCCTATTGATAGAGCAGTTTGGAAACACTCTTGTTGTGGAATGTGCAAGTGGAGATTTGGAGCGCTTTGAGGCCTATGGTAGTAAAGGGAATAGCTTCATAGAAAAAGTAGACAGATGCATTCTCAGGAACTTTTTGGTGATGTTTGTATTCAACTCCCAGAGTTGAACTTTCCTTTGGAAAGAGCAGCTATGAAACACTCTTTTTCTAGAATCTGCAAGTGGACGTTTGGAGGGCTTTGTGGTTTGTGGTGGAAAAGGAAATATCTTCACCTAAATACTACATAGAAGCATTCTCAGAAGCTTCTCTGTGATGACTGCATTCAACTCACGGAGTTGAACACTCCTTTTGAGAGCGCAGTTTTGAAACTCTCTTTCTGTGGCATCTGCAAGGGGACATGTAGACCTCTTTGAAGATTTCGTTGGAAACGGAATCATCCTCACATCAAAACTATACAGAAGCAGTCTCAGAATCTTCTTTGTGATGTTTGCATTCAAATCCCAGAGTTGAACTTTCCTTTCAAAGTTCAGGTTTGAAACACTCTTTTTGCTGGATCTACAAGTGGATATTTGGACCACTCTGTGTCCTTCGTTCGTAACGGGTATATCTTCACATGACATCTAGACAGAAGCTTTCTCAGAAAATTCTTTGGGATGATTGAGTTGAACTCACAGAGCTGAACATTCCTTGCGATGGAGCAGTTTAGAAACACACTTTCTGCAGAATCTGCAAGTGCATATTTGGACCTCTCTGAGGAATTCGTTGGAAACGGGATAATTTCAGCTGACTAAACAGAAGCATTCTCAGAACCTTCTTCGTGATGTCTGCATTCAACTCACAGTGTGGAACCTTTCTTTGATAGTTCAGGTTTGAAACACTCTTTTTGTGGAAACTGCAAGGGGATAATTGCACTTCTTTGAGGCCTACCGTAGTAAAGGAAATAACTTCCTATAAAAAGAAGACAGAAGCATTCTCAGAACCCTCTTCGTGATGTTTGCATTCAACACACAGTGCTGAACCTTTCTTTGATAGTTCAGCTTTGAAACACTCTTTTTGTAGAAACTGCAACTGGATATTTTGTCCTCTCTGAGGATTTCGTTGGAAACGGGATAAACCGCACAGAACTAAACAGAAGCATTCACAGAAAACTCTTGGTGACGACTGAGTTTAACTCACAGAGCTGAACATTCCTTTGGATGGAGCAGTTTCGAAACACACTATTTGTAGAATCTGCAAGTGGATATGTGGGCCTCTCTGAAGATTTCGTTGGAAACGGGATAAACCGCACAGAACTAAAACAGAAGCATTCTCAGAAACTACTTTGTGATGATTGCATTCAAGTCACAGAGCTGAACATTCCCTTTGACAGAGCAGTTTGGAAACTCTCTTTGTGTAGAATCTGCAAGTGGAGATATGGAATGCTTTGAGGACTATGGTAGTAAAGGAAATAGCTTCATATAAAAGCTAGACAGTAGCATTCTCAGAAACTTCTTTGTGATGCTTGCATTCAACTCACAGATGTTGAACTTTCCTTTCGAGAGAGAAGCTTTGAAACACTCTTTTTCCAGAATCTGCAAGTGGACATTTGGAGGGCTTTGAGGCCTGTGGTGGAAAAGGAATTATCTTCCCGTAAAAGCTAGATAGAAGCATTGTCAGAAACTTCTTTGTGATGATTGCATTCAACTCACAGAGTTGAAGGTTCCTTTTCAAACAGCAGTTTCCAAACACTCTTTCTGTGGAATCTGCAAGTGGATGTTTGGACCTCTTTGAAGATTTCGTTGGAAACGGGAGAATCTTCACAGAAAAGCTAAACAGAAGCATTCTCAGAAACTTCTCTGTGATGTTTGTGTTCAACTCCCAGAGTTTCACATTGCTTTTCATAGAGTAGTTCTGAAACATGCTTTTCGTAGTGTCTACAAGTGGACATTTGGAGCGCTTTCAGGCCTGTGGTGGAAAACGAATTATGGTCACATAAAAACTGGAGAGAAGCCTTCTCAGAAACTTCTCTGTGATGATTGCATTCAACTCACAGAGTTGAACCCTCCTATGGATAGAGCAGTGTTGAAACTCTCTTTTTGTGGAATCTGCAAGTGGATATGTGGACCTCTCCGAAGATGTCTTTGGAAACGGGAATATCTTCACATAAAAACTAAACAGAAGCATTCTCAGAAACTTCTTGGTGATGTTTGCATTCAAATCCCAGAGTTGAACCTTCCTTTGATAGTTCAGGTTTGAAACACTCTTTTTGTAGGATCTGCAAGTGGATATTTGGACCACTCTGTGGCCTTCGTTCGAAACGGGTATATCTTCGCATAAAATCCAGACAGAAGCATTCTCAGAAAATACTTTGTGATGATTGAGTTTAACTCACAGAGCTGAACATTCCTTTGGATGGAGCAGGTTTGAGACACACATTTGTAGAATCTACAAGTGGATATTTGGACCTCTCTGAGGATTTCGTTGGAAACGCGATAACTGCCCCTAACTAAACGGAAGCATTCTCAGAAACTGCTTTGTGATGATTGCATTCACCTCACAGAGTTGAACATTCCTATTGATAGAGCAGTTTGGAAACACTCTTGTTGTGGAATGTGCAAGTGGAGATTTGGAGCGCTTTGAGGCCTGTGGTAGTAAAGGGAATAGCTTCATAGAAAAACTAGACAGATGCATTCTCAGGAACTTTTTGGTGATGTTTGTATTCAACTCCCAGAGTTGAACTTTCCTTTGGAAAGAGCAGCTATGAAACACTCTTTTTCTAGAATCTGCAAGTGGACGTTTGGAGGGCTTTGTGGTTTGTGGGGAAAAGGAAATATCTTCACCTAAATACTAGATAGAAGCATTCTCAGAAGCTTCTCTGTGATGACTGCATTCAACTCACGGAGTTGAACACTCCTTTTGAGAGCGCAGTTTTGAAACTCTCTTTCTGTGGCATCTGCAAGGGGACATGTAGACCTCTTTGAAGATTTCGTTGGAAACGGAATCATCTTCACATAAAAACTATACAGAAGCAGTCTCAGAATCTTCTTTGTGATGTTTGCATTCAAATCCCAGAGTTGAACTTTCCTTTCAAAGTTCACGTTTGAAACACTCTTTTTGCAGGATCTACAAGTGGATATTTGGACCACTCTGTGTCCTTCGTTCGAAACGGGTATATCTTCACACGACATCTAGACAGAAGCTTTCTCAGAAAATTCTTTGGGATGATTGAGTGGAACTCACAGAGCTGAACATTCCTTGCGATGGAGCAGTTTAGAAACACACTTTCTGCAGAATCTGCAAGTGCATATTTGGACCTCTCTGAGGAATTCGTTGGAAACGGGATAATTTCAGCTGACTAAACAGAAGCATTCTCAGAACCTTCTTCGTGATGTCTGCATTCAACTCACAGTGTGGAACCTTTCTTTGATAGTTCAGGTTTGAAACACTCTTTTTGTAGAAACTGCAAGGGGATAATTGCACTTCTTTGAGGCCTACCGTAGTAAAGGAAATAACTTCCTATAGAAAGAAGACAGAAGCATTCTCAGAACCCTCTTCGTGATGTTTGCATTCAACTCACAGTGCTGAACCTTTCTTTGATAGTTCAGCTTTGAAACACTCTTCTTGTAGAAACTGCAAGTGGATATTTGGTCCTCTCTGAGGATTTCGTTGGAAACGGGATAAACCGCACAGAACTAAACAGAAGAATTCTCAGAGCCCTCTTCGTGATGTTTGCATTCAACTCACAGTGCTGAACCTTTCTTTGATAGTGCAGCTTTGAAACACTCTTTTTGTAGAAACTGCAAGTGGATATTTGGTCCTCTCTGAGGATTTCGTTGGAAACGGGATAAACCGCACAGAACTAAAACAGAAGCATTCACAGAAAACTCTTGGTGACGACTGAGTTTAACTCACAGAGCTGAACATTCCTTTGGATGGAGCAGTTTCGAAACACACTATTTGTAGAATCTGCAAGTGGATATTTGGGCCTCTCTGAGGATTTCGTTGGAAACGGGATAAAACGCACAGAACTAAAACAGAAGCATTCTCAGAAACTACTTTGTGATGATTGCATTCAAGTCACAGAGTTGAAGATTCCCTTTGACAGAGCAGCTTGGAAACTATCTTTGTGTAGAATCTGCAAGTGGAGATATGGACCGCTTTGAGGCCTATGGTAGTAAAGGAAATAGCTTCATATAAAAGCTAGACAGTAGCATTCTCAGAAACTTCTTTGTGATGCTTGCATTCAACTTACAGAGTTGAACTTTCCTTTCGAGAGAGAAGCTTTGAAACACTCTTTTTCCAGAATCTGCAAGTGGACATTTGGAGGGCTTTGAGGCCTGTGGTGGAAAAGGAATTATCTTCCCGTAAAAGCTAGATAGAAGCATTGTCAGAAACTTCTTTGTGATGATTGCATTCAACTCACAGAGTTGAAGGTTCCTTTTCAAAGAGCAGTTTCCAATCACTCTTTCTGTGGAATCTGCAAGTGGATATTTGGACCTCTTTGAAGATTTCGTTGGAAACGGGAGAATCTTCACAGAAAAGCTAAACAGAAGCATTCTCAGAAACTTCTCTGTGATGTTTGTGTTCAACTCCCAGAATTTCAGATTGCCTTTCATAGAGTAGTTCTGAAACATGCTTTTCGTAGTGTCTGCAAGTGGACATTTGGAGCGCTTTCAGGCCTGTGGTGGAAAACGATTTATGGTCCCATAAAACCTGGAGAGAAGCCTTCTCAGAAACTTCTCTGTGATGATTGCATTCAACTCACAGAGTTGAACCCTCCTATGGATAGAGCAGTGTTGAAACTCTCTTTTTGTGGAATCTGCAAGTGGATATGTGGACCTCTCCGAAGATGTCTTTGGAAACGGGAATATCTTCACATAAAAACTAAACAGAAGCATTCTCAGAAACTTCTTGGTGATGTTTGCATTCAAATCCCAGAGTTGAACCTTCCTTTGATAGTTCAGGTTTGAAACACTCTTTTTGTAGGATCTGCAAGTGGATATTTGGACCACTCTGTGGCCTTCGTTCGAAACGGGTATATCTTCGCATAAAATCCAGACAGAAGCATTCTCAGAAAATACTTTGTGATGATTGAGTTTAACTCACAGAGCTGAACATTCCTTTGGATGGAGCAGGTTTGAGACACACATTTGTAGAATCTACAAGTGGATATTTGGACCTCTCTGAGGATTTCGTTGGAAACGCGATAACTGCACCTAACTAAACGGAAGCATTCTCAGAAACTGCTTTGTGATGATTGCATTCACCTCACAGAGTTGAACATTCCTATTGATAGAGCAGTTTGGAAACACTCTTGTTGTGGAATGTGCAAGTGGAGATTTGGAGCGCTTTGAGGCCTATGGTAGTAAAGGGAATAGCTTCATAGAAAAACTAGACAGATGCATTCTCAGGAACTTTTTGGTGATGTTTGTATTCAACTCCCAGAGTTGAACTTTCCTTTGGAAAGAGCAGCTATGAAACACTCTTTTTCTAGAATCTGCAAGTGGACGTTTGGAGGGCTTTGTGGTTTGTGGTGGAAAAGGAAATATCTTCACCTAAATACTAGATAGAAGCATTCTCAGAAGCTTCTCTGTGATGACTGCATTCAACTCACGGAGTTGAACACTCCTTTTGAGAGCGCAGTTTTGAAACTCTCTTTCTGTGGCATCTGCAAGGGGACATGTAGACCTCTTTGAAGATTTCGTTGGAAACGGAATCATCTTCACATAAAAACTATACAGAAGCAGTCTCAGAATCTTCTTTGTGATGTTTGCATTCAAATCCCAGAGTTGAACTTTCCTTTCAAAGTTCACGTTTGAAACACTCTTTTTGCAGGATCTACAAGTGGATATTTGGACCACTCTGTGTCCTTCGTTCGAAACGGGTATATCTTCACATGACATCTAGACAGAAGCTTTCTCAGAAAATTCTTTGGGATGATTGAGTTGAACTCACAGAGCTGAACATTCCTTGCGATGGAGCAGTTTAGAAACACACTTTCTGCAGAATCTGCAAGTGCATATTTGGACCTCTCTGAGGAATTCGTTGGAAACGGGATAATTTCAGCTGACTAAACAGAAGCATTCTCAGAACCTTCTTCGTGATGTCTGCATTCAACTCACAGTGTGGAACCTTTCTTTGATAGTTCAGGTTTGAAACACTCTTTTTGTAGAAACTGCAAGGGGATAATTGCACTTCTTTGAGGCCTACCGTAGTAAAGGAAATAACTTCCTATAAAAAGAAGACAGAAGCATTCTCAGAACCCTCTTCGTGATGTTTGCATTCAACTCACAGTGCTGAACCTTTCTTTGATAGTTCAGCTTTGAAACAATCTTTTTGTAGAAACTGCAAGTGGATACTTGGTCCTCTCTGAGGATTTCGTTGGAAAAGGGATAAACCGCACAGAACTAAACAGAAGCATTCACAGAAAACTCCTGTTGACGACTGAGTTTAACTCACAGAGCTGAACATTCCCTTGGTTGGAGCAGTTTCGAAACACACTCTTTTTGGAATCTGCAGGTGGATATTTGGGCCTCTCTGAGGATTTCGTTGGAAACGGGATAAACCGCACAGAACTAAAACAGAAGCATTCTCAGAAACTACTTTGTGATGATTGCATTCAAGTCACAGAGCTGAACATTCCCTTTGACGGAGCAGTTTGGAAACTCTCTTTGTGTAGAATCTGCAAGTGGAGATATGGAATGCTTTGAGGACTATGGTAGTAAAGGAAATAGCTTCATATAAAAGCTAGACAGTAGCATTCTCAGAAACTTCTTTGTGATGCTTGCATTCAACTCACAGAGTTGAACTTTCCTTTCGAGAGAGAAGCTTTGAAACACTCTTTTTCCAGAATCTGCAAGTGGACATTTGGAGGGCTTTGAGGCCTGTGGTGGAAAAGGAATTATCTTCCCATAAAAGCTAGATAGAAGCATTGTCAGAAACATCTTCGTGATGATTGCATTCAACTCACAGAGTTGAAGGTTCCTTTTCAAACAGCAGTTTCCAAACACTATTTCTGTGGAATCTGCAAGTGGATATTTGGACCTCTTTGAAGATTTCGTTGGAAACGGGAGAATCTTCACAGAAAAGCTAAACAGAAGCATTCTGAGAAACTTCTTTGTGATGTTTGTGTTCAACTCCCAGAGTTTCACATTGCTTTTCATAGAGTAGTTCTGAAACATGCTTTTCGTAGTGTCTGCAAGTGGACATTTGGAGCGCTTTCAGGCCTGTGGTGGAAAACGATTTATGGTCACATAAAAACTGGAGAGAAGCCTTCTCAGAAACTTCTCTGTGATGATTGCATTCAACTCACAGAGTTGAACCCTCCTATGGATAGAGCAGTGTTGAAACTCTCTTTTTGTGGAACCTGCAAGTGGATATGTGGACCTCTCCGAAGATGTCTTTGGAAACGGGAATATCTTCACATAAAAACTAAACAGAAGCATTCTCAGAAACTTCTTGGTGATGTTTGCATTCAAATCCCAGAGTTGAACCTTCCTTTGATAGTTCAGGTTTGAAACACTCTTTCTGTAGGATCTGCAAGTGGCTATTTGGACCACTCTGTGGCCTTCGTTCGAAACGGGTATATCTTCGCATAAAATCTAGACAGAAGCATTCTCAGAAAATACTTTGTGATGATTGAGTTTAAATCACAGAGCTGACCATTCCTTTGGATGGAGCAGGTTTGAGACACACTTTTTGTAGAATCTACAAGTGGATATTTGGACCTCTCTGAGGATTTCGTTGGAAACGGGATAACTGCACCTAACTAAACGGAAGCATTCTCAGAAACTGCTTTGTGATGATTGCATTCACCTCACAGAGTTGAACATTCCTATTGATAGAGCAGTTTGGAAACACTCTTGTTGTGGAATGTGCAAGTGGAGATTTGGAGCGCTTTGAGGCCTATGGTAGTAAAGGGAATAGCTTCATAGAAAAACTAGACAGATGCATTCTCAGGAACTTTTTGGTGATGTTTGTATTCAACTCCCAGAGTTGAACTTTCCTTTGGAAAGAGCAGCTATGAAACACTCTTTTTCTAGAATCTGCAAGTGGACGTTTGGAGGGCTTTGTGGTTTGTGGTGGAAAAGGAAATATCTTCACCTAAATACTAGATAGAAGCATTCTCAGAAGCTTCTCTGTGATGACTGCATTCAACTCACGGAGTTGAACACTCCTTTTGAGAGCGCAGTTTTGAAACTCTCTTTCTGTGGCATCTGCAAGGGGACATGTAGACCTCTTTGAAGATTTCGTTGGAAACGGAATCATCTTCACATAAAAACTATACAGAAGCAGTCTCAGAATCTTCTTTGTGATGTTTGCATTCAAATCCCAGAGTTGAACTTTCCTTTCAAAGTTCACGTTTGAAACACTCTTTTTGCAGGATCTACAAGTGGATATTTGGACCACTCTGTGTCCTTCGTTCGAAACGGGTATATCTTCACAGGACATCTAGACAGAAGCTTTCTCAGCAAAATTCTTTGGGATGATTGAGTGGAACTCACAGAGCTGAACATTCCTTGCGATGTAGCAGTTTAGAAACACACTTTCTGCAGAATCTGCAAGTGCATATTTGGACCTCTCTGAGGAATTCGTTGGAAACGGGATAATTTCAGCTGACTAAACAGAAGCATTCTCAGAACCTTCTTCGTGATGTCTGCATTCAACTCACAGTGTGGAACCTTTCTTTGATAGTTCAGGTTTGAAACACTCTTTTTGTAGAAACTGCAAGGGGATAATTGCACTTCTTTGAGGCCTACCGTAGTAAAGGAAATAACTTCCTATAGAAAGAAGACAGAAGCATTCTCAGAACCCTCTTCGTGATGTTTGCATTCAACTCACAGTGCTGAACCTTTCTTTGATAGTTCAGCTTTGAAACACTCTTCTTGTAGAAACTGCAAGTGGATATTTTGTCCTCTCTGAGGATTTCGTTGGAAAAGGGATAAACCGCACAGAACTAAACAGAAGCATTCTCAGAGCCCTCTTCGTGATGTTTGCATTCAACTCACAGTGCTGAACCTTTCTTTGATAGTGCAGCTTTGAAACACTCTTTTTGTAGAAACTGCAAGTGGATGTTTTGTCCTCCCTGAGGATTTCGTTGGAAACGGGATAAACCGCACAGAACTAAAACAGAAGCATTCTCAGAACCTTCTTCGTGATGTTTGCATTCAACTCACAGTGTTGAACCTTTCTTTGATAGTTCAGGTTTGAAACGGTCTTTCTGTAGAAACTGCAAGTAGATATTTGGACCTCTCTGAGGATTTCGTTGGAAACGGGATAAACCGCACAGAACTAAAACAGAAGCTTTCTCAGAAAATTGTTTGGGATGATTGATTTGAACTCACAGAGCTGAGCATTCCTTTGGATGGAGCAGTTTCGAAACACACTATTTGTAGAATGTGCAAGTGTATATGTGGGCCTCTCTGAGGATTTCGTTGGAAACGGGATAAACCGCACAGAACTAAACAGAAGCATTCTCAGAAACTACTTTGTGATGATTGCATTCAAGTCACAGAGCAGAACATTCCCTTTGACAGAGCAGTTTGGAAACTCTCTTTGTGTAGCATCTGCAAGTGGAGATATGGAATGCTTTGAGGACTATGGTAGTAAAGGAAATAGCTTCATATAAAAGCTAGACAGTAGCATTCTCAGAAACTTCTTTGTGATGCTTGCATTCAACTCACAGAGTTGAACTTTCCTTTCGAGAGAGAAGCTTTGAAACACTCTTTTTCCAGAATCTGCAAGTGGACATTTGGAGGGCTTTGAGGCCTGTGGTGGAAAAGGAATTATCTTCCCGTAAAAGCTAGATAGAAACATTGTCAGAAACTTCTTTGTGATGATTGCATTCAACTCACAGAGTTGAAGGTTCCTTTTCAAACAGCAGTTTCCAAACACTCTTTCTGTGGAATCTACAAGTGGATATTTGGACCTCTTTGAAGATTTCGTTGGAAACGGGAGAATCTTCACAGAAAAGCTAAACGGAAGCATTCTCAGAAACTTCTCTGTGATGTTTGTGTTCAACTCCCAGAGTTTCACGTTGCTTTTCATAGAGTAGTTCTGAAACATGCTTTTCGTAGTGTCTGCAAGTGGACATTTGGAGCGCTTTCAGGCCTGTGGTGGAAAACGAATTATGGTCACATAAAAACTGGAGAGAAGCCTTCTCAGAAACTTCTCTGTGATGATTGCATTCAACTCACAGAGTTGAACCCTCCTATGGATAGAGCAGTGTTGAAACTCTCTTTTTGTGGAATCTGCAAGTGGATATGTGGACCTCTCCGAAGATGTCTTTGGAAACGGGAATATCTTCACATAAAAACTAAACAGAAGCATTCTCAGAAACTTCTTGGTGATGTTTGCATTCAAATCCCAGAGTTGAACCTTCCTTTGATAGTTCAGGTTTGAAACACTCTTTCTGTAGGATCTGCAAGTGGCTATTTGGACCACTCTGTGGCCTTCGTTCGAAACGGGTATATCTTCGCATAAAATCTAGACAGAAGCATTCTCAGAAAATACTTTGTGATGATTGAGTTTAAATCACAGAGCTGACCATTCCTTTGGATGGAGCAGGTTTGAGACACACTTTTTGTAGAATCTACAAGTGGATATTTGGACCTCTCTGAGGATTTCGTTGGAAACGGGATAACTGCACCTAACTAAACGGAAGCATTCTCAGAAACTGCTTTGTGATGATTGCATTCACCTCACAGAGTTGACCATTCCTATTGATAGAGCAGTTTGGAAACACTCTTGTTGTGGAATGTGCAAGTGGAGATTTGGAGCGCTTTGAGGCCTATGGTAGTAAAGGGAATAGCTTCATAGAAAAACTAGACAGATGCATTCTCAGGAACTTTTTGGTGATGTTTGTATTCAACTCCCAGAGTTGAACTTTCCTTTGGAAAGAGCAGCTATGAAACACTCTTTTTCTAGAATCTGCAAGTGGACGTTTGGAGGGCTTTGTGGTTTGTGGTGGAAAAGGAAATATCTTCACCTAAATACTAGATAGAAGCATTCTCAGAAGCTTCTCTGTGATGACTGCATTCAACTCACGGAGTTGAACACTCCTTTTGAGAGCGCAGTTTTGAAACTCTCTTTCTGTGGCATCTGCAAGGGGACATGTAGACCTCTTTGAAGATTTCGTTGGAAACGGAATCATCTTCACATAAAAACTATACAGAAGCAGTCTCAGAATCTTCTTTGTGATGTTTGCATTCAAATCCCCGAGTTGAACTTTCCTTTCAAAGTTCACGTTTGAAACACTCTTTTTGCAGGATCTACAAGTGGATATTTGGACCACTCTGTGTCCTTCGTTCGAAACGGGTATATCTTCACATGACATCTAGACAGAAGCTTTCTCAGAAAATTCTTTGGGATGATTGAGTTGAACTCACAGAGCTGAGCATTCCTTGCGATGTAGCAGTTTAGAAACACACTTTCTGCAGAATCTGCAAGTGCATATTTGGACCTCTGTGAGGAATTCGTTGGAAACGGGATAATTTCAGCTGACTAAACAGAAGCATTCTCAGTAACCTTCTTCGTGATGTCTGCATTCAACTCACAGTGTGGAACCTTTCTTTGATAGTTCAGGTTTGAAACACTCTTTTTGTAGAAACTGCAAGGGGATAATTGCACTTCTTTGAGGCCTACCGTAGTAAAGGAAATAACTTCCTATAAAAAGAAGACAGAAGCATTCTCAGAACCCTCTTCCTGATGTTTGCATTCAACTCACAGTGCTGAACCTTTCTTTGATAGTTCAGCTTTGAAACACTCTTTTTGTAGAAACTGCAAGTGGATATTTGGTCCTCTCTGAGGATTTCGTTGGAAACGGGATAAACTGCACAGAACTAAACAGAAGCATTCTCAGAACCTTCTTCGTGATGTTTGCATTCAACTCACAGTGTTGAACCTTTCTTTGATAGTTCAGGTTTGAAACGGTCTTTCTGTAGAAACTGCAAGTAGATATTTGGACCTCTCTGAGGATTTCGTTGGAAACGGGATAACCCGCACAGAACTAAAACAGAAGCATTCACAGAAAACTCTTGGTGACGACTGAGTTTAACTCACAGAGCTGAACATTCCTTTGGATGGAGCAGTTTCGAAACACACTATTTGTAGAATGTGCAAGTGGATATTTAGGCCTCTCTGAGGGTTTCGTTGGAAACGGGGTAAACCGCACAGAACTAAACAGAAGCATTCTCAGAAACTACTTTGTGATGATTGCATTCAAGTCACAGAGTTGAACATTCCCTTTGACAGAGCAGTTTGGAAACTCTCTTTGTGTAGAATCTGCAAGTGGAGATATGGACCGCTTTGAGGCCTATGGTAGTAAAGGAAATAGCTTCATATAAAAGCTAGACAGTAGCATTCTCAGAAACTTCTTTGTGATGCTTGCATTCAACTCACAGAGTTGAACTTTCCTTTCGAGAGAGAAGCTTTGAAACACTCTTTTTCCAGAATGTGCAAGTGGACATTTGGGGAGCTTTGAGGCCTGTGGTGGAAAAGGAATTATCTTCCCGTAAAAGCTAGATAGAAGCATTGTCAGAAACTTCTTTCTGATGATTGCATTCAACTCACAGAGTTGAAGGTTCCTTTTCAAACAGCAGTTTCCAATCACTCTTTCTGTGGAATCTGCAAGTGGATATTTCGACCTCTTTGAAGATTTCGTTGGAAACGGGAGAATCTTCACAGAAAAGCTAAACAGAAGCATTCTCAGAAACTTCTCTGTGATGTTTGTGTTCAACTCCCAGAGTTTCACGTTGCTTTTCATAGAGTAGTTCTGAAACATGCTTTTCGAAGTGTCTGCAAGTGGACATTTGGAGCGCTTTCAGGCCTGTGGTGGAAAACGAATTATGGTCACATAAAAACTGGAGAGAAGCTTTCTCAGAAACTTCTCTGTGATGATTGCATTCATCTCACAGAGTTGAACCCTCCTATGGATAGAGCAGTGTTGAAACTCTGTTTTTGTGGAATCTGCAAGTGGATATGTGGACCTCGCCAAAGATGTCTTTGGAAACGGGAATATCTTCACATAAAAACTAAACAGAAGCATTCTCAGAAACTTCTTGGTGATGTTTGCATTCAAATCCCAGAGTTGAACCTTCCTTTGATAGTTCAGGTTTGAAACACTCTTTTTGTAGGATGTGCAAGTGGATATTTGGACCACTCTGTGGCCTTCGTTCAAAACGGGTACATCTTCGCATAATATCTAGACAGAAGCATTCTCAGAAAATACTTTGTGATGATTGAGTTTAAATCACAGAGCTGACCATTCCTTTGGATGGAGCAGGTTTGAGACACACTTTTTGTAGAATCTACAAGTGGATATTTGGACCTCTCTGAGGATTTCGTTGGAAACGGGATAACTGCACCTAACTAAACGGAAGCATTCTCAGAAACTGCTTTGTGATGATTGCATTCACCTCACAGAGTTGAACATTCCTATTGATAGAGCAGTTTGGAAACACTCTTGTTGTGGAATGTGCAAGTGGAGATTTGGAGCGCTTTGAGGCCTATGGTAGTAAAGGGAATAGCTTCATAGAAAAACTAGACAGATGCATTCTCAGGAACCTTTTGGTGATGTTTGTATTCAACTCCCAGAGTTGAACTTTCCTTTGGAAAGAGCAGCTATGAAACACTCTTTTTCTAGAATCTGCAAGTGGACGTTTGGAGGGCTTTGTGGTTTGTGGTGGAAAAGGAAATATCTTCACCTAAATACTAGATAGAAGCATTCTCAGAAGCTTCTCTGTGATGACTGCATTCAACTCACGGAGTTGAACACTCCTTTTGAGAGCGCAGTTTTGAAACTCTCTTTCTGTGGCATCTGCAAGGGGACATGTAGACCTCTTTGAAGATTTCGTTGGAAACGGAATCATCTTCACATAAAAACTATACAGAAGCAGTCTCAGAATCTTCTTTGTGATGTTTGCATTCAAATCCCAGAGTTGAACTTTCCTTTCAAAGTTCACGTTTGAAACACTCTTTTTGCAGGATCTACAAGTGGATATTTGGACCACTCTGTGTCCTTCGTTCGAAACGGGTATATCTTCACACGACATCTAGACAGAAGCTTTCTCAGAAAATTCTTTGGGATGATTGAGTGGAACTCACAGAGCTGAACATTCCTTGCGATGGAGCAGTTTAGAAACACACTTTCTGCAGAATCTGCAAGTGCATATTTGGACCTCTCTGAGGAATTCGTTGGAAACGGGATAATTTCAGCTGACTAAACAGAAGCATTCTCAGAACCTTCTTCGTGATGTCTGCATTCAACTCACAGTGTGGAACCTTTCTTTGATAGTTCAGGTTTGAAACACTCTTTTTGTAGAAACTGCAAGGGGATAATTGCACTTCTTTGAGGCCTACCGTAGTAAAGGAAATAACTTCCTATAGAAAGAAGACAGAAGCATTCTCAGAACCCTCTTCGTGATGTTTGCATTCAACTCACAGTGCTGAACCTTTCTTTGATAGTTCAGCTTTGAAACACTCTTCTTGTAGAAACTGCAAGTGGATATTTGGTCCTCTCTGAGGATTTCGTTGGGAAACGGGATAAACCGCACAGAACTAAACAGAAGCATTCTCAGAACCTTCTTCGTGATGTTTGCATTCAACTCACAGTGTTGAACCTTTCTTTGATAGTTCAGGTTTGAAACGATCTTTCTGTAGAAACTGCAAGTAGATATTTGGACCTCTCTGAGGATTTCGTTGGAAACGGGATAAACCGCACAGAACTAAAACAGAAGCATTCACAGAAAACTCTTGGTGACGACTGAGTTTAACTCACAGAGCTGAACATTCCTTTGGATGGAGCAGTTTCGAAACACACTATTTGTAGAATCTGCAAGTGGATATGTGGGCCTCTCTGAGGATTTCGTTGGAAACGGGTAAATCGCACAGAACTAAACAGAAGCATTCTCAGAAACTACTTTGTGATGATTGCATTCAAGTCACAGAGTTGAACATTCCGTTTGACAGAGCAGTATGGAAACTCTCTTTGTGTAGAATCTGCAAGTGGAGATATGGACCGCTTTGAGGCCTATGGTAGTAAAGGGAATAGCTTCATAGAAAAACTAGACAGTAGCATTCTCAGAAACTTCTTTGTGATGCTTGCATTCAACTCACAGAGTTGAACTTTCCTTTCGAGAGAGAAGCTTTGAAACACTCTTTTTCCAGAATCTGCAAGTGGACATTTGGAGGGCTTTGAGGCCTGTGGTGGAAAAGGAATTATCTTCCCGTAAAAGCTAGATAGAAGCATTGTCAGAAACTTCTTTGTGATGATTGCATTCAACTCACAGAGTTGAAGGTTCCTTTTCAAAGAGCAGTTTCCAATCACTCTTTCTGTGGAATCTGCAAGTGGATATTTGGACCTCTTTGAAGATTTCGTTGGAAACGGGAGAATCTTCACAGAAAAGCTAAAGAGAAGCATTCTCAGAAACTTCTCTGTGATGTTTGTGTTCAACTCCCAGAGTTTCACATTGCTTTTCATAGAGTAGTTCTGAAACATGCTTTTCGTAGTGTCTGCAAGTGGACATTTGGAGCGCTTTCAGGCCTGTGGTGGAAAACGAATTATGGTCACATAAAAACTGGAGAGAAGCCTTCTCAGAAACTTCTCTGTGATGATTGCATTCAACTCACAGAGTTGAACCCTCCTATGGATAGAGCATTGTTGAAACTCTCTTTTTGTGGAATCTGCAAGTGGATATGTGGACCTCTCCGAAGATGTCTTTGGAAACGGGAATATCTTCACATAAAAACTAAACAGAAGCATTCTCAGAAACTTCTTGGTGATGTTTGCATTCAAATCCCAGAGTTGAACCTTCCTTTGATAGTTCAGGTTTGAAACACTCTTTTTGTAGGATCTGCAAGTGGATATTTGGACCACTCTGTGGCCTTCGTTCGAAACGGGTACATCTTCCCATAAAATCTAGACAGAAGCATTCTCAGAAAATACTTTGTGATGATTGAGTTTAACTCACAGAGCTGAACATTCCTTTGGATGGAGCAGGTTTGAGACACACTTTTTGTAGAAACTACAAGTGGATATTTGGACCTCTCTGAGGATTTCGTTGGAAACGCGATAACTGCACCTAATTAAACGGAAGCATTCTCAGAAACTGCTTTGTGATGATTGCATTCACCTCACAGAGTTGAACATTCCTATTGATAGAGCAGTTTGGAAACACTCTTGTTGTGGAATGTGCAAGTGGAGACTTGGAGCATTTTGAGGCCTATGGTAGTAAAGGGAATAGCTTCATAGAAAAACTAGACAGATGCATTCTCAGGAACTTTTTGGTGATGTTTGTATTCAACTCCCAGAGTTGAACTTTCCTTTGGAAAGAGCAGCTATGAAACACTCTTTTTCTAGAATCTGCAAGTGGACGTTTGGAGGGCTTTGTGGTTTGTGGTGGAAAAGGAAATATCTTCACCTAAATACTAGATAGAAGCATTCTCAGAAGCTTCTCTGTGATGACTGCATTCAACTCACGGAGTTGAACACTCCTTTTGAGAGCGCAGTTTTGAAACTCTCTTTCTGTGGCATCTGCAAGGGGACATGTAGACCTCTTTGAAGATTTCGTTGGAAACGGAATCATCTTCACATAAAAACTATACAGAAGCAGTCTCAGAATCTTCTTTGTGATGTTTGCATTCAAATCCCAGAGTTGAACTTTCCTTTCAAAGTTCACGTTTGAAACACTCTTTTTGCAGGATCTACAAGTGGATATTTGGACCACTCTGTGTCCTTCGTTCGAAACGGGTATATCTTCACACGACATCTAGACAGAAGCTTTCTCAGAAAATTCTTTGGGATGATTGAGTGGAACTCACAGAGCTGAACATTCCTTGCGATGTAGCAGTTTAGAAACACACTTTCTGCAGAATCTGCAAGTGCATATTTGGACCTCTCTGAGGAATTCGTTGGAAACGGGATAATTTCAGCTGACTAAACAGAAGCATTCTCAGAACCTTCTTCGTGATGTCTGCATTCAACTCACAGTGTGGAACCTTTCTTTGATAGTTCAGGTTTGAAACACTCTTTTTGTAGAAACTGCAAGGGGATAATTGCACTTCTTTGAGGCCTACCGTAGTAAAGGAAATAACTTCCTATAGAAAGAAGACAGAAGCATTCTCAGAACCCTCTTCGTGATGTTTGCATTCAACTCACAGTGCTGAACCTTTCTTTGATAGTTCAGCTTTGAAACACTCTTCTTGTAGAAACTGCAAGTGGATATTTGGTCCTCTCTGAGGATTTCGTTGGAAACGGGATAAACCGCACAGAACTAAACAGAAGAATTCTCAGAGCCCTCTTCGTGATGTTTGCATTCAACTCACAGTGCTGAACCTTTCTTTGATAGTGCAGCTTTGAAACACTCTTTTTGTAGAAACTGCAAGTGGATATTTGGTCCTCTCTGAGGATTTCGTTGGAAACGGGATAAACCGCACAGAACTAAAACAGAAGCATTCACAGAAAACTCTTGGTGACGACTGAGTTTAACTCACAGAGCTGAACATTCCTTTGGATGGAGCAGTTTCGAAACACACTATTTGTAGAATCTGCAAGTGGATATTTGGGCCTCTCTGAGGATTTCGTTGGAAACGGGATAAAACGCACAGAACTAAAACAGAAGCATTCTCAGAAACTACTTTGTGATTATTGCATTCAAGTCACAGAGTTGAACATTCCCTTTGACAGAGCAGTTTGGAAACTCTCTTTGTGTAGAATCTGCAAGTGGAGATATGGACCGCTTTGAGGCCTATGGTAGTAAAGGAAATAGCTTCATATAAAACCTAGACAGTAGCATTCTCAGAAACTTCTTTGTGATGCTTGCATTCAACTCACAGAGTTGAACTTTCCTTTCGAGAGAGAAGCTTTGAAACACTCTTTTTCCAGAATGTGCAAGTGGACATTTGGGGAGCTTTGAGGCCTGTGGAGGAAAAGGAATTATCTTCCCGTAAAAGCTAGATAGAAGCATTGTCAGAAACTTCTTTGAGATGATTGCATTCAACTCACAGAGTTGAAGGTTCCTTTTCAAACAGCAGTTTCCAATCACTCTTTCTGTGGAATCTGCAAGTGGATATTTCGACCTCTTTGAAGATTTCGTTGGAAACGGGAGAATCTTCACAGAAAAGCTAAACAGAAGCATTCTCAGAAACTTCTCTGTGATGTTTGTGTTCAACTCCCAGAGTTTCACGTTGCTTTTCATAGAGTAGTTCTGAAACATGCTTTTCGTAGTGTCTGCAAGTGGACATTTGGAGCGCTTTCAGGCCTGTGGTGGAAAACGAATTATGGTCACATAAAAACTGGAGAGAAGCCTTCTCAGAAACTTCTCTGTGATGATTGCATTCAACTCACAGAGTTGAACCCTCCTATGGATAGAGCAGTGTTGAAACTCTCTTTTTGTGGAATCTGCAAGTGGATATGTGGACCTCTCCGAAGATGTCTTTGGAAACGGGAATATCTTCACATAAAAACTAAACAGAAGCATTCTCAGAAACTTCTTGGTGATGTTTGCATTCAAATCCCAGAGTTGAACCTTCCTTTGATAGTTCAGGTTTGAAACACTCTTTCTGTAGGATCTGCAAGTGGCTATTTGGACCACTCTGTGGCCTTCGTTCGAAACGGGTATATCTTCGCATAAAATCTAGACAGAAGCATTCTCAGAAAATACTTTGTGATGATTGAGTTTAAATCACAGAGCTGACCATTCCTTTGGATGGAGCAGGTTTGAGACACACTTTTTGTAGAATCTACAAGTGGATATTTGGACCTCTCTGAGGATTTCGTTGGAAACGGGATAACTGCACCTAACTAAACGGAAGCATTCTCAGAAACTGCTTTGTGATGATTGCATTCACCTCACAGAGTTGAACATTCCTATTGATAGAGCAGTTTGGAAACACTCTTGTTGTGGAATGTGCAAGTGGAGATTTGGAGCGCTTTGAGGCCTGTGGTAGTAAAGGGAATAGCTTCATAGAAAAACTAGACAGATGCATTCTCAGGAACTTTTTGGTGATGTTTGTATTCAACTCCCAGAGTTGAACTTTCCTTTGGAAAGAGCAGCTATGAAACACTCTTTTTCTAGAATCTGCAAGTGGACGTTTGGAGGGCTTTGTGGTTTGTGGTGGAAAAGGAAATATCTTCACCTAAATACTAGATAGAAGCATTCTCAGAAGCTTCTCTGTGATGACTGCATTCAACTCACGGAGTTGAACACTCCTTTTGAGAGCGCAGTTTTGAAACTCTCTTTCTGTGGCATCTGCAAGGGGACATGTAGACCTCTTTGAAGATTTCGTTGGAAACGGAATCATCTTCACATAAAAACTATACAGAAGCAGTCTCAGAATCTTCTTTGTGATGTTTGCATTCAAATCCCAGAGTTGAACTTTCCTTTCAAAGTTCACGTTTGAAACACTCTTTTTGCAGGATCTACAAGTGGATATTTGGACCACTCTGTGTCCTTCGTTCGAAACGGGTATATCTTCACACGACATCTAGACAGAAGCTTTCTCAGAAAATTCTTTGGGATGATTGAGTGGAACTCACAGAGCTGAACATTCCTTGCGATGTAGCAGTTTAGAAACACACTTTCTGCAGAATCTGCAAGTGCATATTTGGACCTCTCTGAGGAATTCGTTGGAAACGGGATAATTTCAGCTGACTAAACAGAAGCATTCTCAGAACCTTCTTCGTGATGTCTGCATTCAACTCACAGTGTGGAACCTTTCTTTGATAGTTCAGGTTTGAAACACTCTTTTTGTAGAAACTGCAAGGGGATAATTGCACTTCTTTGAGGCCTACCGTAGTAAAGGAAATAACTTCCTATAGAAAGAAGACAGAAGCATTCTCAGAACCCTCTTCGTGATGTTTGCATTCAACTCACAGTGCTGAACCTTTCTTTGATAGTTCAGCTTTGAAACACTCTTCTTGTAGAAACTGCAAGTGGATATTTGGTCCTCTCTGAGGATTTCGTTGGAAACGGGATAAACCGCACAGAACTAAACAGAAGAATTCTCAGAGCCCTCTTCGTGATGTTTGCATTCAACTCACAGTGCTGAACCTTTCTTTGATAGTGCAGCTTTGAAACACTCTTTTTGTAGAAACTGCAAGTGGATGTTTGGTCCTCTCTGAGGATTTCGTTGGAAACGGGATAAACCGCACAGAACTAAAACAGAAGCATTGTCAGAAACTTCTTTGTGATGATTGCATTCAACTCACAGAGTTGAAGGTTCCTTTTCAAACAGCAGTTTCCAATCACTCTTTCTGTGGAATCTGCAAGTGGATATTTGGGCCTCTCTGAGGATTTCGTTGGAAACGGGATAAAACGCACAGAACTAAAACAGAAGCATTCTCAGAAACTTCTCTGTGATGTTTGTGTTCAACTCCCAGAGTTTCACGTTGCTTTTCATAGAGTAGTTCTGAAACATGCTTTTCGTAGTGTCTGCAAGTGGACATTTGGAGCGCTTTCAGGCCTGTGGTGGAAAACGAATTATGGTCACATAAAAACTGGAGAGAAGCCTTCTCAGAAACTTCTCTGTGATGATTGCATTCAACTCACAGAGTTGAACCCTCCTATGGATAGAGCAGTGTTGAAACTCTCTTTTTGTGGAATCTGCAAGTGGATATGTGGACCTCTCCGAAGATGTCTTTGGAAACGGGAATATCTTCACATAAAAACTAAACAGAAGCATTCTCAGAAACTTCTTGGTGATGTTTGCATTCAAATCCCAGAGTTGAACCTTCCTTTGATAGTTCAGGTTTGAAACACTCTTTCTGTAGGATCTGCAAGTGGCTATTTGGACCACTCTGTGGCCTTCGTTCGAAACGGGTATATCTTCGCATAAAATCTAGACAGAAGCATTCTCAGAAAATACTTTGTGATGATTGAGTTTAAATCACAGAGCTGACCATTCCTTTGGATGGAGCAGGTTTGAGACACACTTTTTGTAGAATCTACAAGTGGATATTTGGACCTCTCTGAGGATTTCGTTGGAAACGGGATAACTGCACCTAACTAAACGGAAGCATTCTCAGAAACTGCTTTGTGATGATTGCATTCACCTCACAGAGTTGAACATTCCTATTGATAGAGCAGTTTGGAAACACTCTTGTTGTGGAATGTGCAAGTGGAGATTTGGAGCGCTTTGAGGCCTATGGTAGTAAAGGGAATAGCTTCATAGAAAAACTAGACAGATGCATTCTCAGGAACTTTTTGGTGATGTTTGTATTCAACTCCCAGAGTTGAACTTTCCTTTGGAAAGAGCAGCTATGAAACACACTTTTTCTAGAATCTGCAAGTGGACGTTTGGAGGGCTTTGTGGTTTGTGGTGGAAAAGGAAATATCTTCACCTAAATACTAGACAGAAGCATTCTCAGAAGCTTCTCTGTGATGACTGCATTCAACTCACGGAGTTGAACACTCCTTTTGAGAGCGCAGTTTTGAAACTCTCTTTCTGTGGCATCTGCAAGGGGACATGTAGACCTCTTTGAAGATTTCGTTGGAAACGGAATCATCTTCACATAAAAACTATACAGAAGCAGTCTCAGAATCTTCTTTGTGATGTTTGCATTCAAATCCCAGAGTTGAACTTTCCTTTCAAAGTTCACGTTTGAAACACTCTTTTTGCAGGATCTACAAGTGGATATTTGGACCACTCTGTGTCCTTCGTTCGAAACGGGTATATCTTCACACGACATCTAGACAGAAGCTTTCTCAGAAAATTCTTTGGGATGATTGAGTGGAACTCACAGAGCTGAACATTCCTTGCGATGTAGCAGTTTAGAAACACACTTTCTGCAGAATCTGCAAGTGCATATTTGGACCTCTCTGAGGAATTCGTTGGAAACGGGATAATTTCAGCTGACTAAACAGAAGCATTCTCAGAACCTTCTTCGTGATGTCTGCATTCAACTCACAGTGTGGAACCTTTCTTTGATAGTTCAGGTTTGAAACACTCTTTTTGTAGAAACTGCAAGGGGATAATTGCACTTCTTTGAGGCCTACCGTAGTAAAGGAAATAACTTCCTATAGAAAGAAGACAGAAGCATTCTCAGAACCCTCTTCGTGATGTTTGCATTCAACTCACAGTGCTGAACCTTTCTTTGATAGTTCAGCTTTGAAACACTCTTCTTGTAGAAACTGCAAGTGGATATTTGGTCCTCTCTGAGGATTTCGTTGGAAACGGGATAAACCGCACAGAACTAAACAGAAGAACTCTCAGAGCCCTCTTCGTGATGTTTGCATTCAACTCACAGTGCTGAACCTTTCTTTGATAGTGCAGCTTTGAAACACTCTTTTTGTAGAAACTGCAAGTGGATATTTGGTCCTCTCTGAGGATTTCGTTGGAAACGGGATAAACCACACAGAACTAAAACAGAAGCATTCACAGAAAACTCTTGGTGACGACTGAGTTTAACTCACAGAGCTGAACATTCCTTTGGATGGAGCAGTTTCGAAACACACTATTTGTAGAATCTGCAAGTGGATATTTGGGCCTCTCTGAGGATTTCGTTGGAAACGGGATAAAACGCACAGAACTAAAACAGAAGCATTCTCAGAAACTACTTTGTGATGATTGCATTCAAGTCACAGAGTTGAACATTCCCTTTGACAGAGCAGTTTGGAAACTCTCTTTGTGTAGAATCTGCAAGTGGAGATATGGAACGCTTTGAGGCCTATGGTAGTAAAGGAAATAGCTTCATATAAAAGCTAGACAGTAGCATTCTCAGAAACTTCTTTGTGATGCTTGCATTCAACTCACTGAGTTGAACTTTCCTTTCGAGAGAGAAGCTTTGAAACACTCTTTTTCCAGAATCTGCAAGTGGACATTCGGAGGGCTTTGAGGCCTGTGGTGGAAAAGGAATTTTCTTCCCGTAAAAGCTAGATAGAAGCATTGTCAGAAACTTCTTTGTGATGATTGCATTCAACTCACAGAGTTGAAGGTTCCTTTTCAAAGAGCAGTTTCCAATCACTCTTTCTGTGGAATCTGCAAGTGGATATTTGGACCTCTTTGAAGATTTCGTTGGAAACGGGAGAATCTTCACAGAAAAGCTAAACAGAAGCATTCTCAGAAACTTCTCTGTGATGTTTGTGTTCAACTCCCAGAGTTTCACATTGCTTCTCATAGAGTAGTTCTGAAACATGCTTTTCGTAGTGTCTGCAAGTGGACATTTGGAGCGCTTTCAGGTCTGTGGTGGAAAACGAATTATGGTCACATAAAAACTGGAGAGAAGCCTTCTCAGAAACTTCTCTGTGATGATTGCATTCAACTCACAGAGTTGAACCCTCCTATGGATAGAGCAGTGTTGAAACTCTCTTTTTGTGGAATCTGCAAGTGGATATGTGGACCTCTCCGAAGATGTCTTTGGAAACGGGAATATCTTCACATAAAAACTAAACAGAAGCATTCTCAGAAACTTCTTGGTGATGTTTGCATTCAAATCCCAGAGTTGAACCTTCCTTTGATAGTTCAGGTTTGAAACACTCTTTCTGTAGGATCTGCAAGTGGCTATTTGGACCACTCTGTGGCCTTCGTTCGAAACGGGTATATCTTCGCATAAAATCTAGACAGAAGCATTCTCAGAAAATACTTTGTGATGATTGAGTTTAAATCACAGAGCTGACCATTCCTTTGGATGGAGCAGGTTTGAGACACACTTTTTGTAGAATCTACAAGTGGATATTTGGACCTCTCTGAGGATTTCGTTGGAAACGGGATAACTGCACCTAACTAAACGGAAGCATTCTCAGAAACTGCTTTGTGATGGTTGCATTCACCTCACAGAGTTGAACATTCCTATTGATAGAGCAGTTTGGAAACACTCTTGTTGTGGAATGTGCAAGTGGAGATTTGGAGCGCTTTGAGGCCTATGGTAGTAAAGGGAATAGCTTCATAGAAAAACTAGACAGATGCATTCTCAGGAACCTTTTGGTGATGTTTGTATTCAACTCCCAGAGTTGAACTTTCCTTTGGAAAGAGCAGCTATGAAACACTCTTTTTCTAGAATCTGCAAGTGGACGTTTGGAGGGCTTTGTGGTTTGTGGTGGAAAAGGAAATATCTTCACCTAAATACTAGATAGAAGCATTCTCAGAAGCTTCTCTGTGATGACTGCATTCAACTCACGGAGTTGAACACTCCTTTTGAGAGCGCAGTTTTGAAACTCTCTTTCTGTGGCATCTGCAAGGGGACATGTAGACCTCTTTGAAGATTTCGTTGGAAACGGAATCATCTTCACATAAAAACTATACAGAAGCAGTCTCAGAATCTTCTTTGTGATGTTTGCATTCAAATCCCAGAGTTGAACTTTCCTTTCAAAGTTCACGTTTGAAACACTCTTTTTGCAGGATCTACAAGTGGATATTTGGACCACTCTGTGTCCTTCGTTCGAAACGGGTATATCTTCACACGACATCTAGACAGAAGCTTTCTCAGAAAATTCTTTGGGATGATTGAGTGGAACTCACAGAGCTGAACATTCCTTGCGATGGAGCAGTTTAGAAACACACTTTCTGCAGAATCTGCAAGTGCATATTTGGACCTCTCTGAGGAATTCGTTGGAAACGGGATAATTTCAGCTGACTAAACAGAAGCATTCTCAGAACCTTCTTCGTGATGTCTGCATTCAACTCACAGTGTGGAACCTTACTTTGATAGTTCAGGTTTGAAACACTCTTTTTGTAGAAACTGCAAGGGGATAATTGCACTTCTTTGAGGCCTACCGTAGTAAAGGAAATAACTTCCTATAGAAAGAAGACAGAAGCATTCTCAGAACCCTCTTCGTGATATTTGCATTCAACTCACAGTGCTGAACCTTTCTTTGATAGTTCAGCTTTGAAACACTCTTCTTGTAGAAACTGCAAGTGGATATTTGGTCCTCTCTGAGGATTTCGTTGGAAACGGGATAAACCGCACAGAACTAAACAGAAGAATTCTCAGAGCCCTCTTCGTGATGTTTGCATTCAACTCACAGTGCTGAACCTTTCTTTGATAGTGCAGCTTTGAAACACTCTTTTTGTAGAAACTGCAAGTGGATATTTGGTCCTCTCTGAGGATTTCGTTGGAAACGGGATAAGCCGCACAGAACTAAAACAGAAGCATTGTCAGAAACTTCTTTGTGATGATTGCATTCAACTCACAGAGTTGAAGGTTCCTTTTCAAACAGCAGTTTCCAATCACTCTTTCTGTGGAATCTGCAAGTGGATATTTGGGCCTCTCTGAGGATTTCGTTGGAAACGGGATAAAACGCACAGAACTAAAACAGAAGCATTCTCAGAAACTTCTCTGTGATGTTTGTGTTCAACTCCCAGAGTTTCACGTTGCTTTTCATAGAGTAGTTCTGAAACATGCTTTTCGTAGTGTCTGCAAGTGGACATTTGGAGCGCTTTCAGGCCTGTGGTGGAAAACGAATTATGGTCACATAAAAACTGGAGAGAAGCCTTCTCAGAAACTTCTCTGTGATGATTGCATTCAACTCACAGAGTTGAACCCTCCTATGGATAGAGCAGTGTTGAAACTCTCTTTTTGTGGAACCTGCAAGTGGATATGTGGACCTCTCCGAAGATGTCTTTGGAAACGGGAATATCTTCACATAAAAACTAAACAGAAGCATTCTCAGAAACTTCTTGGTGATGTTTGCATTCAAATCCCAGAGTTGAACCTTCCTTTGATAGTTCAGGTTTGAAACACTCTTTCTGTAGGATCTGCAAGTGGCTATTTGGACCACTCTGTGGCCTTCGTTCGAAACGGGTATATCTTCGCATAAAATCTAGACAGAAGCATTCTCAGAAAATACTTTGTGATGATTGAGTTTAAATCACAGAGCTGACCATTCCTTTGGATGGAGCAGGTTTGAGACACACTTTTTGTAGAATCTACAAGTGGATATTTGGACCTCTCTGAGGATTTCGTTGGAAACGGGATAACTGCACCTAACTAAACGGAAGCATTCTCAGAAACTGCTTTGTGATGATTGCATTCACCTCACAGAGTTGAACATTCCTATTGATAGAGCAGTTTGGAAACACTCTTGTTGTGGAATGTGCAAGTGGAGATTTGGAGCGCTTTGAGGCCTGTGGTAGTAAAGGGAATAGCTTCATAGAAAAACTAGACAGATGCATTCTCAGGAACCTTTTCGTGATGTTTGTATTCAACTCCCAGAGTTGAACTTTCCTTTGGAAAGAGCAGCTATGAAACACTCTTTTTCTAGAATCTGCAAGTGGACGTTTGGAGGGCTTTGTGGTTTGTGGTGGAAAAGGAAATATCTTCACCTAAATACTAGATAGAAGCATTCTCAGAAGCTTCTCTGTGATGACTGCATTCAACTCACGGAGTTGAACACTCCTTTTGAGAGCGCAGTTTTGAAACTCTCTTTCTGTGGCATCCGCAAGGGGACATGTGGACCTCTTTGAAGATTTCGTTGGAAACGGAATCATCTTCACATAAAAACTATACAGAAGCAGTCTCAGAATCTTGTTTGTGATGTTTGCATTCAAATCCCAGAGTTGAACTTTCCTTTCAAAGTTCACGTTTGAAACACTCTTTTTGCAGGATCTACAAGTGGATATTTGGACCACTCTGTGTCCTTCGTTCGAAACGGGTATATCTTCACAGGACATCTAGACAGAAGCTTTCTCAGAAAATTCTTTGGGATGATTGAGTTGAACTCACGGAGCTGAACATTCCTTGCGATGTAGCAGTTTAGAAACACACTTTCTGCAGAATCTGCAAGTGCATATTTGGACCTCTCTGAGGAATTCGTTGGAAACGGGATAATTTCAGCTGACTAAACAGAAGCATTCTCAGAACCTTCTTCGTGATGTCTGCATTCAACTCACAGTGTGGAACCTTTCTTTGATAGTTCAGGTTTGAAACACTCTTTTTGTAGAAACTGCAAGGGGATAATTGCACTTCTTTGAGGCCTACCGTAGTAAAGGAAATAACTTCCTATAAAAAGAAGACAGAAGCATTCTCAGAACCTTCTTCGTGATGTTTGCATTCAACTCACAGTGTTGAACCTTTCTTTCACAGTTCAGCTTTGAAACACTCTTTTTGTAGAAACTGCAAGTGGATATTTGGTTCTCTCTGAGGATTTCGTTGGAAACGGGATAAACTGCACAGAACTAAACAGAAGCATTCTCAGAACCCTCTTCGTGATGTTTGCATTCAACACACAGTGCTGAACCTTTCTTTGATAGTTCAGCTTTGAAACACTCTTCTTGTAGAAACTGCAAGTGGATATTTGGTCCTCTCTGAGGATTTCGTTGGAAACGGGATAAACCGCACAGAACTAAAACAGAAGCATTCTCAGAACCTTCTTCGTGATGTTTGCATTCAACTCACAGTGTTGAACCTTTCTTTGATAGTTCAGGTTTGAAACGGTCTTTCTGTAGAAACTGCAAGTAGATATTTGGACCTCTCTGAGGATTTCGTTGGAAACGGGATAACCCGCACAGAACTAAAACAGAAGCATTCACAGAAAACTCTTGGTGACGACTGAGTTTAACTCACAGAGCTGAACATTCCTTTGGATGGAGCAGTTTCGAAACACACTATTTGTAGAATGTGCAAGTGGATATTTAGGCCTCTCTGAGGATTTCGTTGGAAACGGGATAAACCGCACAGAACTAAACAGAAGCATTCTCAGAAACTACTTTGTGATGATTGCATTCAAGTCACAGAGTTGAACATTCCCTTTGACAGAGCAGTTTGGAAACTCTCTTTGTGTAGAATCTGCAAGTGGAGATATGGACCGCTTTGAGGCCTATGGTAGTAAAGGAAATAGCTTCATATAAAAGCTAGACAGTAGCATTCTCAGAAACTTCTTTGTGATGCTTGCATTCAACTCACAGAGTTGAACTTTCCTTTCGAGAGAGAAGCTTTGAAACACTCTTTTTCCAGAATCTGCAAGTGGACATTTGGAGGGCTTTGAGGCCTGTGGTGGAAAAGGAATTATCTTCCCGTAAAAGCTAGATAGAAGCATTGTCAGAAACTTCTTTGTGATGATTGCATTCAACTCACAGAGTTGAAGGTTCCTTTTCAAACAGCAGTTTCCAATCACTCTTTCTGTGGAATCTGCAGGTGGATATTTCGACCTCTTTGAAGATTTCGTTGGAAACGGGAGAATCTTCACAGAAAAGCTAAACAGAAGCATTCTCAGAAACTTCTCTGTGATGTTTGTGTTCAACTCCCAGAGTTTCACCGTTGCTTTTCATAGAGTAGTTCTGAAACATGCTTTTCGTAGTGTCTGCAAGTGGACATTTGGAGCGCTTTCAGGCCTGTGGTGGAAAACGAATTATGGTCACATAAAAACTGGAGAGAAGCCTTCTCAGAAACTTCTCTGTGATGATTGCATTCAACTCACAGAGTTGAACCCTCCTATGGATAGAGCAGTGTTGAAACTCTCTTTTTGTGGAACCTGCAAGTGGATATGTGGACCTCTCCGAAGATGTCTTTGGAAACGGGAATATCTTCACATAAAAACTAAACAGAAGCATTCTCAGAAACTTCTTGGTGATGTTTGCATTCAAATCCCAGAGTTGAACCTTCCTTTGATAGTTCAGGTTTGAAACACTCTTTCTGTAGGATCTGCAAGTGGCTATTTGGACCACTCTGTGGCCTTCGTTCGAAACGGGTATATCTTCGCATAAAATCTAGACAGAAGCATTCTCAGAAAATACTTTGTGATGATTGAGTTTAAATCACAGAGCTGACCATTCCTTTGGATGGAGCAGGTTTGAGACACACTTTTTGTAGAATCTACAAGTGGATATTTGGACCTCTCTGAGGATTTCGTTGGAAACGGGATAACTGCACCTAACTAAACGGAAGCATTCTCAGAAACTGCTTTGTGATGATTGCATTCACCTCACAGAGTTGAACATTCCTATTGATAGAGCAGTTTGGAAACACTCTTGTTGTGGAATGTGCAAGTGGAGATTTGGAGCGCTTTGAGGCCTATGGTAGTAAAGGGAATAGCTTCATAGAAAAACTAGACAGATGCATTCTCAGGAACTTTTTGGTGATGTTTGTATTCAACTCCCAGAGTTGAACTTTCCTTTGGAAAGAGCAGCTATGAAACACTCTTTTTCTAGAATCTGCAAGTGGACGTTTGGAGGGCTTTGTGGTTTGTGGTGGAAAAGGAAATATCTTCACCTAAATACTAGATAGAAGCATTCTCAGAAGCTTCTCTGTGATGACTGCATTCAACTCACGGAGTTGAACACTCCTTTTGAGAGCGCAGTTTTGAAACTCTCTTTCTGTGGCATCTGCAAGGGGACATGTAGAACTCTTTGAAGATTTCGTTGGAAACGGAATCATCTTCACATAAAAACTATACAGAAGCAGTCTCAGAATCTTCTTTGTGATGTTTGCATTCAAATCCCAGAGTTGAACTTTCCTTTCAAAGTTCACGTTTGAAACACTCTTTTTGCAGGATCTACAAGTGGATATTTGGACCACTCTGTGTCCTTCGTTCGAAACGGGTATATCTTCACATGACATCTAGACAGAAGCTTTCTCAGAAAATTCTTTGGGTTGATTGAGTTGAACTCACAGAGCTGAACATTCCTTGCGATGTAGCAGTTTAGAAACACACTTTCTGCAGAATCTGCAAGTGCATATTTGGACCTCTCTGAGGAATTCGTTGGAAACGGGATAATTTCAGCTGACTAAACAGAAGCATTCTCAGAACCTTCTTCGTGATGTCTGCATTCAACTCACAGTGTGGAACCTTTCTTTGATAGTTCAGGTTTGAAACACTCTTTTTGTAGAAACTGCAAGGGGATAATTGCACTTCTTTGAGGCCTACCGTAGTAAAGGAAATAACTTCCTATAGAAAGAAGACAGAAGCATTCTCAGAACCCTCTTCGTGATGTTTGCATTCAACTCACAGTGCTGAACCTTTCTTTGATAGTTCAGCTTTGAAACACTCTTCTTGTAGAAACTGCAAGTGGATATTTGGTCCTCTCTGAGGATTTCGTTGGAAACGGGATAAACCGCACAGAACTAAACAGAAGCATTCTCAGAACCTTCTTCGTGATGTTTGCATTCAACTCACAGTGTTGAACCTTTCTGTGATAGTTCAGGTTGGAAACGGTCTTTCTGTAGAAACTGCAAGTAGATATTTGGACCTCTCTGAGGATTTCGTTGGAAACGGGATAAACCGCACAGAACTAAAACAGAAGCATTCACAGAAAACTCTTGGTGATGACTGAGTTTAACTCACAGAGCTGAACATTCCTTTGGATGGAGCAGTTTCGAAACACACTATTTGTAGAATGTGCAAGTGGATATTTGGGCCTCTCTGAGGATTTCGTTGGAAACGGGATAAACCGCACAGAACTAAACAGAAGCATTCTCAGAAACTACTTTGTGATGATTGCATTCAAGTCACAGAGTTTAACATTCCCTTTGACAGAGCAGTTTGGAAACTCTCTTTGTGTAGAATCTGCAAGTGGAGATATGGACCGCTTTGAGGCCTATGGTAGTAAAGGAAATAGCTTCATATAAAAGCTAGACAGTAGCATTCTCAGAAACTTCTTTGTGATGCTTGCATTCAACTCACAGAGTTGAACTTTCCTTTCGAGAGAGAAGCTTTGAAACACTCTTTTTCCAGAATCTGCAAGTGTAGATTTGGAGGGCTTTGAGGCCTGTGGTGGAAAAGGAATTATCTTCCCGTAAAAGCTAGATGGAAGCATTGTCAGAAACTTCTTTGTGATGATTGCATTCAACTCACAGAGTTGAAGGTTCCTTTTCAAACAGCAGTTTCCAATCACTCTTTCTGTGGAATCTGCAAGTGGATATTTGGGCCTCTCTGAGGATTTCGTTGGAAACGGGATAAAACGCACAGAACTAAAACAGAAGCATTCTCAGAAACTTCTCTGTGATGTTTGTGTTCAACTCCCAGAGTTTCACGTTGCTTTTCATAGAGTAGTTCTGAAACATGCTTTTCGTAGTGTCTGCAAGTGGACATTTGGAGCGCTTTCAGGCCTGTGGTGGAAAACGAATTATGGTCACATAAAAACTGGAGAGAAGCCTTCTCAGAAACTTCTCTGTGATGATTGCATTCAACTCACAGAGTTGAACCCTCCTATGGATAGAGCAGTGTTGAAACTCTCTTTTTGTGGAATCTGCAAGTGGATATGTGGACCTCTCCGAAGATGTCTTTGGAAACGGGAATATCTTCACATAAAAACTAAACAGAAGCATTCTCAGAAACTTCTTGGTGATGTTTGCATTCAAATCCCAGAGTTGAACCTTCCTTTGATAGTTCAGGTTTGAAACACTCTTTTTGTAGGATCTGCAAGTGGCTATTTGGACCACTCTGTGGCCTTCGTTCGAAACGGGTATATCTTCGCATAAAATCTAGACAGAAGCATTCTCAGAAAATACTTTGTGATGATTGAGTTTAAATCACAGAGCTGACCATTCCTTTGGATGGAGCAGGTTTGAGACACACTTTTTGTAGAATCTACAAGTGGATATTTGGACCTCTCTGAGGATTTCGTTGGAAACGGGATAACTGCACCTAACTAAACGGAAGCATTCTCAGAAACTGCTTTGTGATGATTGCATTCACCTCACAGAGTTGAACATTCCTATTGATAGAGCAGTTTGGAAACACTCTTGTTGTGGAATGTGCAAGTGGAGATTTGGAGCGCTTTGAGGCCTATGGTAGTAAAGGGAATAGCTTCATAGAAAAACTAGACAGATGCATTCTCAGGAACTTTTTGGTGATGTTTGTATTCAACTCCCAGAGTTGAACTTTCCTTTGGAAAGAGCAGCTATGAAACACTCTTTTTCTAGAATCTGCAAGTGGACGTTTGGAGGGCTTTGTGGTTTGTGGTGGAAAAGGAAATATCTTCACCTAAATACTAGATAGAAGCATTCTCAGAAGCTTCTCTGTGATGACTGCATTCAACTCACGGAGTTGAACACTCCTTTTGAGAGCGCAGTTTTGAAACTCTCTTTCTGTGGCATCTGCAAGGGGACATGTAGACCTCTTTGAAGATTTCGTTGGAAACGGAATCATCTTCACATAAAAACTATACAGAAGCAGTCTCAGAATCTTCTTTGTGATGTTTGCATTCAAATCCCAGAGTTGAACTTTCCTTTCAAAGTTCACGTTTGAAACACTCTTTTTGCAGGATCTACAAGTGGATATTTGGACCACTCTGTGTCCTTCGTTCGAAACGGGTATATCTTCACATGACATCTAGACAGAAGCTTTCTCAGAAAATTCTTTGGGATGATTGAGTTGAACTCACAGAGCTGAACATTCCTTGCGATGGAGCAGTTTAGAAACACACTTTCTGCAGAATCTGCAAGTGCATATTTGGACCTCTCTGAGGAATTCGTTGGAAACGCGATAATTTCAGCTGACTAAACAGAAGCATTCTCAGAACCTTCTTCGTGATGTCTGCATTCAACTCACAGTGTGGAACCTTTCTTTGATAGTTCAGGTTTGAAACACTCTTTTTGTAGAAACTGCAAGGGGATAATTGCACTTCTTTGAGGCCTACCGTAGTAAAGGAAATAACTTCCTATAGAAAGAAGACAGAAGCATTCTCAGAACCCTCTTCGTGATGTTTGCATTCAACTCACAGTGCTGAACCTTTCTTTGATAGTTCAGCTTTGAAACACTCTTCTTGTAGAAACTGCAAGTGGATATTTGGTCCTCTCTGAGGATTTCGTTGGAAACGGGATAAACCGCACAGAACTAAACAGAAGAATTCTCAGAGCCCTCTTCGTGATGTTTGCATTCAACTCACAGTGCTGAACCTTTCTTTGATAGTGCAGCTTTGAAACACTCTTTTTGTAGAAACTGCAAGTGGATGTTTGGTCCTCTCTGAGGATTTCGTTGGAAACGGGATAAACCGCACAGAACTAAAACAGAAGCATTGTCAGAAACTTCTTTGTGATGATTGCATTCAACTCACAGAGTTGAAGGTTCCTTTTCAAACAGCAGTTTCCAATCACTCTTTCTGTGGAATCTGCAAGTGGATATTTGGGCCTCTCTGAGGATTTCGTTGGAAACGGGATAAAACGCACAGAACTAAAACAGAAGCATTCTCAGAAACTTCTCTGTGATGTTTGTGTTCAACTCCCAGAGTTTCACGTTGCTTTTCATAGAGTACTTCTGAAACATGCTTTTCGTAGTGTCTGCAAGTGGACATTTGGAGCGCTTTCAGGCCTGTGGTGGAAAACGAATTATGGTCACATAAAAACTGGAGAGAAGCCTTCTCAGAAACTTCTCTGTGATGATTGCATTCAACTCACAGAGTTGAACCCTCCTATGGATAGAGCAGTGTTGAAACTCTCTTTTTGTGGAATCTGCAAGTGGATATGTGGACCTCTCCGAAGATGTCTTTGGAAACGGGAATATCTTCACATAAAAACTTAACAGAAGCATTCTCAGAAACTTCTTGGTGATGTTTGCATTCAAATCCCAGAGTTGAACCTTCCTTTGATAGTTCAGGTTTGAAACACTCTTTCTGTAGGATCTGCAAGTGGCTATTTGGACCACTCTGTGGCCTTCGTTCGAAACGGGTATATCTTCGCATAAAATCTAGACAGAAGCATTCTCAGAAAATACTTTGTGATGATTGAGTTTAAATCACAGAGCTGACCATTCCTTTGGATGGAGCAGGTTTGAGACACACTTTTTGTAGAATCTACAAGTGGATATTTGGACCTCTCTGAGGATTTCGTTGGAAACAGGATAACTGCACCTAACTAAACGGAAGCATTCTCAGAAACTGCTTTGTGATGATTGCATTCACCTCACCAGAGTTGAACATTCCTATTGATAGAGCAGTTTGGAAACACTCTTGTTGTGGAATGTGCAAGTGGAGATTTGGAGCGCTTTGAGGCCTATGGTAGTAAAGGGAATAGCTTCATAGAAAAACTAGACAGATGCATTCTCAGGAACTTTTTGGTGATGTTTGTATTCAACTCCCAGAGTTGAACTTTCCTTTGGAAAGAGCAGCTATGAAACACTCTTTTTCTAGAATCTGCAAGTGGACGTTTGGAGGGCTTTGTGGTTTGTGGTGGAAAAGGAAATATCTTCACCTAAATACTAGATAGAAGCATTCTCAGAAGCTTCTCTGTGATGACTGCATTCAACTCACGGAGTTGAACACTCCTTTTGAGAGCGCAGTTTTGAAACTCCCTTTCTGTGGCATCTGCAAGGGGACATGTAGACCTCTTTGAAGATTTCGTTGGAAACGGAATCATCTTCACATAAAAACTATACAGAAGCAGTCTCAGAATCTTCTTTGTGATGTTTGCATTCAAATCCCAGAGTTGAACTTTCCTTTCAAAGTTCACGTTTGAAACACTCTTTTTGCAGGATCTACAAGTGGATATTTGGACCACTCTGTGTCCTTCCTTCGAAACGGGTATATCTTCACATGACATCTAGACAGAAGCTTTCTCAGAAAATTCTTTGGAATGATTGAGTGGAACTCACAGAGCTGAACATCCCTTGCGATGTAGCAGTTTAGAAACACACTTTCTGCAGAATCTGCAAGTGCATATTTGGACCTCTCTGAGGAATTCGTTGGAAACGGGATAATTTCAGCTGACTAAACAGAAGCATTCTCAGAACCTTCTTCGTGATGTCTGCATTCAACTCACAGTGTGGAACCTTTCTTTGATAGTTCAGGTTTGAAACACTCTTTTTGTAGAAACTGCAAGGGGATAATTGCACTTCTTTGAGGCCTACCGTAGTAAAGGAAATAACTTCCTATAGAAAGAAGACAGAAGCATTCTCAGAACCCTCTTCGTGATGTTTGCATTCAACTCACAGTGCTGAACCTTTCTTTGATAGTTCAGCTTTGAAACACTCTTCTTGTAGAAACTGTAAGTGGATATTTGCTCCTCTCTGAGGATTTCGTTGTAGACGTGATACACCGCACAGAACTAAACAGAAGCATTCTCAGAACCTTCTTCGTGATGTTTGCATTCAACTCACAGTGTTGAACCTTTCTTTGATAGTTCAGGTTGGAAACGGTCTTTCTGTAGAAACTGCAAGTAGATATTTGGACCTCTCTGAGGATTTCGTTGGAAACGGGATAAACCGCACAGAACTAAAACAGAAGCATTCACAGAAAACTCTTGGTGACGACTGAGTTTAACTCACAGAGCTGAACATTCCTTTGGATGGAGCAGTTTCGAAACACACTATTTGTACAATGTGCAAGTGGATATTTGGGCCTCTCTGAGGATTTCGTTGGAAACAGGATAAACCGCACAGAACTAAACAGAAGCATTCTCAGAAACTACTTTGTGATGATTGCATTCAAGTCACAGAGTTGAACATTCCCTTTGACAGAGCAGTTTGGAAACTCTCTTTGTGTAGAATCTGCAAGTGGAGATATGGACCGCTTTGAGGCCTATGGTAGTAAAGGAAATAGCTTCATATAAAAGCTAGACAGTAGCATTCTCAGAAACTTCTTTGTGATGCTTGCATTCAACTCACAGAGTTGAACTTTCCTTTCGAGAGAGAAGCTTTGAAACACTCTTTTTCCAGAATCTGCAAGTGGACATTTGGAGGGCTTTGAGGCCTGTGGTGGAAAAGGAATTATCTTCCCGTAAAAGCTAGATAGAAGCATTGTCAGAAACTTCTTTGTGATGATTGCATTCAACTCACAGAGTTGAAGGTTCCTTTTCAAAGAGCAGTTTCCAATCACTCTTTCTGTGGAATCTGCAAGTGGATATTTGGACCTATTTTGAAGATTTCGTTGGAAACGGGAGAATCTTCACAGGAAAGCTAAACAGAAGCATTCTCAGAAACTTCTCTGTGATGTTTGTGTTCAACTCCCAGAGTTTCACATTGCTTTTCATAGAGTAGTTCTGAAACATGCTTTTCGTAGTGTCTACAAGTGGACATTTGGAGCGCTTTCAGGCCTGTGGTGGAAAACGAATTATGGTCACATAAAAACTGGAGAGAAGCCTTCTCAGAAACTTCTCTGTGATGATTGCATTCAACTCACAGAGTTGAACCCTCCTATGGATAGAGCAGTGTTGAAACTCTCTTTTTGTGGAATCTGCAAGTGGATATGTGGACCTCTCCGAAGATGTCTTTGGAAACGGGAATATCTTCACATAAAAACTAAACAGAAGCATTCTCAGAAACTTCTTGGTGATGTTTGCATTCAAATCCCAGAGTTGAACCTTCCTTTGATAGTTCAGGTTTGAAACACTCTTTTTGTAGGATCTGCAAGTGGATATTTGGACCACTCTGTGGCCTTCGTTCGAAACGGGTATATCTTCGCATAAAATCTAGACAGAAGCATTCTCAGAAAATACTTTGTGATGATTGAGTTGAACTCACAGAGCTGAACATTCCTTTGGATGGAGCAGGTTTGAGACACACTTTTTGTAGAATCTACAAGTGGATATTTGGACCTCTCTGAGGATTTCGTTGGAAACGGGATAACTGCACCTAACTAAACGGAAGAATTCTCAGAAACTGCTTTGTGATGATTGCATTCACCTCACAGAGTTGAACATTCCTATTGATAGAGCAGTTTGGAAACACTCTTCTTGTGGAATGTGCAAGTGGTGATTTGGAGTGCTTTGAGGCCTATGGTAGTAAAGGGAATAGCTTCATAGAAAAACTAGACAGATGCATTCTCAGGAACTTTTTGGTGATGTTTGTATTCAACTCCCAGAGTTGAACTTTCCTTTGGAAAGAGCAGCTATGAAACACTCTTTTTCTAGAATCTGCAAGTGGACGTTTGGAGGGCTTTGTGGTTTGTGGTGGAAAAGGAAATATCTTCACCTAAATACTAGATAGAAGCATTCTCAGAAGCTTCTCTGTGATGACTGCATTCAACTCACGGAGTCTGAACACTCCTTTTGAGAGCGCAGTTTTGAAACTCTCTTTCTGTGGCATCTGCAAGGGGACATGTAGACCTCTTTGAAGATTTCGTTGGAAACGGAATCATCTTCACATAAAAACTATACAGAAGCAGTCTCAGAATCTTCTTTGTGATGTTTGCATTCAAATCCCAGAGTTGAACTTTCCTCTCAAAGTTCACGTTTGAAACACTCTTTTTGCAGGATCTACAAGTGGATATTTGGACCACTCTGTGTCCTTCGTTCGAAACGGGTATATCTTCACACGACATCTAGACAGAAGCTTTCTCAGAAAATTCTTTGGGATGATTGAGTTGAACTCACAGAGCTGAGCATTCCTTGCGATGTAGCAGTTTAGAAACACACTTTCTGCAGAATCTGCAAGTGCATATTTGGACCTCTGTGAGGAATTCGTTGGAAACGGGATAATTTCAGCTGACTAAACAGAAGCATTCTCAGAACCTTCTTCGTGATGTCTGCATTCAACTCACAGTGTGGAACCTTTCTTTGATAGTTCAGGTTTGAAACACTCTTTTTGTAGAAACTGCAAGGGGATAATTGCACTCTTTGAGGAGTACCCGTAGTAAAGGAAATAACTTCCTATAAAAAGAAGACAGAAGAATTCTCAGAGCCCTCTTCGTGATGTTTGCATTCAACTCACAGTGCTGAACCTTTCTTTGATAGTGCAGCTTTGAAACACTCTTTTTGTAGAAACTGCAAGTGGATGTTTGGTCCTCTCTGAGGATTTCGTTGGAAACGGGATAAACCGCACAGAACTAAAACAGAAGCATTGTCAGAAACTTCTTTGTGATGATTGCATTCAACTCACAGAGTTGAAGGTTCCTTTTCAAACAGCAGTTTCCAATCACTCTTTCTGTGGAATCTGCAAGTGGATATTTGGGCCTCTCTGAGGATTTCGTTGGAAACGGGATAAAACGCACAGAAATAAAACAGAAGCATTCTCAGAAACTTCTCTGTGATGTTTGTGTTCAACTCCCAGAGTTTCACGTTGCTTTTCATAGAGTAGTTCTGAAGCATGCTTTTCGTAGTGTCTGCAAGTGGACATTTGGAGCGCTTTCAGGCCTGTGGTGGAAAACGAATTATGGTCACATAAAAACTGGAGAGAAGCCTTCTCAGAAACTTCTCTGTGATGATTGCATTCAACTCACAGAGTTGAACCCTCCTATGGATAGAGCAGTGTTGAAACTCTCTTTTTGTGGAATCTGCAAGTGGATATGTGGACCTCTCCGAAGATGTCTTTGGAAACGGGAATATCTTCACATAAAAACTAAACAGAAGCATTCTCAGAAACTTCTTGGTGATGTTTGCATTCAAATCCCAGAGTTGAACCTTCCTTTGATAGTTCAGGTTTGAAACACTCTTTTTGTAGGATCTGCAAGTGGCTATTTGGACCACTCTGTGGCCTTCGTTCGAAACGGGTATATCTTCGCATAAAATCTAGACAGAAAGCATTCTCAGAAAATACTTTGTGATGATTGAGTTGAACTCACAGAGCTGAACATTCCTTTGGATGGAGCAGGTTTGAGACACACTTTTTGTAGAATCTACAAGTGGATATTTGGACCTCTCTGAGGATTTCGTTGGAAACGGGATAACTGCACCTAACTAAACGGAAGCATTCTCAGAAACTGCTTTGTGATGATTGCATTCACCTCACAGAGTTGAACATTCCTATTGATAGAGCAGTTTGGAAACACTCTTGTTGTGGAATGTGCAAGTGGAGATTTGGAGCGCTTTGAGGCCTATGGTAGTAAAGGGAATAGCTTCATAGAAAAACTAGACAGATGCATTCTCAGGAACTTTTTGGTGATGTTTGTATTCAACTCCCAGAGTTGAACTTTCCTTTGGAAAGAGCAGCTATGAAACACTCTTTTTCTAGAATCTGCAAGTGGACGTTTGGAGGGCTATGTGGTTTGTGGTGGAAAAGGAAATATCTTCACCTAAATACTAGATAGAAGCATTCTCAGAAGCTTCTCTGTGATGACTGCATTCAACTCACGGAGTTGAACACTCCTTTTGAGAGCGCAGTTTTGAAACTCTCTTTCTGTGGCATCTGCAAGGGGACATGTAGACCTCTTTGAAGATTTCGTTGGAAACGGAATCATCTTCACATCAAAACTATACAGAAGCAGTCTCAGAATCTTCTTTGTGATGTTTGCATTCAAATCCCAGAGTTGAACTTTCCTTTCCAAGTTCACGTTTGAAACACTCTTTTTGCAGGATCTGCAAGTGGATATTTGGACCACTCTGTGTCCTTCGTTCGAAACGGGTATATCTTCACATGACATCTAGACAGAAGCTTTCTCAGAAAATTCTTTGGGATGATTGAGTTGAGCAAACAGAGCTGAACACTCCTTGCGATGTAGCAGTTTAGAAACACACTTTCTGCAGAATCTGCAAGTGCATATGTGGACCTCTCTGAGGAATTCGTTGGAAACGGGATAATTTCAGCTGACTAAACAGAAGCATTCTCAGAACCTTCTTCATGATGTCTGCATTCAACTCACAGTGTGGAACCTTTCTTTGATAGTTCAGGTTTGAAACACTCTTTTTGTAGAAACTGCAAGGGGATCATTGCACTTCTTTGAGGCCTACCGTAGTAAAGGAGATAACTTCCTATAAAAAGAAGACAGAAGCATTCTCAGAACACTCTTCGTGATGTTTGCATTCAACTCACGGTGCTGAACCTTTCTTTGATAGTTCAGCTTTGAAACACTCTTTTTGTAGAAACTGCAAGTGGATATTTGGTCCTCTCTGAGGATTTCGTTGGAAACGGGATAAACCGCACAGAACTAAACAGAAGCATTCTCAGAACCTTCTTCGTGATGTTTGCATTCAACTCACAGTGTTGAACCTTTCTTTGATAGTTCAGGTTTGAAACGGTCTTTCTGTAGAAACTGCAAGTAGATATTTAGACCTCTCTGAGGATTTCGTTGGAAACGGGATAAACAGCACAGAACTAAAACAGAAGCATTCACAGAAAACTCTTGGTGACGACTGAGTTTAACTCACAGAGCTGAACATTCCTTTGGATGGAGCAGTTTCGAAACACACTATTTGTAGAATGTGCAAGTGGATATTTAGGCCTCTCTGAGGATTTCGTTGGAAACGGGATAAACCGCACAGAACTAAACAGAAGCATTCTCAGAAACTACTTTGTGATGATTGCATTCAAGTCACAGAGTTGAACATTCCCTTTGACAGAGCAGTTTGGAAACTCTCTTTGTGTAGAATCTGCAAGTGGAGATATGGACCGCTTTGAGGCCTATGGTAGTAAAGGAAATAGCTTCATATAAAAGCTAGACAGTAGCATTCTCAGAAACTTCTTTGTGATGCTTGCATTCAACTCACAGAGTTGAACTTTCCTTTCGAGAGAGAAGCTTTGAAACACTCTTTTTCCAGAATCTGCAAGTGGACATTTGGAGGGCTTTGAGGCCTGTGGTGGAAAAGGAATTATCTTCCCGTAAAAGCTAGATAGAAGCATTGTCAGAAACTTCTTTGTGATGATTGCATTCAAGTCACAGAGTTGAAGGTTCCTTTTCAAAGAGCAGTTTCCAATCACTCTTTCTGTGGAATCTGCAAGTGGATATTTGGACCTCTTTGAAGATTTCGTTGGAAACGGGAGAATCTTCACAGAAAAGCTAAACAGAAGCATTCTCAGAAACTTCTCTGTGATGTTTGTGTTCAACTCCCAGAGTTTCACGTTGCTTCTCATAGAGTAGTTCTGAAACATGCTTTTCGTAGTGTCTGCAAGTGGACATTTGGAGCGCTTTCAGGCCTGTGGTGGAAAACGAATTATGGTCACATAAAAACTGGAGAGAAGCCTTCTCAGAAACTTCTCTGTGATGATTGCATTCAACTCACAGAGTTGAACCCTCCTATGGATAGAGCAGTGTTGAAACTCTCTTTTTGTGGAATCTGCAAGTGGATATGTGGACCTCTCCGAAGATGTCTTTGGAAACGGGAATATCTTCACATAAAAACTAAACAGAAGCATTCTCAGAAACTTCTTGGTGATGTTTGCATTCAAATCCCAGAGTTGAACCTTCCTTTGAGAGTTCAGGTTTGAAACACTCTTTTTGTAGGATCTGCAAGTGGATATTTGGACCACTCTGTGGCCTTCGTTCGAAACGGGTACATCTTCGCATAAAATCTAGACAGAAGCATTCTCAGAAAATACTTTGTGATGATTGAGTTGAACTCACAGAGCTGAACATTCCTTTGGATGGAGCAGGTTTGAGACACACTTCTTGTAGAATCTACAAGTGGATATTTGGACCTCTCTGAGGATTTCGTTGGGAACGGGATAACTGCACCTAACTAAACGGAAGCATTCTCAGAAACTGCTTTGTGATGATTGCATTCACCTCACAGAGTTGAACATTTCTATTGATAGAGCAGTTTGGAAACACTCTTGTTGTGGAATGTGCAAGTGGAGATTTGGAGCGCTTTGAGGCCTATGGTATTAGAGGGAATAGCTTCATAGAAAAACTAGACAGATGCATTCTCAGGAACTTTTTGGTGATGTTTGTATTCAACTCCCAGAGTTGAACTTTCCTTTGGAAAGAGCAGCTATGAAACACTCTTTTTCTAGAATCTGCAAGTGGACGTTTGGAGGGCTTTGTGGTTTGTGGTGGAAAAGGAAATATCTTCACCTAAATACTAGATAGAAGCATTCTCAGAAGCTTCTCTGTGATGACTGCATTCAACTCACGGAGTTGAACACTCCTTTTGAGAGCGCAGTTTTGAAACTCTCTTTCTGTGGCATCTGCAAGGGGACATGTAGACCTCTTTGAAGATTTCGTTGGAAACGGAATCATCTTCACATAAAAACTATACAGAAGCAGTCTCAGAATCTTCTTTGTGATGTTTGCATTCAAATCCCAGAGTTGAACTTTCCTTTCAAAGTTCACGTTTGAAACACTCTTTTTGCAGGATCTACAAGTGGATATTTGGACCACTCTGTGTCCTTCGTTCGAAACGGGTATATCTTCACACGACATCTAGACAGAAGCTTTCTCAGAAAATTCTTTGGGATGATTGAGTGGAACTCACAGAGCTGAACATTCCTTGCGATGTAGCAGTTTAGAAACACACTTTCTGCAGAATCTGCAAGTGCATATTTGGACCTCTCTGAGGAATTCGTTGGAAACGGGATAATTTCAGCTGACTAAACAGAAGCATTCTCAGAACCTTCTTCGTGATGTCTGCATTCAACTCACAGTGTGGAACCTTTCTTTGATAGTTCAGGTTTGAAACACTCTTTTTGTAGAAACTGCAAGGGGATAATTGCACTTCTTTGAGGCCTACCGTAGTAAAGGAAATAACTTCCTATAGAAAGAAGACAGAAGCATTCTCAGAACCCTCTTCGTGATGTTTGCATTCAACTCACAGTGCTGAACCTTTCTTTGATAGTTCAGCTTTGAAACACTCTTCTTGTAGAAACTGCAAGTGGATATTTGGTCCTCTCTGAGGATTTCGTTGGAAACGGGATAAACCGCACAGAACTAAACAGAAGAATTCTCAGAGCCCTCTTCGTGATGTTTGCATTCAACTCACAGTGCTGAACCTTTCTTTGATAGTGCAGCTTTGAAACACTCTTTTTGTAGAAACTGCAAGTGGATGTTTGGTCCTCTCTGAGGATTTCGTTGGAAACGGGATAAACCGCACAGAACTAAAACAGAAGCATTGTCAGAAACTTCTTTGTGATGATTGCATTCAACTCACAGAGTTGAAGGTTCCTTTTCAAACAGCAGTTTCCAATCACTCTTTCTGTGGAATCTGCAAGTGGATATTTGGGCCTCTCTGAGGATTTCGTTGGAAACGGGATAAAACGCACAGAACTAAAACAGAAGCATTCTCAGAAACTTCTCTGTGATGTTTGTGTTCAACTCCCAGAGTTTCACGTTGCTTTTCATAGAGTAGTTCTGAAACATGCTTTTCGTAGTGTCTGCAAGTGGACATTTGGAGCGCTTTCAGGCCTGTGGTGGAAAACGAATTATGGTCACATAAAAACTGGAGAGAAGCCTTCTCAGAAACTTCTCTGTGATGATTGCATTCAACTCACAGAGTTGAACCCTCCTATGGATAGAGCAGTGTTGAAACTCTCTTTTTGTGGAATCTGCAAGTGGATATGTGGACCTCTCCGAAGATGTCTTTGGAAACGGGAATATCTTCACATAAAAACTAAACAGAAGCATTCTCAGAAACTTCTTGGTGATGTTTGCATTCAAATCCCAGAGTTGAACCTTCCTTTGATAGTTCAGGTTTGAAACACTCTTTCTGTAGGATCTGCAAGTGGCTATTTGGACCACTCTGTGGCCTTCGTTCGAAACGGGTATATCTTCGCATAAAATCTAGACAGAAGCATTCTCAGAAAATACTTTGTGATGATTGAGTTTAAATCACAGAGCTGACCATTCCTTTGGATGGAGCAGGTTTGAGACACACTTTTTGTAGAATCTACAAGTGGATATTTGGACCTCTCTGAGGATTTCGTTGGAAACGGGATAACTGCACCTAACTAAACGGAAGCATTCTCAGAAACTGCTTTGTGATGATTGCATTCACCTCACAGAGTTGAACATTCCTATTGATAGAGCAGTTTGGAAACACTCTTGTTGTGGAATGTGCAAGTGGAGATTTGGAGCGCTTTGAGGCCTATGGTAGTAAAGGGAATAGCTTCATAGAAAAACTAGACAGATGCATTCTCAGGAACTTTTTGGTGATGTTTGTATTCAACTCCCAGAGTTGAACTTTCCTTTGGAAAGAGCAGCTATGAAACACTCTTTTTCTAGAATCTGCAAGTGGACGTTTGGAGGGCTTTGTGGTTTGTGGTGGAAAAGGAAATATCTTCACCTAAATACTAGATAGAAGCGTTCTCAGAAGCTTCTCTGTGATGACTGCATTCAACTCACGGAGTTGAACACTCCTTTTGAGAGCGCAGTTTTGAAACTCTCTTTCTGTGGCATCTGCAAGGGGACATGTAGACCTCTTTGAAGATTTCGTTGGAAACGGAATCATCTTCACATCAAAACTATACAGAAGCAGTCTCAGAATCTTCTTTGTGATGTTTGCATTCAAATCCCAGAGTTGAACTTTCCTTTCAAAGTTCACGTTTGAAACACTCTTTTTGCAGGATCTACAAGTGGATATTTGGACCACTCTGTGTCCTTCGTTCGAAACGGGTATATCTTCACATGACATCTAGACAGAAGCTTTCTCAGAAAATTCTTTGGGATGATTGAGTGGAACTCACAGAGCTGAACATTCCTTGCGATGTAGCAGTTTAGAAACACACTTTCTGCAGAATCTGCAAGTGCATATTTGGACCTCTCTGAGGAATTCGTTGGAAACGGGATAATTTCAGCTGACTAAACAGAAGCATTCTCAGAACCTTCTTCGTGATGTCTGCATTCAACTCACAGTGTGGAACCTTTCTTTGATAGTTCAGGTTTGAAACACTCTTTTTGTAGAAACTGCAAGGGGATAATTGCACTTCTTTGAGGCCTACCGTAGTAAAGGAAATAACTTCCTATAGAAAGAAGACAGAAGCATTCTCAGAACCCTCTTCGTGATGTTTGCATTCAACTCACAGTGCTGAACCTTTCTTTGATAGTTCAGCTTTGAAACACTCTTCTTGTAGAAACTGCAAGTGGATATTTGGTCCTCTCTGAGGATTTCGTTGGAAACGGGATAAACCGCACAGAACTAAACAGAAGAATTCTCAGAGCCCTCTTCGTGATGTTTGCATTCAACTCACAGTGCTGAACCTTTCTTTGATAGTGCAGCTTTGAAACACTCTTTTTGTAGAAACTGCAAGTGGATGTTTGGTCCTCTCTGAGGATTTCGTTGGAAACGGGATAAACCGCACAGAACTAAAACAGAAGCATTGTCAGAAACTTCTTTGTGATGATTGCATTCAACTCACAGAGTTGAAGGTTCCTTTTCAAACAGCAGTTTCCAATCACTCTTTCTGTGGAATCTGCAAGTGGATATTTGGGCCTCTCTGAGGATTTCGTTGGAAACGGGATAAAACGCACAGAACTAAAACAGAAGCATTCTCAGAAACTTCTCTGTGATGTTTGTGTTCAACTCCCAGAGTTTCACGTTGCTTTTCATAGAGTAGTTCTGAAACATGCTTTTCGTAGTGTCTGCAAGTGGACATTTGGAGCGCTTTCAGGCCTGTGGTGGAAAACGAATTATGGTCACATAAAAACTGGAGAGAAGCCTTCTCAGAAACTTCTCTGTGATGATTGCATTCAACTCACAGAGTTGAACCCTCCTATGGATAGAGCAGTGTTGAAACTCTCTTTTTGTGGAATCTGCAAGTGGATATGTGGACCTCTCCGAAGATGTCTTTGGAAACGGGAATATCTTCACATAAAAACTAAACAGAAGCATTCTCAGAAACTTCTTGGTGATGTTTGCATTCAAATCCCAGAGTTGAACCTTCCTTTGATAGTTCAGGTTTGAAACACTCTTTCTGTAGGATCTGCAAGTGGCTATTTGGACCACTCTGTGGCCTTCGTTCGAAACGGGTATATCTTCGCATAAAATCTAGACAGAAGCATTCTCAGAAAATACTTTGTGATGATTGAGTTTAAATCACAGAGCTGACCATTCCTTTGGATGGAGCAGGTTTGAGACACACTTTTTGTAGAATCTACAAGTGGATATTTGGACCTCTCTGAGGATTTCGTTGGAAACGGGATAACTGCACCTAACTAAACGGAAGCATTCTCAGAAACTGCTTTGTGATGGTTGCATTCACCTCACAGAGTTGAACATTCCTATTGATAGAGCAGTTTGGAAACACTCTTGTTGTGGAATGTGCAAGTGGAGATTTGGAGCGCTTTGAGGCCTATGGTAGTAAAGGGAATAGCTTCATAGAAAAACTAGACAGATGCATTCTCAGGAACTTTTTGGTGATGTTTGTATTCAACTCCCAGAGTTGAACTTTCCTTTGGAAAGAGCAGCTATGAAACACTCTTTTTCTAGAATCTGCAAGTGGACGTTTGGAGGGCTTTGTGGTTTGTGGTGGAAAAGGAAATATCTTCACCTAAATACTAGATAGAAGCATTCTCAGAAGCTTCTCTGTGATGACTGCATTCAACTCACGGAGTTGAACACTCCTTTTGAGAGCGCAGTTTTGAAACTCTCTTTCTGTGGCATCTGCAAGGGGACATGTAGACCTCTTTGAAGATTTCGTTGGAAACGGAATCATCTTCACATAAAAACTATACAGAAGCAGTCTCAGAATCTTCTTTGTGATGTTTGCATTCAAATCCCAGAGTTGAACTTTCCTTTCAAAGTTCACGTTTGAAACACTCTTTTTGCAGGATCTACAAGTGGATATTTGGACCACTCTGTGTCCTTCGTTCGAAACGGGTATATCTTCACACGACATCTAGACAGAAGCTTTCTCAGAAAATTCTTTGGGATGATTGAGTGGAACTCACAGAGCTGAACATTCCTTGCGATGGAGCAGTTTAGAAACACACTTTCTGCAGAATCTGCAAGTGCATATTTGGACCTCTCTGAGGAATTCGTTGGAAACGGGATAATTTCAGCTGACTAAACAGAAGCATTCTCAGAACCTTCTTCGTGATGTCTGCATTCAACTCACAGTGTGGAACCTTTCTTTGATAGTTCAGGTTTGAAACACTCTTTTTGTAGAAACTGCAAGGGGATAATTGCACTTCTTTGAGGCCTACCGTAGTAAAGGAAATAACTTCCTATAGAAAGAAGACAGAAGCATTCTCAGAACCCTCTTCGTGATGTTTGCATTCAACTCACAGTGCTGAACCTTTCTTTGATAGTTCAGCTTTGAAACACTCTTCTTGTAGAAACTGCAAGTGGATATTTGGTCCTCTCTGAGGATTTCGTTGGAAACGGGATAAACCGCACAGAACTAAACAGAAGAATTCTCAGAGCCCTCTTCGTGATGTTTGCATTCAACTCACAGTGCTGAACCTTTCTTTGATAGTGCAGCTTTGAAACACTCTTTTTGTAGAAACTGCAAGTGGATGTTTGGTCCTCTCTGAGGATTTCGTTGGAAACGGGATAAACCGCACAGAACTAAAACAGAAGCATTGTCAGAAACTTCTTTGTGATGATTGCATTCAACTCACAGAGTTGAAGGTTCCTTTTCAAACAGCAGTTTCCAATCACTCTTTCTGTGGAATCTGCAAGTGGATATTTGGGCCTCTCTGAGGATTTCGTTGGAAACGGGATAAAACGCACAGAACTAAAACAGAAGCATTCTCAGAAACTTCTCTGTGATGTTTGTGTTCAACTCCCAGAGTTTCACGTTGCTTTTCATAGAGTAGTTCTGAAACATGCTTTTCGTAGTGTCTGCAAGTGGACATTTGGAGCGCTTTCAGGCCTGTGGTGGAAAACGAATTATGGTCACATAAAAACTGGAGAGAAGCCTTCTCAGAAACTTCTCTGTGATGATTGCATTCAACTCACAGAGTTGAACCCTCCTATGGATAGAGCAGTGTTGAAACTCTCTTTTTGTGGAATCTGCAAGTGGATATGTGGACCTCTCCGAAGATGTCTTTGGAAACGGGAATATCTTCACATAAAAACTAAACAGAAGCATTCTCAGAAACTTCTTGGTGATGTTTGCATTCAAATCCCAGAGTTGAACCTTCCTTTGATAGTTCAGGTTTGAAACACTCTTTTTGTAGGATCTGCAAGTGGATATTTGGACCACTCTGTGGCCTTCGTTCGAAACGGGTATATCTTCGCATAAAATCTAGACAGAAGCATTCTCAGAAAATACTTTGTGATGATTGAGTTTAACTCACAGAGCTGAACATTCCTTTGGATGGAGCAGGTTTGAGACACACCTTTTGTAGAATCTACAAGTGGATATTTGGACCTCTCTGAGGATTTCGTTGGAAACGGGATAACTGCACCTAACTAAACGGAAGCATTCTCAGAAACTGCTTTGTGATGATTGCATTCACCTCACAGAGTTGAACATTCCTATTGATAGAGCAGTTTGGAAACACTCTTGTTGTGGAATGTGCAAGTGGAGATTTGGAGCGCTTTGAGGCCTATGGTAGTAAAGGGAATAGCTTCATAGAAAAACTAGACAGATGCATTCTCAGGAACTTTTTGGTGATGTTTGTATTCAACTCCCAGAGTTGAACTTTCCTTTGGAAAGAGCAGCTATGAAACACTGTTTTTCTAGAATCTGCAAGTGGACGTTTGGAGGGCTTTGTGGTTTGTGGTGGAAAAGGAAATATCTTCACCTAAATACTAGATAGAAGCATTCTCAGAAGCTTCTCTGTGATGACTGCATTCAACTCACGGAGTTGAACACTCCTTTTGAGAGCGCAGTTTTGAAACTCTCTTTCTGTGGCATCTGCAAGGGGACATGTAGACCTCTTTGAAAATTTCGTTGGAAACGGAATCATCTTCACATAAAAACTACACAGAAGCAGTCTCAGAATCTTCTTTGTGATGTTTGCATTCAAATCCCAGAGTTGAACTTTCCTTTCAAAGTTCACGTTTGAAACACTCTTTTTGCAGGATCTACAAGTGGATATTTGGACCACTCTGTGTCCTTCGTTCGAAACGGGTATATCTTCACACGACATCTAGACAGAAGCTTTCTCAGAAAATTCTTTGGGATGATTGAGTGGAACTCACAGAGATGAACATTCCTTGCGATGTAGCAGTTTAGAAACACACTTTCTGCAGAATCTGCAAGTGCATATTTGGACCTCTCTGAGGAATTCGTTGGAAACGGGATAATTTCAGCTGACTAAACAGAAGCATTCTCAGAACCTTCTTCGTGATGTCTGCATTCAACTCACAGTGTGGAACCTTTCTTTGATAGTTCAGGTTTGAAACACTCTTTTTGTAGAAACTGCAAGGGGATAATTGCACTTCTTTGAGGCCTACCGTAGTAAAGGAAATAACTTCCTATAGAAAGAAGACAGAAGCATTCTCAGAACCCTCTTCGTGATGTTTGCATTCAACTCACAGTGCTGAAACTTTCTTTGATAGTTCAGCTTTGAAACACTCTTCTTGTAGAAACTGCAAGTGGATATTTGGTCCTCTCTGAGGATTTCGTTGGAAAAGGGATAAACCGCACAGAACTAAACAGAAGCATTCTCAGAGCCCTCTTCGTGATGTTTGCATTCAACTCACAGTGCTGAACCTTTCTTTGATAGTGCAGCTTTGAAACACTCTTTTTGTAGAAACTGCAAGTGGATATTTGGTCCTCTCTGAGGATTTCGTTGGAAACGGGATAAACCGCACAGAACTAAAACAGAAGCATTCACAGAAAACTCTTGGTGACGACTGAGTTTAACTCACAGAGCTGAACATTCCTTTGGATGGAGCAGTTTCGAAACACACTATTTGTAGAATGTGCAAGTGGATATGTGGGCCTCTCTGAGGATTTCGTTGGAAACGGGATAAACCACACAGAACTAAACAGAAAGCATTCTCAGAAACTATTTTGTGATGATTGCATTCAAGTCACAGAGTTGAACATTCCCTTTGACAGAGCAGTTTGGAAACTCTCTTTGTGTAGAATCTGCAAGTGGAGATATGGACCGCTTTGAGGCCTATGGTAGTAAAGGAAATAGCTTCATATAAAAGCTAGACAGAGCATTCTCAGAAACTTCTTTGTGATGCTTGTATTCAACTCACAGAGTTGAACTTTCCTTTCGAGAGAGAAGCTTTGAAACACTCTTTTTCCAGAATCTGCAAGTGGACATTTGGAGGGCTTTGAGGCCTGTGGTGGAAAAGGAATTATCTTCCCGTAAAAGCTAGATAGAAGCATAGTCAGAAGCTTCTTTGTGATGATTGCATTCAACTCACAGAGTTGAAGGTTCCTTTTCAAACAGCAGTTTCCAATCACTCTTTCTGTGGAATCTGCAAGTGTATATTTGGACCTATTTTGAAGATTTCGTTGGAAACGGGATAATCTTCACAGAAAAGCTAAACAGAAGCATTCTCAGAAACTTCTCTGTGATGTTTGTGTTCAACTCCCAGAGTTTCACATTGCTTTTCATAGAGTAGTTCTGAAACATGCCTTTCGTAGTGTCTGCAAGTGGACATTTGGAGAGATTTCAGGCCTGTGGTGGAAAACGAATTATGGTCACATAAAAACTGGAGAGAAGCCTTCTCAGAAACTTCTCTGTGATGATTGCATTCAACTCACAGAGTTGAACCCTCCTATGGATAGAGCAGTGTTGAAACTCTCTTTTTGTGGAATCTGCAAGTGGATATGTGGACCTCTCCGAAGATGTCTTTGGAAACGGGAATATCTTCACATAAAAACTAAACAGAAGCATTCTCAGAAACTTCTTGGTGATGTTTGCATTCAAATCCCAGAGTTGAACCTTCCTTTGATAGTTCAGGTTTGAAACACTCTTTTTGTAGGATCTGCAAGTGGATATTTGGACCACTCTGTGGCCTTCGTTCAAAACGGGTACATCTTCGCATAAATCTAGACAGAAGCATTCTCAGAAAATACTTTGTGATGGTTGAGTTGAACTCACAGAGCTGAACATTCCTTTGGATGGAGCAGGTTTGAGACACACTTTTTGTAGAATCTACAAGTGGATATTTGGACCTCTCTGAGGATTTCGTTGGAAACGGGATAAATGCACCTAACTAAACGGAAGCATTGTCAGAAACTGCTTTGTGATGATTGCATTCACCTCACAGAGTTGAACATTCCTATTGATAGAGCAGTTTGGAAACACTCTTCTTGTGGAATGTGCAAGTGGAGATTTGGAGCGCTTTGAGGCCTATGGTAGTAAAGGGAATAGCTTCATAGAAAAACTAGACAGATGCATTCTCAGGAACTTTTTGGTGATGTTTGTATTCAACTCCCAGAGTTGAACTTTCCTTTGGAAAGAGCAGCTATGAAACACTCTTTTTCTAGAATCTGCAAGTGGACGTTTGGAGGGCTTTGTGGTTTGTGGTGGAAAAGGAAATATCTTCACCTAAATACTAGATAGAAGCATTCTCAGAAGCTTCTCTGTGATGACTGCATTCAACTCACGGAGTTGAACACTCCTTTTGAGAGCGCAGTTTTGAAACTCTCTTTCTGTGGCATCTGCAAGGGGACATGTAGACCTCTTTGAAGATTTCGTTGGAAACGGAATCATCTTCGCATAAAAACTATACAGAAGCAGTCTCAGAATCTTCTTTGTGATGTTTGCATTCAAATCCCAGAGTTGAACTTGCCTTTCAAAGTTCACGTTTGAAACACTCTTTTTGCAGGATCTACAAGTGGATATTTGGACCACTCTGTGTCCTTCGTTCGAAACGGGTATATCTTCACATGACATCTAGACAGAAGCTTTCTCAGAAAATTCTTTGGGATGATTGAGTGGAACTCACAGAGCTGAACATTCCTTGCGATGTAGCAGTTTAGAAACACACTTTCTGCAGAATCTGCAAGTGCATATTTGGACCTCTCTGAGGAATTCGTTGGAAACGGGATAATTTCAGCTGACTAAACAGAAGCATTCTCAGAACCTTCTTCGTGATGTCTGCATTCAACTCACAGTGTGGAACCTTTCTTTGATAGTTCAGGTTTGAAACACTCTTTTTGTAGAAACTGCAAGGGGATAATTGCACTTCTTTGAGGCCTACCGTAGTAAAGGAAATAACTTCCTATAGAAAGAAGACAGAAGCATTCTCAGAACCCTCTTCGTGATGTTTGCATTCAACTCACAGTGCTGAACCTTTCTTTGATAGTTCAGCTTTGAAACACTCTTCTTGTAGAAACTGCAAGTGGATATTTGGTCCTCTCTGAGGATTTCGTTGGAAACGGGATAAACCGCACAGAACTAAACAGAAGAATTCTCAGAGCCCTCTTCGTGATGTTTGCATTCAACTCACAGTGCTGAACCTTTCTTTGATAGTGCAGCTTTGAAACACTCTTTTTGTAGAAACTGCAAGTGGATGTTTGGTCCTCTCTGAGGATTTCGTTGGAAACGGGATAAACCGCACAGAACTAAAACAGAAGCATTGTCAGAAACTTCTTTGTGATGATTGCATTCAACTCACAGAGTTGAAGGTTCCTTTTCAAACAGCAGTTTCCAATCACTCTTTCTGTGGAATCTGCAAGTGGATATTTGGGCCTCTCTGAGGATTTCGTTGGAAACGGGATAAAACGCACAGAACTAAAACAGAAGCATTCTCAGAAACTTCTCTGTGATGTTTGTGTTCAACTCCCAGAGTTTCACGTTGCTTTTCATAGAGTAGTTCTGAAACATGCTTTTCGTAGTGTCTGCAAGTGGACATTTGGAGCGCTTTCAGGCCTGTGGTGGAAAACGAATTATGGTCACATAAAAACTGGAGAGAAGCCTTCTCAGAAACTTCTCTGTGATGATTGCATTCAACTCACAGAGTTGAACCCTCCTATGGATAGAGCAGTGTTGAAACTCTCTTTTTGTGGAATCTGCAAGTGGATATGTGGACCTCTCCGAAGATGTCTTTGGAAACGGGAATATCTTCACATAAAAACTAAACAGAAGCATTCTCAGAAACTTCTTGGTGATGTTTGCATTCAAATCCCAGAGTTGAACCTTCCTTTGATAGTTCAGGTTTGAAACACTCTTTTTGTAGGATCTGCAAGTGGATATTTGGACCACTCTGTGGCCTTCGTTCGAAACGGGTATATCTTCGCATAAAATCTAGACAGAAGCATTCTCAGAAAATACTTTGTGATGATTGAGTTTAACTCACAGAGCTGAACATTCCTTTGGATGGAGCAGGTTTGAGACACACTTTTTGTAGAATCTACAAGTGGATATTTGGACCTCTCTGAGGATTTCGTTGGAAACGGGATAACTGCACCTAACTAAACGGAAGCATTCTCAGAAACTGCTTTGTGATGATTGCATTCACCTCACAGAGTTGAACATTCCTATTGATAGAGCAGTTTGGAAACACTCTTGTTGTGGAATGTGCAAGTGGAGATTTGGAGCGCTTTGAGGCCTATGGTAGTAAAGGGAATAGCTTCATAGAAAAACTAGACAGATGCATTCTCAGGAACTTTTTGGTGATGTTTGTATTCAACTCCCAGAGTTGAACTTTCCTTTGGAAAGAGCAGCTATGAGACACTGTTTCTCTAGAATCTGCAAGTGGACGTTTGGAGGGCTTTGTGGTTTGTGGTGGAAAAGGAAATATCTTCACCTAAATACTAGATAGAAGCATTCTCAGAAGCTTCTCTGTGATGACTGCATTCAACTCACGGAGTTGAACACTCCTTTTGAGAGCGCAGTTTTGAAACTCTCTTTCTGTGGCATCTGCAAGGGGACATGTAGACCTCTTTGAAGATTTCGTTGGAAACGGAATCATCTTCACATAAAAACTATACAGAAGCAGTCTCAGAATCTTCTTTGTGATGTTTGCATTCAAATCCCAGAGTTGAACTTTCCTTTCAAAGTTCACGTTTGAAACACTCTTTTTGCAGGATCTACAAGTGGATATTTGGACCACTCTGTGTCCTTCGTTCGAAACGGGTATATCTTCACACGACATCTAGACAGAAGCTTTCTCAGAAAATTCTTTGGGATGATTGAGTGGAACTCACAGAGCTGAACATTCCTTGCGATGTAGCAGTTTAGAAACACACTTTCTGCAGAATCTGCAAGTGCATATTTGGACCTCTCTGAGGAATTCGTTGGAAACGGGATAATTTCAGCTGACTAAACAGAAGCATTCTCAGAACCTTCTTCGTGATGTCTGCATTCAACTCACAGTGTGGAACCTTTCTTTGATAGTTCAGGTTTGAAACACTCTTTTTGTAGAAACTGCAAGGGGATAATTGCACTTCTTTGAGGCCTACCGTAGTAAAGGAAATAACTTCCTATAGAAAGAAGACAGAAGCATTCTCAGAACCCTCTTCGTGATGTTTGCATTCAACTCACAGTGCTGAACCTTTCTTTGATAGTTCAGCTTTGAAACACTCTTCTTGTAGAAACTGCAAGTGGATATTTGGTCCTCTCTGAGGATTTCGTTGGAAACGGGATAAACCGCACAGAACTAAACAGAAGAATTCTCAGAGCCCTCTTCGTGATGTTTGCATTCAACTCACAGTGCTGAACCTTTCTTTGATAGTGCAGCTTTGAAACACTCTTTTTGTAGAAACTGCAAGTGGATGTTTGGTCCTCTCTGAGGATTTCGTTGGAAACGGGATAAACCGCACAGAACTAAAACAGAAGCATTGTCAGAAACTTCTTTGTGATGATTGCATTCAACTCACAGAGTTGAAGGTTCCTTTTCAAACAGCAGTTTCCAATCACTCTTTCTGTGGAATCTGCAAGTGGATATTTGGGCCTCTCTGAGGATTTCGTTGGAAACGGGATAAAACGCACAGAACTAAAACAGAAGCATTCTCAGAAACTTCTCTGTGATGTTTGTGTTCAACTCCCAGAGTTTCACGTTGCTTTTCATAGAGTAGTTCTGAAACATGCTTTTCGTAGTGTCTGCAAGTGGACATTTGGAGCGCTTTCAGGCCTGTGGTGGAAAACGAATTATGGTCACATAAAAACTGGAGAGAAGCCTTCTCAGAAACTTCTCTGTGATGATTGCATTCAACTCACAGAGTTGAACCCTCCTATGGATAGAGCAGTGTTGAAACTCTCTTTTTGTGGAATCTGCAAGTGGATATGTGGACCTCTCCGAAGATGTCTTTGGAAACGGGAATATCTTCACATAAAAACTAAACAGAAGCATTCTCAGAAACTTCTTGGTGATGTTTGCATTCAAATCCCAGAGTTGAACCTTCCTTTGATAGTTCAGGTTTGAAACACTCTTTCTGTAGGATCTGCAAGTGGCTATTTGGACCACTCTGTGGCCTTCGTTCGAAACGGGTATATCTTCGCATAAAATCTAGACAGAAGCATTCTCAGAAAATACTTTGTGATGATTGAGTTTAAATCACAGAGCTGACCATTCCTTTGGATGGAGCAGGTTTGAGACACACTTTTTGTAGAATCTACAAGTGGATATTTGGACCTCTCTGAGGATTTCGTTGGAAACGGGATAACTGCACCTAACTAAACGGAAGCATTCTCAGAAACTGCTTTGTGATGATTGCATTCACCTCACAGAGTTGAACATTCCTATTGATAGAGCAGTTTGGAAACACTCTTGTTGTGGAATGTGCAAGTGGAGATTTGGAGCGCTTTGAGGCCTGTGGTAGTAAAGGGAATAGCTTCATAGAAAAACTAGACAGATGCATTCTCAGGAACTTTTTGGTGATGTTTGTATTCAACTCCCAGAGTTGAACTTTCCTTTGGAAAGAGCAGCTATGAAACACTCTTTTTCTAGAATCTGCAAGTGGACGTTTGGAGGGCTTTGTGGTTTGTGGTGGAAAAGGAAATATCTTCACCTAAATACTAGATAGAAGCATTCTCAGAAGCTTCTCTGTGATGACTGCATTCAACTCACGGAGTTGAACACTCCTTTTGAGAGCGCAGTTTTGAAACTCTCTTTCTGTGGCATCTGCAAGGGGACATGTAGACCTCTTTGAAGATTTCGTTGGAAACGGAATCATCTTCACATAAAAACTATACAGAAGCAGTCTCAGAATCTTCTTTGTGATGTTTGCATTCAAATCCCAGAGTTGAACTTTCCTTTCAAAGTTCACGTTTGAAACACTCTTTTTGCAGGATCTACAAGTGGATATTTGGACCACTCTGTGTCCTTCGTTCGAAACGGGTATATCTTCACACGACATCTAGACAGAAGCTTTCTCAGAAAATTCTTTGGGATGATTGAGTGGAACTCACAGAGCTGAACATTCCTTGCGATGTAGCAGTTTAGAAACACACTTTCTGCAGAATCTGCAAGTGCATATTTGGACCTCTCTGAGGAATTCGTTGGAAACGGGATAATTTCAGCTGACTAAACAGAAGCATTCTCAGAACCTTCTTCGTGATGTCTGCATTCAACTCACAGTGTGGAACCTTTCTTTGATAGTTCAGGTTTGAAACACTCTTTTTGTAGAAACTGCAAGGGGATAATTGCACTTCTTTGAGGCCTACCGTAGTAAAGGAAATAACTTCCTATAGAAAGAAGACAGAAGCATTCTCAGAACCCTCTTCGTGATGTTTGCATTCAACTCACAGTGCTGAACCTTTCTTTGATAGTTCAGCTTTGAAACACTCTTCTTGTAGAAACTGCAAGTGGATATTTGGTCCTCTCTGAGGATTTCGTTGGAAACGGGATAAACCGCACAGAACTAAACAGAAGAATTCTCAGAGCCCTCTTCGTGATGTTTGCATTCAACTCACAGTGCTGAACTTTTCTTTGATAGTGCAGCTTTGAAACACTCTTTTTGTAGAAACTGCAAGTGGATGTTTGGTCCTCTCTGAGGATATCGTTGGAAACGGGATAAACCGCACAGAACTAAAACAGAAGCATTCTCAGAACCTTCTTCGTGATGTTTGCATTCAACTCACAGTGTTGAACCTTTCTTTGATAGTTCAGGTTTGAAACGGTCTTTCTGTAGAAACTGCAAGTAGATATTTGGACCTCTCTGAGGATTTCGTTGGAAACGGGATAACCCGCACAGAACTAAAACAGAAGCATTCACAGAAAACTCTTGGTGACGACTGAGTTTAACTCACAGAGCTGAACATTCCTTTGGATGGAGCAGTTTCGAAACACACTATTTGTAGAATGTGCAAGTGGATATTTAGGCCTCTCTGAGGATTTCGTTGGAAACGGGATAAACCGCACAGAACTAAACAGAAGCATTCTCAGAAACTACTTTGTGATGATTGCATTCAAGTCACAGAGTTGAACATTCCCTTTGACAGAGCAGTTTGGAAACTCTCTTTGTGTAGAATCTGCAAGTGGAGATATGGACCGCTTTGAGGCCTATGGTAGTAAAGGAAATAGCTTCATATAAAAGCTAGACAGTAGCATTCTCAGAAACTTCTTTGTGATGCTTGCATTCAACTCACAGAGTTGAACTTTCCTTTCGAGAGAGAAGCTTTGAAACACTCTTTTTCCAGAATCTGCAAGTGGACATTTGGAGGGCTTTGAGGCCTGTGGTGGAAAAGGAATTATCTTCCCGTAAAAGCTAGATAGAAGCATTGTCAGAAACTTCTTTGTGATGATTGCATTCAACTCACAGTAGTTGAAGGTTCCTTTTCAAAGAGCAGTTTCCAATCACTCTTTCTGTGGAATCTGCAAGTGGATATTTGGACCTATTTTGAAGATTTCGTTGGAAACGGGAGAATCTTCACAGGAAAGCTAAACAGAAGCATTCTCAGAAACTTCTCTGTGATGTTTGTGTTCAACTCCCAGAGTTTCACATTGCTTCTCATAGAGTAGTTCTGAAACATGCTTTTCGTAGTGTCTGCAAGTGGACATTTGGAGCGCTTTCAGGCCTGTGGTGGAAAACGAATTATGGTCACATAAAAACTGGAGAGAAGCCTTCTCAGAAACTTCTCTGGGATGATTGCATTCAACTCACAGAGTTGAACCCTCCTATGGATAGAGCAGTGTTGAAACTCTCTTTTTGTGGAATCTGCAAGCGGATATGTGGACCTCTCTGAAGATGTCTTTGGAAACGGGAATATCGTCACATAAAAACTAAACAGAAGCATTCTCAGAAACTTCTTGGTGATGTTTGCATTCAAATCCCAGAGTTGAACCTTCCTTTGAGAGTTCAGGTTTGAAACACTCTTTTTGTAGGATCTGCAAGTGGATATTTGGACCACTCTGTGGCCTTCGTTTGAAACGGGTACATCTTCGCATAAAATCTAGACAGAAGCATTCTCAGAAAATACTTTGTGATGATTGAGTTGAACTCACAGAGCTGAACATTCCTTTGGATGGAGCAGGTTTGAGACACACTTTTTGTAGAATCTACAAGTGGATATTTGGACCTCTCTGAGGATTTCGTTGGAAACGGGATAACTGCACCTAACTAAACGGAAGCATTCCCAGAAACTGCTTTGTGATGATTGCATTCACCTCACAGAGTTGAACATTCCTATTGATAGAGCAGTTTGGAAACACTCTTGTTGTGGAATGTGCAAGTGGAGATTTGGAGCGCTTTGAGGCCTATGGTAGTAAAGGGAATAGCTTCATAGAAAAACTAGACAGATGCATTCTCAGGAACTTTTTGGTGATGTTTGTATTCAACTCCCAGAGTTGAACTTTCCTTTGGAAAGAGCAGCTATGAAACACTCTTTTTCTAGAATCTGCAAGTGGACGTTTGGAGGGCTTTGTGGTTTGTGGTGGAAAAGGAAATATCTTCACCTAAATACTAGATAGAAGCATTCTCAGAAGCTTCTCTGTGATGACTGCATTCAACTCACGGAGTTGAACACTCCTTTTGAGAGCGCAGTTTTGAAACTCTCTTTCTGTGGCATCTGCAAGGGGACATGTAGACCTCTTTGAAGATTTCGTTGGAAACGGAATCATCTTCACATAAAAACTATACAGAAGCAGTCTCAGAATCTTCTTTGTGATGTTTGCATTCAAATCCCAGAGTTGAACTTTCCTTTCAAAGTTCACGTTTGAAACACTCTTTTTGCAGGATCTACAAGTGGATATTTGGACCACTCTGTGTCCTTCGTTCGAAACGGGTATATCTTCACATGACATCTAGACAGAAGCTTTCTCAGAAAATTCTTTGGGATGATTGAGTGGAACTCACAGAGCTGAACATTCCTTGCGATGGAGCAGTTTAGAAACACACTTTCTGCAGAATCTGCAAGTGCATATTTGGACCTCTCTGAGGAATTCGTTGGAAACGGGATAATTTCAGCTGACTAAACAGAAGCATTCTCAGAACCTTCTTCGTGATGTCTGCATTCAACTCACAGTGTGGAACCTTTCTTTGATAGTTCAGGTTTGAAACACTCTTTTTGTAGAAACTGCAAGGGGATAATTGCACTTCTTTGAGGCCTACCGTAGTAAAGGAAATAACTTCCTATAGAAAGAAGACAGAAGCATTCTCAGAACCCTCTTCGTGATGTTTGCATTCAACTCACAGTGCTGAACCTTTCTTTGATAGTTCAGCTTTGAAACACTCTTCTTGTAGAAACTGCAAGTGGATATTTGGTCCTCTCTGAGGATTTCGTTGGAAACGGGATAAACCGCACAGAACTAAACAGAAGAATTCTCAGAGCCCTCTTCGTGATGTTTGCATTCAACTCACAGTGCTGAACCTTTCTTTGATAGTGCAGCTTTGAAACACTCTTTTTGTAGAAACTGCAAGTGGATGTTTGGTCCTGCTCCTGAGGATTTCGTTGGAAACGGGATAAACCGCACAGAACTAAAACAGAAGCATTGTCAGAAACTTCTTTGTGATGATTGCATTCAACTCACAGAGTTGAAGGTTCCTTTTCAAACAGCAGTTTCCAATCACTCTTTCTGTGGAATCTGCAAGTGGATATTTGGGCCTCTCTGAGGATTTCGTTGGAAACGGGATAAAACGCACAGAACTAAAACAGAAGCATTCTCAGAAACTTCTCTGTGATGTTTGTGTTCAACTCCCAGAGTTTCACGTTGCTTTTCATAGAGTAGTTCTGAAACATGCTTTTCGTAGTGTCTGCAAGTGGACATTTGGAGCGCTTTCAGGCCTGTGGTGGAAAACGAATTATGGTCACATAAAAACTGGAGAGAAGCCTTCTCAGAAACTTCTCTGTGATGATTGCATTCAACTCACAGAGTTGAACCCTCCTATGGATAGAGCAGTGTTGAAACTCTCTTTTTGTGGAATCTGCAAGTGGATATGTGGACCTCTCCGAAGATGTCTTTGGAAACGGGAATATCTTCACATAAAAACTAAACAGAAGCATTCTCAGAAATTTCTTGGTGATGTTTGCATTCAAATCCCAGAGTTGAACCTTCCTTTGATAGTTCAGGTTTGAAACACTCTTTCTGTAGGATCTGCAAGTGGCTATTTGGACCACTCTGTGGCCTTCGTTCGAAACGGGTATATCTTCGCATAAAATCTAGACAGAAGCATTCTCAGAAAATACTTTGTGATGATTGAGTTTAAATCACAGAGCTGACCATTCCTTTGGATGGAGCAGGTTTGAGACACACTTTTTGTAGAATCTACAAGTGGATATTTGGACCTCTCTGAGGATTTCGTTGGAAACGGGATAACTGCACCTAACTAAACGGAAGCATTCTCAGAAACTGCTTTGTGATGATTGCATTCACCTCACAGAGTTGAACATTCCTATTGATAGAGCAGTTGGGAAACACTGCTGTTGTGGAATGTGCAAGTGGAGATTTGGAGCGCTTTGAGGCCTATGGTTGTAAAGGGAATAGCTTCATAGAAAAACTAGACAGATGCATTCTCAGGAACTTTTTGGTGATGTTTGTATTCAACTCCCAGAGTTGAACTTTCCTTTGGAAAGAGCAGCTATGAAACACTCTTTTTCTAGAATCTGCAAGTGGACGTTTGGAGGGCTTTGTGGTTTGTGGTGGAAAAGGAAATATCTTCACCTAAATACTAGATAGAAGCATTCTCAGAAGCTTCTCTGTGATGACTGCATTCAACTCACGGAGTTGAACACTCCTTTTGAGAGCGCAGTTTTGAAACTCTCTTTCTGTGGCATCTGCAAGGGGACATGTAGACCTCTTGGAAGATTTCGTTGGAAACGGAATCATCTTCACATAAAAACTATACAGAAGCAGTCTCAGAATCTTCTTTGTGATGTTTGCATTCAAATCCCCGAGTTGAACTTTCCTTTCAAAGTTCACGTTTGAAACACTCTTTTTGCAGGATCTACAAGTGGATATTTGGACCACTCTGTGTCCTTCGTTCGAAACGGGTATATCTTCACATGACATCTAGACAGAAGCTTTCTCAGAAAATTCTTTGGGATGATTGAGTTGAACTCACAGAGCTGAGCATTCCTTGCGATGTAGCAGTTTAGAAACACACTTTCTGCAGAATCTGCAAGTGCATATTTGGACCTCTGTGAGGAATTCGTTGGAAACGGGATAATTTCAGCTGACTAAACAGAAGCATTCTCAGAACCTTCTTCGTGATGTCTGCATTCAACTCACAGTGTGGAACCTTTCTTTGATAGTTCAGGTTTGAAACACTCTTTCTGTAGAAACTGCAAGGGGATAATTGCACTCTTTGAGGAGTACCGTAGTAAAGGAAATAACTTCCTATAAAAAGAAGACAGAAGCATTCTCAGAACCCTCTTCGTGATGTTTGCATTCAACTCACAGTGCTGAACCTTTCTTTGATAGTTCAGCTTTGAAACACTCTTTTTGTAGAAACTGCAAGTGGATATTTGGTCCTCTCTGAGCATTTCGTTGGAAACGGGATAAACTGCACAGAACTAAACAGAAGCATTCTCAGAACCTTCTTCGTGATGTTTGCATTCAACTCACAGTGTTGAACCTTTCTTTGATAGTTCAGGTTTGAAACGGTCTTTCTGTAGAAACTGCAAGTAGATATTTGGACCTCTCTGAGGATTTCGTTGGAAACGGGATAACCCGCACAGAACTAAAACAGAAGCATTCACAGAAAACTCTTGGTGACGACTGAGTTTAACTCACAGAGCTGAACATTCCTTTGGATGGAGCAGTTTCGAAACACACTATTTGTAGAATGTGCAAGTGGATATTTAGGCCTCTCTGAGGATTTCGTTGGAAACGGGATAAACCGCACAGAACTAAACAGAAAGCATTCTCAGAAACTACTTTGTGATGATTGCATTCAAGTCACAGAGTTGAACATTCCCTTTGACAGAGCAGTTTGGAAACTCTCTTTGTGTAGAATCTGCAAGTGGAGATATGGACCGCTTTGAGGCCTATGGTAGTAAAGGAAATAGCTTCATATAAAAGCTAGACAGTAGCATTCTCAGAAACTTCTTTGTGATGCTTGCATTCAACTCACAGAGTTGAACTTTCCTTTCGAGAGAGAAGCTTTGAAACACTCTTTTTCCAGAATCTGCAAGTGGACATTTGGAGGGCTTTGAGGCCTGTGGTGGAAAAGGAATTAACTTCCCGTAAAAGCTAGATAGAAGCATTGTCAGAAACTTCTTTGTGATGATTGCATTCAACTCAAAGAGATGAAGGTTCCTTTACAAACAGCAGTTTCCAAACACTCTTTCTGTGGAATCTGCAAGTGGATATTTGGACCTCTTTGAAGATTTCGTTGGAAACGGGAGAATCTTCACAGAAAAGCTAAACAGAAGCATTCTCAGAAACTTCTCTGTGATGTTTGTGTTCAACTCCCAGAGTTTCACATTGCTTCTCATAGAGTAGTTCTGAAACATGCTTTTCGTAGTGTCTGCAAGTGGACATTTGGAGCGCTTTCAGGCCTGTGGTGGAAAACGAATTATGGTCACATAAAAACTGGAGAGAAGCCTTCTCAGAAACTTCTCTGTGATGATTGCATTCAACTCACAGAGTTGAACCCTCCTATGGATAGAGCAGTGTTGAAACTCTCTTTTTGTGGAATCTGCAAGCGGATATGTGGACCTCTCCGAAGATGTCTTTGGCAACGGGATTATCTTCACATAAAAACTAAACAGAAACATTCTCAGAAACTTCTTGGTGATGTTTGCATTCAAATCCCAGAGTTGAACCTTCCTTTGAGAGTTCAGGTTTGAAACACTCTTTTTGTAGGATCTGCAAGTGGATATTTGGACCACTCTGTGGCCTTCGTTCGAAACGGGTACATCTTCGCATAAAATCTAGACAGAAGCATTCTCAGAAAATACTTTGTGATGATTGAGTTTAACTCACAGAGCTGAACATTCCTTTGGATGGAGCAGGTTTGAGACACACTTTTTGTAGAATCTACAAGTGGATATTTGGACCTCTCTGAGGATTTCGTTGGAAACGGGATAACTGCACCTAACTAAACGGAAGCATTCTCAGAAACTGCTTTGTGATGATTGCATTCACCTCACAGAGTTGAACATTCCTATTGATAGAGCAGTTTGGAAACACTCTTGTTGTGGAATGTGCAAGTGGAGATTTGGAGCGCTTTGAGGCCTATGGTAGTAAAGGGAATAGCTTCATAGAAAAACTAGACAGATGCATTCTCAGGAACTTTTTGGTGATGTTTGTATTCAACTCCCAGAGTTGAACTTTCCTTTGGAAAGAGCAGCTATGAAACACTCTTTTTCTAGAATCTGCAAGTGGACGTTTGGAGGGCTTTGTGGTTTGTGGTGGAAAAGGAAATATCTTCACCTAAATACTAGATAGAAGCATCCTCAGAAGCTTCTCTGTGATGACTGCATTCAACTCACGGAGTTGAACACTCCTTTTGAGAGCGCAGTTTTGAAACTCTCTTTCTGTGGCATCTGCAAGGGGACATGTAGACCTCTTTGAAGATTTCGTTGGAAACGGAATCATCTTCACATAAAAACTATACAGAAGCAGTCTCAGAATCTTCTTTGTGATGTTTGCATTCAAATCCCCGAGTTGAACTTTCCTTTCAAAGTTCACGTTTGAAACACTCTTTTTGCAGGATCTACAAGTGGATATTTGGACCACTCTGTGTCCTTCGTTCGAAACGGGTATATCTTCACATGACATCTAGACAGAAGCTTTCTCAGAAAATTCTTTGGGATGATTGAGTTGAACTCACAGAGCTGAGCATTCCTTGCGATGTAGCAGTTTAGAAACACACTTTCTGCAGAATCTGCAAGTGCATATGTGGACCTCTCTGAGGAATTCGTTGGAAACGGGATAATTTCAGCTGACTAAACAGAAGCATTCTCAGAACCTTCTTCGTGATGTCTGCATTCAACTCAAAGTGTGGAACCTTTCTTTGATAGTTCAGGTTTTAAAAACTCTTTTTGTAGAAACTGCAAGGGGATAATTGCACTCTTTGAGGAGTACCGTAGTAAAGGAAATAACTTCCTATAAAAAGAAGACAGAAGCATTCTCAGAACCCTCTTCGTGATGTTTGCATTCAACTCACAGTGCTGAACCTTTCTTTGATAGTTCAGCTTTGAAACACTCTTCTTGTAGAAACTGCAAGTGGATATTTGGTCCTCTCTGAGGATTTCGTTGGAAACGGGATAAACCGCACAGAACTAAACAGAAGAACTCTCAGAGCCCTCTTCGTGATGTTTGCATTCAACTCACAGTGCTGAACCTTTCTTTGATAGTGCAGCTTTGAAACACTCTTTTTGTAGAAACTGCAAGTGGATATTTGGTCCTCTCTGAGGATTTCGTTGGAAACGGGATAAACCGCACAGAACTAAAACAGAAGCATTCACAGAAAACTCTTGGTGACGACTGAGTTTAACTCACAGAGCTGAACATTCCTTTGGATGGAGCAGTTTCGAAACACACTATTTGTAGAATCTGCAAGTGGATATTTGGGCCTCTCTGAGGATTTCGTTGGAAACGGGATAAAACGCACAGAACTAAAACAGAAGCATTCTCAGAAACTACTTTGTGATGATTGCATTCAAGTCACAGAGTTGAACATTCCCTTTGACAGAGCAGTTTGGAAACTCTCTTTGTGTAGAATCTGCAAGTGGAGATATGGACCGCTTTGAGGCCTATGGTAGTAAAGGAAATAGCTTCATATAAAAGCTAGACAGTAGCATTCTCAGAAACTTCTTTGTGATGCTTGCATTCAACTCACAGAGTTGAACTTTCCTTTCGAGAGAGAAGCTTTGAAACACTCTTTTTCCAGAATGTGCAAGTGGACATTTGGGGAGCTTTGAGGCCTGGGGTGGAAAAGGAATTATCTTCCCGTAAAAGCTAGATAGAAGCATTGTCAGAAACTTCTTTGTGATGATTGCATTCAACTCACAGAGTTGAAGGTTCCTTTTCAAACAGCAGTTTCCAATCACTCTTTCTGTGGAATCTGCAAGTGGATATTTCGACCTCTTTGAAGATTTCGTTGGAAACGGGAGAATCTTCACAGAAAAGCTAAACAGAAGCATTCTCAGAAACTTCTCTGTGATGTTTGTGTTCAACTCCCAGAGTTTCACGTTGCTTTTCATAGAGTAGTTCTGAAACATGCTTTTCGTAGTGTCTGCAAGTGGACATTTGGAGCGCTTTCAGGCCTGTGGTGGAAAACGAATTATGGTCACATAAAAACTGGAGAGAAGCCTTCTCAGAAACTTCTCTGTGATGATTGCATTCAACTCACAGAGTTGAACCCTCCTATGGATAGAGCAGTGTTGAAACTCTCTTTTTGTGGAATCTGCAAGTGGATATGTGGACCTCGCCGAAGATGTCTTTGGAAACGGGAATATCTTCACATAAAAACTAAACAGAAGGATTCTCAGAAACTTCTTGGTGATGTTTGCATTCAAATCCCAGAGTTGAACCTTCCTTTGATAGTTCAGGTTTGAAACACTCTTTTTGTAGGATCTGCAAGTGGCTATTTGGACCACTCCTGTGGCATTCGTTCAAAACGGGTATATCTTCGCATAAAATCTAGACAGAAGCATTCTCAGAAAATACTTTGTGATGATTGAGTTGAACTCACAGAGCTGAACATTCCTTTGGATGGAGCAGGTTTGAGACACACTTTTTGTAGAATCTACAAGTGGATATTTGGACCTCTCTGAGGATTTCGTTGGAAACGGGATAACTGCACCTAACTAAACGGAAGCATTCTCAGAAACTGCTTTGTGATGATTGCATTCACCTCACAGAGTTGAACATTCCTATTGATAGAGCAGTTTGGAAACACTCTTGTTGTGGAATGTGCAAGTGGAGATTTGGAGCGCTTTGAGGCCTATGGTAGTAAAGGCAATAGCTTCATAGAAAAATTAGACAGATGCATTCTCAGGAACTTTTTGGTGATGTTTGTATTCAACTCCCAGAGTTGAACTTTCCTTTGGAAAGAGCAGCTATGAAACACTCTTTTTCTAGAATCTGCAAGTGGACGTTTGGAGGGCTTTGTGGTTTGTGGTGGAAAAGGAAATATCTTCACCTAAATACTAGATAGAAGCATTCTCAGAAGCTTCTCTGTGATGACTGCATTCAACTCACGGAGTTGAACACTCCTTTTGAGAGCGCAGTTTTGAAACTCTCTTTCTGTGGCATCCGCAAGGGGACATGTAGACCTCTTTGAAGATTTCGTTGGAAACGGAATCATCTTCACATCAAAACTATGCAGAAGCAGTCTCAGAATCTTCTTTGTGATGTTTGCATTCAAATCCCAGAGTTGAACTTTCCTTTCAAAGTTCACGTTTGAAACACTCTTTTTGCAGGATCTACAAGTGGATATTTGGACCACTCTGTGTCCTTCGTTCGAAACGGGTATATCTTCACACGACATCTAGACAGAAGCTTTCTCAGAAAATTCTTTGGGATGATTGAGTGGAACTCACAGAGCTGAACATTCCTTGCGATGTAGCAGTTTAGAAACACACTTTCTGCAGAATCTGCAAGTGCATATTTGGACCTCTCTGAGGAATTCGTTGGAAACGGGATAATTTCAGCTGACTAAACAGAAGCATTCTCAGAACCTTCTTCGTGATGTCTGCATTCAACTCACAGTGTGGAACCTTTCTTTGATAGTTCAGGTTTGAAACACTCTTTTTGTAGAAACTGCAAGGGGATAATTGCACTTCTTTGAGGCCTACCGTAGTAAAGGAAATAACTTCCTATAGAAAGAAGACAGAAGCATTCTCAGAACCCTCTTCGTGATGTTTGCATTCAACTCACAGTGCTGAACCTTTCTTTGATAGTTCAGCTTTGAAACACTCTTCTTGTAGAAACTGCAAGTGGATATTTGGTCCTCTCTGAGGATTTCGTTGGAAACGGGATAAACCGCACAGAACTAAACAGAAGAATTCTCAGAGCCCTCTTCGTGATGTTTGCATTCAACTCACAGTGCTGAACCTTTCTTTGATAGTGCAGCTTCGAAACACTCTTTTTGTAGAAACTGCAAGTGGATGTTTGGTCCTCTCTGAGGATTTCGTTGGAAACGGGATAAACCGCACAGAACTAAAACAGAAGCATTGTCAGAAACTTCTTTGTGATGATTGCATTCAACTCACAGAGTTGAAGGTTCCTTTTCAAACAGCAGTTTCCAATCACTCTTTCTGTGGAATCTGCAAGTGGATATTTGGGCCTCTCTGAGGATTTCGTTGGAAACGGGATAAAACGCACAGAACTAAAACAGAAGCATTCTCAGAAACTTCTCTGTGATGTTTGTGTTCAACTCCCAGAGTTTCACGTTGCTTTTCATAGAGTAGTTCTGAAACATGCTTTTCGTAGTGTCTGCAAGTGGACATTTGGAGCGCTTTCAGGCCTGTGGTGGAAAACGAATTATGGTCACATAAAAACTGGAGAGAAGCCTTCTCAGAAACTTCTCTGTGATGATTGCATTCAACTCACAGAGTTGAACCCTCCTATGGATAGAGCAGTGTTGAAACTCTCTTTTTGTGGAATCTGCAAGTGGATATGTGGACCTCTCCGAAGATGTCTTTGGAAACGGGAATATCTTCACATAAAAACTAAACAGAAGCATTCTCAGAAACTTCTTGGTGATGTTTGCATTCAAATCCCAGAGTTGAACCTTCCTTTGATAGTTCAGGTTTGAAACACTCTTTCTGTAGGATCTGCAAGTGGCTATTTGGACCACTCTGTGGCCTTCGTTCGAAACGGGTATATCTTCGCATAAAATCTAGACAGAAAAGCATTCTCAGAAAATACTTTGTGATGATTGAGTTTAAATCACAGAGCTGACCATTCCTTTGGATGGAGCAGGTTTGAGACACACTTTTTGTAGAATCTACAAGTGGATATTTGGACCTCTCTGAGGATTTCGTTGGAAACGGGATAACTGCACCTAACTAAACGGAAGCATTGTCAGAAACTGCTTTGTGATGATTGCATTCACCTCACAGAGTTGAACATTCCTATTGATAGAGCAGTTTGGAAACACTCTTGTTGTGGAATGTGCAAGTGGAGATTCGGAGCGCTTTGAGGCCTATGGTAGTAAAGGGAATAGCTTCATAGAAAAACTAGACAGATGCATTCTCAGGAACTTTTTGGTGATGTTTGTATTCAACTCCCAGAGTTGAACTTTCCTTTGGAAAGAGCAGCTATGAAACACTCTTTTTCTAGAATCTGCAAGTGGACGTTTGGAGGGCTTTGTGGTTTGTGGTGGAAAAGGAAATATCTTCACCTAAATACTAGATAGAAGCATTCTCAGAAGCTTCTCTGTGATGACTGCATTCAACTCACGGAGTTGAACACTCCTTTTGAGAGCGCAGTTTTGAAACTCTCTTTCTGTGGCATCTGCAAGGGGACATGTAGACTTCTTTGAAGATTTCGTTGGAAACGGAATCATCTTCACATCAAAACTATACAGAAGCAGTCTCAGAATCTTCTTTGTGATGTTTGCATTCAAATCCCAGAGTTGAACTTTCCTTTCAAAGTTCACGTTTGAAACACTCTTTTTGCAGGATCTACAAGTGGATATTTGGACCACTCTGTGTCCTTCGTGCGAAACGGGTATATCTTCACATGACATCTAGACAGAAGCTTTCTCAGAAAATTCTTTGGGATGATTGAGTTGAACTCACAGAGCTGAACATTCCTTGCGATGTAGCAGTTTAGAAACACACTTTCTGCAGAATCTGCAAGTGCATATTTGGACCTCTCTGAGGAATTCGTTGGAAACGGGATAATTTCAGCTGACTAAACAGAAGCATTCTCAGAACCTTCTTCGTGATATCTGCCTTCAACTCACAGTGTGGAACCTTTCCTTGATAGTTCAGGTTTGAAACACTCTTTTTGTAGAAACTGCAAGGGGATAATTGCACTTCTTTGAGGCCTACCGTAGTAAAGGAAATAACTTCCTATAGAAAGAAGACAGAAGAATTCTCAGAGCCCTCTTCGTGATGTTTGCATTCAACTCACAGTGCTGAACCTTTCTTTGATAGTGCAGCTTTGAAACACTCTTTTTGTAGAAACTGCAAGTGGATGTTTGGTCCTCTCTGAGGATTTCGTTGGAAACGGGATAAACCGCACAGAACTAAAACAGAAGCATTGTCAGAAACTTCTTTGTGATGATTGCATTCAACTCACAGAGTTGAAGGTTCCTTTTCAAACAGCAGTTTCCAATCACTCTTTCTGTGGAATCTGCAAGTGGATATTTGGGCCTCTCTGAGGATTTCGTTGGAAACGGGATAAAACGCACAGAACTAAAACAGAAGCATTCTCAGAAACTTCTCTGTGATGTTTGTGTTCAACTCCCAGAGTTTCACGTTGCTTTTCATAGAGTAGTTCTGAAACATGCTTTTCGTAGTGTCTGCAAGTGGACATTTGGAGCGCTTTCAGGCCTGTGGTGGAAAACGAATTATGGTCACATAAAAACTGGAGAGAAGCCTTCTCAGAAACTTCTCTGTGATGATTGCATTCAACTCACAGAGTTGAACCCTCCTATGGATAGAGCAGTGTTGAAACTCTCTTTTTGTGGAACCTGCAAGTGGATATGTGGACCTCTCCGAAGATGTCTTTGGAAACGGGAATATCTTCACATAAAAACTAAACAGAAGCATTCTCAGAAACTTCTTGGTGATGTTTGCATTCAAATCCCAGAGTTGAACCTTCCTTTGATAGTTCAGGTTTGAAACACTCTTTCTGTAGGATCTGCAAGTGGCTATTTGGACCACTCTGTGGCCTTCGTTCGAAACGGGTATATCTTCGCATAAAATCTAGACAGAAGCATTCTCAGAAAATACTTTGTGATGATTGAGTTTAAATCACAGAGCTGACCATTCCTTTGGATGGAGCAGGTTTGAGACACACTTTTTGTAGAATCTACAAGTGGATATTTGGACCTCTCTGAGGATTTCGTTGGAAACGGGATAACTGCACCTAACTAAACGGAAGCATTCTCAGAAACTGCTTTGTGATGATTGCATTCACCTCACAGAGTTGAACATTCCTATTGATAGAGCAGTTTGGAAACACTCTTGTTGTGGAATGTGCAAGTGGAGATTTGGAGCGCTTTGAGGCCTATGGTAGTAAAGGGAATAGCTTCATAGAAAAACTAGACAGATGCATTCTCAGGAACTTTTTGGTGATGTTTGTATTCAACTCCCAGAGTTGAACTTTCCTTTGGAAAGAGCAGCTATGAAACACTCTTTTTCTAGAATCTGCAAGTGGACGTTTGGAGGGCTTTGTGGTTTGTGGTGGAAAAGGAAATATCTTCACCTAAATACTAGATAGAAGCATTCTCAGAAGCTTCTCTGTGATGACTGCATTCAACTCACGGAGTTGAACACTCCTTTTGAGAGCGCAGTTTTGAAACTCTCTTTCTGTGGCATCTGCAAGGGGACATGTAGACCTCTTTGAAGATTTCGTTGGAAACGGAATCATCTTCACATAAAAACTATACAGAAGCAGTCTCAGAATCTTCTTTGTGATGTTTGCATTCAAATCCCAGAGTTGAACTTTCCTTTCAAAGTTCACGTTTGAAACACTCTTTTTGCAGGATCTACAAGTGGATATTTGGACCACTCTGTGTCCTTCGTTCGAAACGGGTATATCTTCACATGACATCTAGACAGAAGCTTTCTCAGAAAATTCTTTGGGATGATTGAGTTGAGCAAACAGAGCTGAACACTCCTTGCGATGTAGCAGTTTAGAAACACACTTTCTGCAGAATCTGCAAGTGCATATGTGGACCTCTCTGAGGAATTCGTTGGAAACCGGATAATTTCAGCTGACTAAACAGAAGCATTCTCAGAACCTTCTTCGTGATGTCTGCATTCAACTCACAGTGTGGAACCTTTCTTTGATAGTTCAGGTTTGAAACAATCTTTTTGTAGAAACTGCAAGGGGATAATTGCACTTCTTTGAGGCCTACCATAGTAAAGGAAATAACTTCCTATAGAAAGAAGACAGAAGCATTCTCAGAACCCTCTTCGTGATGTTTGCATTCAACTCACAGTGCTGAACCTTTCTTTGATAGTTCAGCTTTGAAACACTCTTCTTGTAGAAACTGCAAGTGGATATTTGGTCCTCTCTGAGGATTTCGTTGGAAACGGGATAAACCGCACAGAACTAAACAGAAGCATTCTCAGAACCTTCTTCGTGATGTTTGCATTCAACTCACAGTGTTGAACCTTTCTTTGATAGTTCAGGTTGGAAACGGTCTTTCTGTAGAAACTGCAAGTAGATATTTGGACCTCTCTGAGGATTTCGTTGGAAACGGGATAAACCGCACAGAACTAAAACAGAAGCATTCACAGAAAACTCTTGGTGACGACTGAGTTTAACTCACAGAGCTGAACATTCCTTTGGATGGAGCAGTTTCGAAACACACTATTTGTAGAATGTGCAAGTGGATATTTGGGCCTCTCTGAGGATTTCGTTGGAAACGGGATAAACCGCACAGAACTAAACAGAAGCATTCTCAGAAACTACTTTGTGATGATTGCATTCAAGTCACAGAGTTGAACATTCCCTTTGACAGAGCAGTTTGGAAACTCTCTTTGTGTAGAATCTGCAAGTGGAGATATGGACCGCTTTGAGGCCTATGGTAGTAAAGGAAATAGCTTCATATAAAAGCTAGACAGTAAGCATTCTCAGAAACTTCTTTGTGATGCTTGCATTCAACTCACAGAGTTGAACTTTCCTTTCGAGAGAGAAGCTTTGAAACACTCTTTTTCCAGAATCTGCAAGTGGACATTTGGAGGGCTTTGAGGCCTGTGGTGGAAAAGGAATTAACTTCCCGTAAAAGCTAGATAGAAGCATTGTCAGAAACTTCTTTGTGATGATTGCATTCAACTCACAGAGATGAAGGTTCCTTTACAAACAGCAGTTTCCAAACACTCTTTCTGTGGAATCTGCAAGTGGATATTTGGACCTCTTTGAAGATTTCGTTGGAAACGGGAGAATCTTCACAGAAAAGCTAAACAGAAGCATTCTCAGAAACTTCTCTGTGATGTTTGTGTTCAACTCCCAGAGTTTCATATTGCTTCTCATAGAGTAGTTCTGAAACATGCTTTTCGTAGTGTCTGCAAGTGGACATTTGGAGCGCTTTCAGGCCTGTGGTGGAAAACGAATTATGGTCACATAAAAACTGGAGAGAAGCCTTCTCAGAAACTTCTCTGTGATGATTGCATTCAACTCACAGAGTTGAACCCTCCTATGGATAGAGCAGTGTTGAAACTCTCTTTTTGTGTAATCTGCAAGTGGATATGTGGACCTCTCCGAAGATGTCTTTGGAAACGGGAATATCTTCACATAAAAACTAAACAGAAGCATTCTCAGAAACTTCTTGGTGATGTTTGCATTCAAATCCCAGAGTTGAACCTTCCTTTGATAGTTCAGGTTTGAAACACTCTTTTTGTAGGATCTGCAAGTGGCTATTTGGACCACTCTGTGGCCTTCGTTCGAAACGGGTATATCTTCGCATAAAATCTAGACAGAAGCATTCTCAGAAAATACTTTGTGATGATTGAGTTTAAATCACAGAGCTGACCATTCCTTTGGATGGAGCAGGTTTGAGACACACTTTTTGTAGAATCTACAAGTGGATATTTGGACCTCTCTGAGGATTTCGTTGGAAACGGGATAACTGCACCTAACTAAACGGAAGCATTCTCAGAAACTGCTTTGTGATGATTGCATTCACCTCACAGAGCTGAACATTCCTATTGATAGAGCAGTTTGGAAACACTCTTGTTGTGGAATGTGCAAGTGGAGATTTGGAGCGCTTTGAGGCCTATGGTAGTAAAGGGAATAGCTTCATAGAAAAACTAGACAGATGCATTCTCAGGAACTTTTTGGTGATGTTTGTATTCAACTCCCAGAGTTGAACTTTCCTTTGGAAAGAGCAGCTATGAAACACTCTTTTTCTAGAATCTGCAAGTGGACGTTTGGAGGGCTTTGTGGTTTGTGGTGGAAAAGGAAATATCTTCACCTAAATACTAGATAGAAGCATTCTCAGAAGCTTCTCTGTGATGACTGCATTCAACTCACGGAGTTGAACACTCCTTTTGAGAGCGCAGTTTTGAAACTCTCTTTCTGTGGCATCTGCAAGGGGACATGTAGACCTCTTTGAAGATTTCGTTGGAAACGGAATCATCTTCACATAAAAACTATACAGAAGCAGTCTCAGAATCTTCTTTGTGATGTTTGCATTCAAATCCCAGAGTTGAACTTTCCTTTCGAAGTTCACGTTTGAAACACTCTTTTTGCAGGATCTACAAGTGGATATTTGGACCACTCTGTGTCCTTCGTACGAAACGGGTATATCTTCACACGACATCTAGACAGAAGCTTTCTCAGCAAAATTCTTTGGGATGATTGAGTGGAACTCACAGAGCTGAACATTCCTTGCGATGTAGCAGTTTAGAAACACACTTTCTGCAGAATCTGCAAGTGCATATTTGGACCTCTCTGAGGAATTCGTTGGAAACGGGATAATTTCAGCTGACTAAACAGAAGCATTCTCAGAACCTTCTTCGTGATGTCTGCATTCAACTCACAGTGTGGAACCTTTCTTTGATAGTTCAGGTTTGAAACACTCTTTTTGTAGAAACTGCAAGGGGATAATTGCACTTCTTTGAGGCCTACCGTAGTAAAGGAAATAACTTCCTATAGAAAGAAGACAGAAGCATTCTCAGAACCCTCTTCGTGATGTTTGCATTCAACTCACAGTGCTGAACCTTTCTTTGATAGTTCTGCTTTGAAACACTCTTCTTGTAGAAACTGCAAGTGGATATTTGGTCCTCTCTGAGGATTTCGTTGGAAACGGGATAAACCGCACAGAACTAAACAGAAGCATTCTCAGAATCTTCTTCGTGATGATTGCATTCAACTCACAGTGTTGAACCTTTCTTTGATAGTTCAGGTTGGAAACGGTCTTTCTGTAGAAACTGCAAGTAGATATTTGGACCTCTCTGAGGATTTCGTTGGAAACGGGATAAACCGCACAGAACTAAAACAGAAGCATTCACAGAAAACTCTTGGTGACGACTGAGTTTAACTCACAGAGCTGAACATTCCTTTGGATGGAGCAGTTTCGAAACACACTATTTGTAGAATGTGCAAGTGGATATTTGGGCCTCTCTGAGGATTTCGTTGGAAACGCGATAAACCGCACAGAACTAAAGAGAAGCATTCTCAGAAACTACTTTGTGATGATTGCATTCAAGTCACAGAGTTGAACATTCCCTATGACAGAGCAGTTTGGAAACTCTCTTTGTGTAGAATCTGCAAGTGGAGATATGGACCGCTTTGAGGCCTATGGTAGTAAAGGAAAGAGCTTCATATAAAAGCTAGACAGTAGCATTCTCAGAAACTTCTTTGTGATGCTTGCATTCAACTCACAGAGTTGAACTTTCCTTTCGAGAGAGAAGCTTTGAAACAGTCTTTTTCCAGAATCTGCAAGTGGACATTTGGAGGGCTTTGAGGCCTGTGGTGGAAAAGGAATTATCTTCCCGTAAAAGCTAGATAGAAGCATTGTCAGAAACTTCTTTGTGATGATTGCATTCAAGTCACAGAGTTGAAGGTTCCTTTTCAAAGAGCAGTTTCCAATCACTCTTTCTGTGGAATCTGCAAGTGGATATTTGGACCTCTTTGAAGATTTCGTTGGAAACGGGAGAATCTTCACAGAAAAGCTAAACAGAAGCATTCTCAGAAACTTCTCTGTGATGTTTGTGTTCAACTCCCAGAGTTTCACATTGCTTCTCATAGAGTAGTTCTGAAACATGCTTTTCGTAGTGTCTGCAAGTGGACATTTGGAGCGCTTTCAGGCCTGTGGTGGAAAACGAATTATGGTCACATAAAAACTGGAGAGAAGCATTCTCAGAAACTTCTCTGTGACGATTGCATTCAACTCACAGAGTTGAACCCTCCTATGGATAGAGCAGTGTTGAAACTCTCTTTTTGTGGAATCTGCAAGCGGATATGTGGACCTCTCCGAAGATGTCTTTGGAAACGGGAATATCTTCACATAAAAACTAAACAGAAGCATTCTCAGAAACTTCTTGGTGATGTTTGCATTCAAATCCCAGAGTTGAACCTTCCTTTGATAGTTCAGGTTTGAAACACTCTTTCTGTAGGATCTGCAAGTGGCTATTTGGACCACTCTGTGGCCTTCGTTCGAAACGGGTATATCTTCGCATAAAATCTAGACAGAAGCATTCTCAGAAAATACTTTGTGATGATTGAGTTTAAATCACAGAGCTGACCATTCCTTTGGATGGAGCAGGTTTGAGACACACTTTTTGTAGAATCTACAAGTGGATATTTGGACCTCTCTGAGGATTTCGTTGGAAACGGGATAACTGCACCTAACTAAACGGAAGCATTCTCAGAAATTGCTTTGTGATGATTGCATTCACCTCACAGAGTTGACCATTCCTATTGATAGAGCAGTTTGGAAACACCCTTGTTGTGGAATGTGCAAGTGGAGATTTGGAGCGCTTTGAGGCCTATGGTAGTAAAGGGAATAGCTTCATAGAAAAACTAGACAGATGCATTCTCAGGAACTTTTTGGTGATGTTTGCATTCAACTCCCAGAGTTGAACTTTCCTTTGGAAAGAGCAGCTATGAAACACTCTTTTTCTAGAATCTGCAAGTGGACGTTTGGAGGGCTTTGTGGTTTGTGGTGGAAAAGGAAATATCTTCACCTAAATACTAGATAGAAGCATTCTCAGAAGCTTCTCTGTGATGACTGCATTCAACTCACGGAGTTGAACACTCCTTTTGAGAGCGCAGTTTTGAAACTCTCTTTCTGTGGCATCTGCAAGGGGACATGTAGACCTCTTTGAAGATTTCGTTGGAAACGGAATCATCTTCACATCAAAACTATACAGAAGCAGTCTCAGAATCTTCTTTGTGATGTTTGCATTCAAATCCCAGAGTTGAACTTTCCTTTCAAAGTTCACGTTTGAAACACTCTTTTTGCAGGATCTACAAGTGGATATTTGGACCACTCTGTGTCCTTCGTTCGAAACGGGTATATCTTCACATGACATCTAGACAGAAGCTTTCTCAGAAAATTCTTTGGGATGATTGAGTGGAACTCACAGAGCTGAACATTCCTTGCGATGTAGCAGTTTAGAAACACACTTTCTGCAGAATCTGCAAGTGCATATTTGGACCTCTCTGAGGAATTCGTTGGAAACGGGATAATTTCAGCTGACTAAACAGAAGCATTCTCAGAACCTTCTTCGTGATGTCTGCATTCAACTCACAGTGTGGAACCTTTCTTTGATAGTTCAGGTTTGAAACACTCTTTTTGTAGAAACTGCAAGGGGATAATTGCACTTCTTTGAGGCCTACCGTAGTAAAGGAAATAACTTCCTATAGAAAGAAGACAGAAGCATTCTCAGAACCCTCTTCGTGATGTTTGCATTCAACTCACAGTGCTGAACCTTTCTTTGATAGTTCAGCTTTGAAACACTCTTCTTGTAGAAACTGCAAGTGGATATTTGGTCCTCTCTGAGGATTTCGTTGGAAACGGGATAAACCGCACAGAACTAAACAGAAAGAATTCTCAGAGCCCTCTTCGTGATGTTTGCATTCAACTCACAGTGCTGAACCTTTCTTTGATAGTGCAGCTTTGAAACACTCTTTTTGTAGAAACTGCAAGTGGATGTTTGGTCCTCTCTGAGGATTTCGTTGGAAACGGGATAAACCGCACAGAACTAAAACAGAGCATTCTCAGAACCCTCTTCGTGATGTTTGCATTCAACTCACAGTGTTGAACCTTTCTTTGATAGTTCAGGTTTGAAACGGTTTTTCTGTAGAAACTGCAAGTAGATATTTGGACCTCTCTGAGGATTTCGTTGGAAACGGGATAAACCGCACAGAACTAAACAGAAGCATTCACAGAAAACTCTTGGTGACGACTGAGTTTAACTCACAGAGCTGAACATTCCTTTGGATGGAGCAGTTTCGAAACACACTATTTGTAGAATGTGCAAGTGGATATTTAGGCCTCTCTGAGGATTTCGTTGGAAACGGGATAAACCGCACAGAACTAAACAGAAGCATTCTCAGAAACTACTTTGTGATGATTGCATTCAAGTCACAGAGTTGAACATTCCCTTTGACAGAGCAGTTTGGAAACTCTCTTTGTGTAGAATCTGCAAGTGGAGATACGGACCGCTTTGAGGCCTATGGTAGTAAAGGAAATAGCTTCATATAAAAGCTAGACAGTAGCATTCTCAGAAACTTCTTTGTGATGCTTGCATTCAACTCACAGAGTTGAACTTTCCTTTCGAGAGAGAAGCTTTGAAACACTCTTTTTCCAGAATCTGCAAGTGGACATTTGGAGGGCTTTGAGGCCTGTGGTGGAAAAGGAATTATCTTCCCGTAAAAGCTAGATAGAAGCATTGTCAGAAACTTCTTTGTGATGATTGCATTCAACTCACAGAGTTGAAGGTTCCTTTTCAAAGAGCAGTTTCCAATCACTCTTTGTGTGGAATCTGCAAGTGGATATTTGGACCTATTTTGAAGATTTCGTTGGAAACGGGAGAATCTTCACAGAAAAGCTAAACAGAAGCATTCTCAGAAACTTCTCTGTGATGTTTGTGTTCAACTCCCAGAGTTTCACGTTGCTTTTCATAGAGTAGTTCTGAAACATGCTTTTCGTAGTGTCTGCAAGTGGACATTTGGAGCGCTTTCAGGCCTGTGGTGGAAAACGAATTATGGTCACATAAAAACTGGAGAGAAGCCTTCTCAGAAACTTCTCTGTGATGATTGCATTCAGCTCACAGAGTTGAACCCTCCTATGGATAGAGCAGTGTTGAAACTCTCTTTTTGTGGAATCTGCAAGTGGATATGTGGACCTCTCCGAAGATGTCTTTGGAAACGGGAATATCTTCACATAAAAACTAAACAGAAGCATTCTCAGAAACTTCTTGGTGATGTTTGCATTCAAATCCCAGAGTTGAACCTTCCTTTGATAGTTCAGGTTTGAAACACTCTTTCTGTAGGATCTGCAAGTGGCTATTTGGACCACTCTGTGGCCTTCGTTCGAAACGGGTATATCTTCGCATAAAATCTAGACAGAAGCATTCTCAGAAAATACTTTGTGATGATTGAGTTTAAATCACAGAGCTGACCATTCCTTTGGATGGAGCAGGTTTGAGACACACTTTTTGTAGAATCTACAAGTGGATATTTGGACCTCTCTGAGGATTTCGTTGGAAACGGGATAACTGCACCTAACTAAACGGAAGCATTCTCAGAAACTGCTTTGTGATGATTGCATTCACCTCACAGAGTTGAACATTCCTATTGATAGAGCAGTTTGGAAACACTCTTGTTGTGGAATGTGCAAGTGGAGATTTGGAGCGCTTTGAGGCCTATGGTAGTAAAGGGAATAGCTTCATAGAAAAACTAGACAGATGCATTCTCAGGAACTTTTTGGTGATGTTTGTATTCAACTCCCAGAGTTGAACTTTCCTTTGGAAAGAGCAGCTATGAAACACTCTTTTTCTAGAATCTGCAAGTGGACGTTTGGAGGGCTTTGTGGTTTGTGGTGGAAAAGGAAATATCTTCACCTAAATACTAGATAGAAGCATTCTCAGAAGCTTCTCTGTGATGACTGCATTCAACTCACGGAGTTGAACACTCCTTTTGAGAGCGCAGTTTTGAAACTCTCCTTCTGTGGCATCCGCAAGGGGACATGTAGACCTCTTTGAAGATTTCGTTGGAAACGGAATCATCTTCACATAAAAACTATACAGAAGCAGTCTCAGAATCTTCTTTGTGATGTTTGCATTCAAATCCCAGAGTTGAACTTTCCTTTCAAAGTTCACGTTAGAAACACTCTTTTTGCAGGATCTACAAGTGGATATTTGGACCACTCTGTGTCCTTCGTTCGAAACGGGTATATCTTCACATGACATCTAGACAGAAGCTTTCTCAGAAAATTCTTTGGGATGATTGAGTTGAACTCACAGAGCTGAGCATTCCTTGCGATGTAGCAGTTTAGAAACACACTTTCTGCAGAATCTGCAAGTGCATATTTGGACCTCTGTGAGGAATTCGTTGGAAACGGGATAATTTCAGCTGACTAAACAGAAGCATTCTCAGAACCTTCTTCGTGATGTCTGCATTCAACTCACAGTGTGGAACCTTTCTTTGATAGTTCAGGTTTGAAACACTCTTTTTGTAGAAACTGCAAGGGGATAATTGCACTCTTTGAGGAGTACCGTAGTAAAGGAAATAACTTCCTCTAAAAAGAAGACAGAAGCATTCTCAGAACCTTCTTCGTGATGTTTGCATTCAACTCACAGTGTTGAACCTTTCTTTGATAGTTCAGCTTTGAAACACTCTTTTTGTAGAAACTGCAAGTGGATATTTGGTCCTCTCTGAGGATTTCGTTGGAAACGGGATAAACTGCACAGAACTAAACAGAAGCATTCACAGAAAACTCTTGGTGACGACTGAGTTTAACTCACAGAGCTGAACATTCCTTTGGATGGAGCAGTTTCGAAACACACTATTTGTAGAATGTGCAACTGGATATTTGGGCCTCTCTGAGGATTTCGTTGGAAACGGGATAAAACGCACAGAACTAAAACAGAAGCATTCTCAGAAACTACTTTGTGATGATTGCATTCAAGTCACAGAGTTGAACATTCCCTTTGACAGAGCAGTTTGGAAACTCTCTTTGTGTAGAATCTGCAAGTGGAGATATGGACCGCTTTGAGGCCTATGGTAGTAAAGGAAATAGCTTCATATAAAAGCTAGACAGTAGCATTCTCAGAAACTTCTTTGTGATGCTTGCATTCAACTCACAGAGTTGAACTTTCCTTTCGAGAGAGAAGCTTTGAAACACTCTTTTTCCAGAATCTGCAAGTGGACATTTGGAGGGCTTTGAGGCCTGTGGTGGAAAAGGAATTATCTTCCCGTAAAAGCTAGATAGAAGCATTGTCAGAAACTTCTTTGTGATGATTGCATTCAACTCACAGAGATGAAGGTTCCTTTTCAAAGAGCAGTTTCCAATCACTCTTTGTGTGGAATCTGCAAGTGGATATTTGGACCTATTTTGAAGATTTCGTTGGAAACGGGAGAATCTTCACAGGAAAGCTAAACAGAAGCATTCTCAGAAACTTCTCTGTGATGTTTGTGTTCAACTCCCAGAGTTTCACATTGCTTTTCATAGAGTAGTTCTGAAACATGCTTTTCGTAGTGTCTACAAGTGGACATTTGGAGCGCTTTCAGGCCTGTGGTGGAAAACGAATTATGGTCACATAAAAACTGGAGAGAAGCCTTCTCAGAAACTTCTCTGTGATGATTGCATTCAACTCACAGAGTTGAACCCTCCTATGGATAGAGCAGTGTTGAAACTCTCTTTTTGTGGAATCTGCAAGTGGATATGTGGACCTCTCCGAAGATGTCTTTGGAAACGGGAATATCTTCACATAAAAACTAAACAGAAGCATTCTCAGAAACTTCTTGGTGATGTTTGCATTCAAATCCCAGAGTTGAACCTTCCTTTGATAGTTCAGGTTTGAAACACTCTTTTTGTAGGATCTGCAAGTGGATATTTGGACCACTCTGTGGCCTTCGTTCGAAACGGGTATATCTTCGCATAAAATCTAGACAGAAGCATTCTCAGAAAATACTTTGTGATGATTGAGTTTAACTCACAGAGCTGAACATTCCTTTGGATGGAGCAGGTTTGAGACACACTTTTTGTAGAATCTACAAGTGGATATTTGGACCTCTCTGAGGATTTCGTTGGAAACGCGATAACTGCACCTAACTAAACGGAAGCATTCTCAGAAACTGCTTTGTGATGATTGCATTCACCTCACAGAGTTGAACATTCCTATTGATAGAGCAGTTTGGAAACACTCTTGTTGTGGAATGTGCAAGTGGAGATTTGGAGCGCTTTGAGGCCTATGGTAGTAAAGGGAATAGCTTCATAGAAAAACTAGACAGATGCATTCTCAGGAACTTTTTGGTGATGTTTGTATTCAACTCCCAGAGTTGAACTTTCCTTTGGAAAGAGCAACTATGAAACACTCTTTTTCTAGAATCTGCAAGTGGACGTTTGGAGGGCTTTGTGGTTTGTGGTGGAAAAGGAAATATCTTCACCTAAATACTAGATAGAAGCATTCTCAGAAGCTTCTCTGTGATGACTGCATTCAACTCACGGAGTTGAACACTCCTTTTGAGAGCGCAGTTTTGAAACTCTCTTTCTGTGGCATCTGCAAGGGGACATGTAGACCTCTTTGAAGATTTCGTTGGAAACGGAATCATCTTCACATAAAAACTATACAGAAGCAGTCTCAGAATCTTCTTTGTGATGTTTGCATTCAAATCCCAGAGTTGAACTTTCCTTTCAAAGTTCACGTTTGAAACACTCTTTTTGCAGGATCTACAAGTGGATATTTGGACCACTCTGTGTCCTTCGTTCGAAACGGGTATATCTTCACATGACATCTAGACAGAAGCTTTCTCAGAAAATTCTTTGGGATGATTGAGTGGAACTCACAGAGCTGAACATTCCTTGCGATGGAGCAGTTTAGAAACACACTTTCTGCAGAATCTGCAAGTGCATATTTGGACCTCTCTGAGGAATTCGTTGGAAACGGGATAATTTCAGCTGACTAAACAGAAGCATTCTCAGAACCTTCTTCGTGATGTCTGCATTCAACTCACAGTGTGGAACCTTTCTTTGATAGTTCAGGTTTGAAACACTCTTTTTGTAGAAACTGCAAGGGGATAATTGCACTTCTTTGAGGCCTACTGTAGTAAAGGAAATAACTTCCTATAGAAAGAAGACAGAAGCATTCTCAGAACCCTCTTCGTGATGTTTGCATTCAACTCACAGTGCTGAACCTTTCTTTGATAGTTCAGCTTTGAAACACTCTTCTTGTAGAAACTGCAAGTGGATATTTGGTCCTCTCTGAGGATTTCGTTGGAAACGGGATAAACCGCACAGAACTAAACAGAAGAATTCTCAGAGCCCTCTTCGTGATGTTTGCATTCAACTCACAGTGCTGAACCTTTCTTTGATAGTGCAGCTTTGAAACACTCTTTTTGTAGAAACTGCAAGTGGATGTTTGGTCCTCTCTGAGGATTTCGTTGGAAACGGGATAAAACGCACAGAACTAAAACAGAAGCATTGTCAGAAACTTCTTTGTGATGATTGCATTCAACTCACAGAGTTGAAGGTTCCTTTTCAAACAGCAGTTTCCAATCACTCTTTCTGTGGAATCTGCAAGTGGATATTTGGGCCTCTCTGAGGATTTCGTTGGAAACGGGATAAAACGCACAGAACTAAAACAGAAGCATTCTCAGAAACTTCTCTGTGATGTTTGTGTTCAACTCCCAGAGTTTCACGTTGCTTTTCATAGAGTAGTTCTGAAACATGCTTTTCGTAGTGTCTGCAAGTGGACATTTGGAGCGCTTTCAGGCCTGTGGTGGAAAACGAATTATGGTCACATAAAAACTGGAGAGAAGCCTTCTCAGAAACTTCTCTGTGATGATTGCATTCAACTCACAGAGTTGAACCCTCCTATGGATAGAGCAGTGTTGAAACTCTCTTTTTGTGGAATCTGCAAGTGGATATGTGGACCTCTCCGAAGATGTCTTTGGAAACGGGAATATCTTCACATAAAAACTAAACAGAAGCATTCTCAGAAACTTCTTGGTGATGTTTGCATTCACATCGCAGAGTTGATCCTTCCTTTGATACTTCAAGTTTGAAACACTCTTTTTGTAGGATCTGCAAGTGGATATTTGGACCACTCTGTGGCCTTCGTTCGAAACGGGTACATCTTCGCATAAAATCTAGACAGAAGCATTCTCAGAAAATACTTTGTGATGATTGAGTTTAAATCACAGAGCTGACCATTCCTTTGGATGGAGCAGGTTTGAGACACACTTTTTGTAGAATCTACAAGTGGATATTTGGACCTCTCTGAGGATTTTGTTGGAAACGGGATAACTGCACCTAACTAAACGGAAGCATTCTCAGAAACTGCTTTGTGATGATTGCATTCACCTCACAGAGTTGAACATTCCTATTGATAGAGCAGTTTGGAAACACTCTTGTTGTGGAATGTGCAAGTGGAGATTTGGAGCGCTTTGAGGCCTATGGTAGTAAAGGGAATAGCTTCATAGAAAAACTAGACAGATGCATTCTCAGGAACTTTTTGGTGATGTTTGTATTCAACTCCCAGAGTTGAACTTTCCTTTGGAAAGAGCAGCTATGAAACACTCTTTTTCTAGAATCTGCAAGTGGACGTTTGGAGGGCTTTGTGGTTTGTGGTGGAAAAGGAAATATCTTCACCTAAATACTAGATAGAAGCATTCTCAGAAGCTTCTCTGTGATGACTGCATTCAACTCACGGAGTTGAACACTCCTTTTGAGAGCGCAGTTTTGAAACTCTCTTTCTGTGGCATCTGCAAGGGGACATGTAGACCTCTTTGAAGATTTCGTTGGAAACGGAATCATCTTCACATAAAAACTATACAGAAGCAGTCTCAGAATCTTCTTTGTGATGTTTGCATTCAAATCCCAGAGTTGAACTTTCCTTTCAAAGTTCACGTTTGAAACACTCTTTTTGCAGGATCTACAAGTGGATATTTGGACCACTCTGTGTCCTTCGTTCGAAACGGGTATATCTTCACACGACATCTAGACAGAAGCTTTCTCAGAAAATTCTTTGGGATGATTGAGTGGAACTCACAGAGCTGAACATTCCTTGCGATGTAGCAGTTTAGAAACACACTTTCTGCAGAATCTGCAAGTGCATATTTGGACCTCTCTGAGGAATTCGTTGGAAACGGGATAATTTCAGCTGACTAAACAGAAGCATTCTCAGAACCTTCTTCGTGATGTCTGCATTCAACTCACAGTGTGGAACCTTTCTTTGATAGTTCAGGTTTGAAACACTCTTTTTGTAGAAACTGCAAGGGGATAATTGCACTTCTTTGAGGCCTACCGTAGTAAAGGAAATAACTTCTTATAGAAAGAAGACAGAAGCATTCTCAGAACCCTCTTCGTGATGTTTGCATTCAACTCACAGTGCTGAACCTTTCTTTGATAGTTCAGCTTTGAAACACTCTTCTTGTAGAAACTGCAAGTGGATATTTGGTCCTCTCTGAGGATTTCGTTGGAAACGGGATAAACTGCACAGAACTAAACAGAAGCATTCTCAGAACCTTCTTCGTGATGTTTGCATTCAACTCACAGTGTTGAACCTTTCTTTGATAGTTCAGGTTTGAAACGGTCTTTCTGTAGAAACTGCAAGTAGATATTTGGACCTCTCTGAGGATTTCGTTGGAAACGGGATAACCCGCACAGAACTAAAACAGAAGCATTCACAGAAAACTCTTGGTGACGACTGAGTTTAACTCACAGAGCTGAACATTCCTTTGGATGGAGCAGTTTCGAAACACACTATTTGTAGAATGTGCAAGTGGATATTTGGGCCTCTCTGAGGATTTCGTTGGAAACGGGATAAACCGCACAGAACTAAACAGAAGCATTCTCAGAAACTACTTTGTGACGATTGCATTCAAGTCACAGAGTTGAACATTCCCTTTGACAGAGCAGTTTGGAAACTCTCTTTGTGTAGAATCTGCAAGTGGAGATATGGACCGCTTTGAGGCCTATGGTAGTAAAGGTAATAGCTTCATATGAAAGCTAGACAGTAGCATTCTCAGAAACTTCTTTGTGATGCTTGCATTCAACTCACAGAGTTGAACTTTCCTTTCGAGAGAGAAGCTTTGAAACACTCTTTTTCCAGAATCTGCATGTGGACATTTGGAGGGCTTTGAGGCCTGTGGTGGAAAAGGAATTAACTTCCCGTAAAAGCTAGATAGAAGCATTGTCAGAAACTTCTTTGTGATGATTGCATTCAACTCACAGAGATGAAGGTTCCTTTACAAACAGCAGTTTCCAAACACTCTTTCTGTGGAATCTGCAAGTGGATATTTGGACCTCTTTGAAGATTTCGTTGGAAACGGGAGAATCTTCACAGAAAAGCTAAACAGAAGCATTCTCAGAAACTTCTCTGTGATGTTTGTGTTCAACTCCCAGAGTTTCACATTGCTTTTCATAGAGTAGTTCTGAAACATGCTTTTCGTAGTGTCTGCAAGTGGACATTTGGAGCGCTTTCAGGCCTGTGGTGGAAATCGAATTATGGTCACATAAAAACTGGAGAGAAGCCTTCTCAGAAACTTCTCTGTGATGATTGCATTCAACTCACAGATTTGAACCCTCCTATGGATAGAGCATTCTTGAAACTCTCTTTTTGTGGAATCTGCAAGTGGATATGTTGACCTCTCCGAAGATGTCTTTGGAAACGGGAATATCTTCACATAAAAACTAAACAGAAGCATTCTCAGAAACTTCTTGGTGATGTTTGCATTCAAATCCCAGAGTTGAACCTTCCTGTGATAGTTCAGGTTTGAAACACTCTTTTTGTAGGATCTGCAAGTGGATATTTGGACCACTCTGTGGCCTTCGTTCGAAACGGGTACATCTTCACATAAAATCTAGACAGAAGCATTCTCAGAAAATACTTTGTGATGATTGAGTTTAACTCACAGAGCTGAACATTCCTTTGGATGGAGCAGGTTTGAGACACACTTTTTGTAGAATCTGCAAGTGGATATTTGGACCTCTCTGAGGATTTCGTTGGAAACGCGATAACTGCACCTAACTAAACGGAAGCATTCTCAGTAAACTGCTTTGTGATGATTGCATTCACCTCACAGAGTTGAACATTCCTATTGATAGAGCAGTTTGGAAACACTCTTCTTGTGGAATGTGCAAGTGGAGATTTGGAGCGCTTTGAGGCCTATGGTAGTAAAGGGAATAGCTTCATAGAAAAACTAGACAGATGCATTCTCAGGAACTTTTTGGTGATGTTTGTATTCAACTCCCAGAGTTGAACTTTCCTTTGGAAAGAGCAGCTATGAAACACTCTTTTTCTAGAATCTGCAAGTGGACGTTTGGAGGGCTTTGTGGTTTGTGGTGGAAAATGAAATATCTTCACCTAAATACTAGATAGAAGCATTCTCAGAAGCTTCTCTGTGATGACTGCATTCAACTCACGGAGTTGAACACTCCTTTTGAGAGCGCAGTTTTGAAACTCTCTTTCTGTGGCATCTGCAAGGGGACATGTAGACCTCTTTGAAGATTTCGTTGGAAACGGAATCATCTTCACATAAAAACTATACAGAAGCAGTCTCAGAATCTTCTTTGTGATGTTTGCATTCAAATCCCAGAGTTGAACTTTCCTTTCAAAGTTCACGTTTGAAACACTCTTTTTGCAGGATCTACAAGTGGATATTTGGACCACTCTGTGTCCTTCGTTCGAAACGGGTATATCTTCACACGACATCTAGACAGAAGCTTTCTCAGAAAATTCTTTGGGATGATTGAGTGGAACTCACAGAGCTGAACATTCCTTGCGATGTAGCAGTTTAGAAACACACTTTCTGCAGAATCTGCAAGTGCATATTTGGACCTCTCTGAGGAATTCGTTGGAAACGGGATAATTTCAGCTGACTAAACAGAAGCATTCTCAGAACCTTCTTCGTGATGTCTGCATTCAACTCACAGTGTGGAACCTTTCTTTGATAGTTCAGGTTTGAAACACTCTTTTTGTAGAAACTGCAAGGGGATAATTGCACTTCTTTGAGGCCTACCGTAGTAAAGGAAATAACTTCCTATAGAAAGAAGACAGAAGCATTCTCAGAACCCTCTTCGTGATGTTTGCATTCAACTCACAGTGCTGAACCTTTCTTTGATAGTTCAGCTTTGAAACACTCTTCTTGTAGAAACTGCAAGTGGATATTTGGTCCTCTCTGAGGATTTCGTTGGAAACGGGATAAACCGCACAGAACTAAACAGAAGAATTCTCAGAGCCCTCTTCGTGGTGTTTGCATTCAACTCACAGTGCTGAACCTTTCTTTGATAGTGCAGCTTTGAAACACTCTTTTTGTAGAAACTGCAAGTGGATATTTGTTCCTCTCTGAGGATTTCGTTGGAAACGGGATAAAACGCACAGAACTAAAACAGAAGCATTCACAGAAAACTCTTGGTGACGACTGAGTTTAACTCACAGAGCTGAACATTCCTTTGGATGGAGCAGTTTCGAAACACACTATTTGTAGAATCTGCAAGTGGATATTTGGGCCTCTCTGAGGATTTCGTTGGAAACGGGATAAAACGCACAGAACTAAAACAGAAGCATTCTCAGAAACTACTTTGTTATGATTGCATTCAAGTCACAGAGTTGAACATTCCCTTTGACAGAGCAGTTTGGAAACTCTGTTTGTGTAGAATCTGCAAGTGGAGATATGGACCGCTTTGAGGCCTATGGTAGTAAAGGAAATAGCTTCATATAAAAGCTAGACAGTAGCATTCTCAGAAACTTCTTTGTGATGCTTGCATTCAACTCACAGAGTTGAACTTTCCTTTCGAGAGAGAAGCTTTGAAACACTCTTTTTCCAGAATGTGCAAGTGGACATTTGGGGAGCTTTGAGGCCTGTGGTGGAAAAGGAATTATCTTCCCGTAAAAGCTAGATAGAAGCATTGTCAGAAACTTCTTTGTGATGATTGCATTCAACTCACAGAGTTGAAGGTTCCTTTTCAAAGAGCAGTTTCCAATCACTCTTTCTGTGGAATCTGCAAGTGGATATTTCGACCTCTTTGAAGATTTCGTTGGAAACGGGAGAATCTTCACAGAAAAGCTAAACAGAAGCATTCTCAGAAACTTCTCTGTGATGTTTGTGTTCAACTCCCAGAGTTTCACGTTGCTTTTCATAGAGTAGTTCTGAAACATGCTTTTCGTAGTGTCTGCAAGTGGACATTTGGAGCGCTTTCAGGCCTGTGGTGGAAAACGAATTATGGTCACATAAAAACTGGAGAGAAGCCTTCTCAGAAACTTCTCTGTGATGATTGCATTCATCTCAAAGAGTTGAACCCTCCTATGGATAGAGCAGTGTTGAAACTCTGTTTTTGTGGAATCTGCAAGTGGATATGTGGACCTCGCCAAAGATGTCTTTGGAAACGGGAATATCTTCACATAAAAACTAAACAGAAGCATTCTCAGAAACTTCTTGGTGATGTTTGCATTCAAATCCCAGAGTTGAACCTTCCTTTGATAGTTCAGGTTTGAAACACTCTTTTTGTACGATCTGCAAGTGGATATTTGGACCATTCTGTGGCCTTCGTTCAAAACGGGTACATCTTCGCATAAAATCTAGACAGAAGCATTCTCAGAAAATACTTTGTGATGATTGAGTTTAACTCACAGAGCTGAACATTCCTTTGGATGGAGCAGGTTTGAGACACACCTTTTGTAGAATCTACAAGTGGATATTTGGACCTCTCTGAGGATTTCGTTGGAAACGGGATAACTGCACCTAACTAAACGGAAGCATTCTCAGAAACTGCTTTGTGATGATTGCATTCACCTCACAGAGTTGAACATTCCTATTGATAGAGCAGTTTGGAAACACTCTTGTTGTGGAATGTGCAAGTGGAGATTTGGAGCGCTTTGAGGCCTATGGTAGTAAAGGGAATAGCTTCATAGAAAAACTAGACAGATGCATTCTCAGGAACTTTTTGGTGATGTTTGTATTCAACTCCCAGAGTTGAACTTTCCTTTGGAAAGAGCAGCTATGAAACACTCTTTTTCTAGAATCTGCAAGTGGACGTTTGGAGGGCTTTGTGGTTTGTGGTGGAAAAGGAAATATCTTCACCTAAATACTAGATAGAAGCATCCTCAGAAGCTTCTCTGTGATGACTGCATTCAACTCACGGAGTTGAACACTCCTTTTGAGAGCGCAGTTTTGAAACTCTCTTTCTGTGGCATCTGCAAGGGGACATGTAGACCTCTTTGAAGATTTCGTTGGAAACGGAATCATCTTCACATAAAAACTACACAGAAGCAGTCTCAGAATCTTCTTTGTGATGTTTGCATTCAAATCCCCGAGTTGAACTTTCCTTTCAAAGTTCACGTTTGAAACACTCTTTTTGCAGGATCTACAAGTGGATATTTGGACCACTCTGTGTCCTTCGATCAAAACGGGTATATCTTCACATGACATCTAGACAGAAGCTTTCTCAGAAAATTCTTTGGGATGATTGAGTTGAACTCACAGAGCTGAGCATTCCTTGCGATGTAGCAGTTTAGAAACACACTTTCTGCAGAATCTGCAAGTGCATATTTGGACCTCTGTGAGGAATTCGTTGGAAACGGGATAATTTCAGCTGACTAAACAGAAGCATTCTCAGAACCTTCTTCGTGATGTCTGCATTCAACTCACAGTGTGGAACCTTTCTTTGATAGTTCAGGTTTGAAACACTCTTTCTGTAGAAACTGCAAGGGGATAATTGCACTCTTTGAGGAGTACCGTAGTAAAGGAAATAACTTCCTATAAAAAGAAGACAGAAGCATTCTCAGAACCCTCTTCGTGATGTTTGCATTCAACTCACAGTGCTGAACCTTTCTTTGATAGTTCAGCTTCGAAACACTCTTTTTGTAGAAACTGCAAGTGGATATTTGGTCCTCTCTGAGGATTTCGTTGGAAACGGGATAAACTGCACAGAACTAAACAGAAGCATTCTCAGAACCTTCTTCGTGATGTTTGCATTCAACTCACAGTGTTGAACCTTTCTTTGATAGTTCAGGTTTGAAACGGTCTTTCTGTAGAAACTGCAAGTAGATATTTGGACCTCTCTGAGGATTTCGTTGGAAACGGGATAACCCGCACAGAACTAAAACAGAAGCATTCACAGAAAACTCTTGGTGACGACTGAGTTTAACTCACAGAGCTGAACATTCCTTTGGATGGAGCAGTTTCGAAACACACTATTTGTAGAATGTGCAAGTGGATATTTAGGCCTCTCTGAGGATTTCGTTGGAAACGGGATAAACCGCACAGAACTAAACAGAAGCATTCTCAGTAAACTACTTTGTGATGATTGCATTCAAGTCACAGAGTTGAACATTCCCTTTGACAGAGCAGTTTGGAAACTCTCTTTGTGTAGAATCTGCAAGTGGAGATATGGACCGCTTTGAGGCCTATGGTAGTAAAGGAAATAGCTTCATATAAAAGCTAGACAGTAGCATTCTCAGAAACTTCTTTGTGATGCTTGCATTCAACTCACAGAGTTGAACTTTCCTTTCGAGAGAGAAGCTTTGAAACACTCTTTTTCCAGAATCTGCAAGTGGACATTTGGAGGGCTTTGAGGCCTGTGGTGGAAAAGGAATTATCTTCCCGTAAAAGCTAGATAGAAGCATTGTCAGAAACTTCTTTGTCACGATTGCATTCAACTCACAGAGATGAAGGTTCCTTTACAAACAGCAGTTTCCAAACACTCTTTCTGTGGAATCTGCAAGTGGATATTTGGACCTCTTTGAAGATTTCGTTGGAAACGGGAGAATCTTCACAGAAAAGCTAAACAGAAGCATCCTCAGAAACTTCTCTGTGATGTTTGTGTTCAACTCCCAGAGTTTCACATTGCTTTTCATAGAGTAGTTCTGAAACATGCTTTTCGTAGTGTCTGCAAGTGGACATTTGGAGCGCTTTCAGGCCTGTGGTGGAAAACGAATTATGGTCCCATAAAAACTGGAGGGAAGCCTTCTCAGAAACTTCTCTGTGATGATTGCATTCAACTCACAGATTTGAACCCTCCTATGGATAGAGCATTGTTGAAACTCTCTTTTTGTGGAATCTGCAAGTGGATATGTGGACCTCTCCGAAGATGTCTTTGGAAACGGGAATATCTTCACATAAAAACTAAACAGAAGCATTCTCAGAAACTTCTTGGTGATGTTTGCATTCCAATCCCAGAGTTGAACCTTCCTGTGATAGTTCAGGTTTGAAACACTCTTTTTGTAGGATCTGCAAGTGGATATTTGGACCACTCTGTGGCCTTCGTTCGAAACGGGTACATCTTCACATAAAATCTAGACAGAAGCATTCTCAGAAAATACTTTGTGATGATTGAGTTTAAATCACAGAGCTGACCATTCCTTTGGATGGAGCAGGTTTGAGACACACTTTTTGTAGAATCTACAAGTGGATATTTGGACCTCTCTGAGGATTTCGTTGGAAACGGGATAACTGCACCTAACTAAACGGAAGCATTCTCAGAAACTGCTTTGTGATGATTGCATTCACCTCACAGAGTTGAACATTCCTATTGATAGAGCAGTTTGGAAACACTCTTGTTGTGGAATGTGCAAGTGGAGATTTGGAGCGCTTTGAGGCCTATGGTAGTAAAGGGAATAGCTTCATAGAAAAACTAGACAGATGCATTCTCAGGAACTTTTTGGTGATGTTTGTATTCAACTCCCAGAGTTGAACTTTCCTTTGGAAAGAGCAGCTATGAAACACTCTTTTTCTAGAATCTGCAAGTGGACGTTTGGAGGGCTTTGTGGTTTGTGGTGGAAAAGGAAATATCTTCACCTAAATACTAGATAGAAGCATTCTCAGAAGCTTCTCTGTGATGACTGCATTCAACTCACGGAGTTGAACACTCCTTTTGAGAGCGCAGTTTTGAAACTCTCTTTCTGTGGCATCTGCAAGGGGACATGTAGACCTCTTTGAAGATTTCGTTGGAAACGGAATCATCTTCACATAAAAACTATACAGAAGCAGTCTCAGAATCTTCTTTGTGATGTTTGCATTCAAATCCCAGAGTTGAACTTTCCTTTCAAAGTTCACGTTTGAAACACTCTTTTTGCAGGATCTACAAGTGGATATTTGGACCACTCTGTGTCCTTCGTTCGAAACGGGTATATCTTCACACGACATCTAGACAGAAGCTTTCTCAGAAAATTCTTTGGGATGATTGAGTGGAACTCACAGAGCTGAACATTCCTTGCGATGTAGCAGTTTAGAAACACACTTTCTGCAGAATCTGCAAGTGCATATTTGGACCTCTCTGAGGAATTCGTTGGAAACGGGATAATTTCAGCTGACTAAACAGAAGCATTCTCAGAACCTTCTTCGTGATGTCTGCATTCAACTCACAGTGTGGAACCTTTCTTTGATAGTTCAGGTTTGAAACACTCTTTTTGTAGAAACTGCAAGGGGATAATTGCACTTCTTTGAGGCCTACCGTAGTAAAGGAAATAACTTCCTATAGAAAGAAGACAGAAAGCATTCTCAGAACCCTCTTCGTGATGTTTGCATTCAACTCACAGTGCTGAACCTTTCTTTGATAGTTCAGCTTTGAAACACTCTTCTTGTAGAAACTGCAAGTGGATATTTGGTCCTCTCTGAGGATTTCGTTGGAAACGGGATAAACCGCACAGAACTAAACAGAGCATTCTCAAAACCTTCTTCGTGATGTTTGCATTCAACTCACGGTGTTGAACCTTTCTTTGATAGTTCAGGTTTGAAACGGTCTGTCTGTAGAAACTGCAAGTAGATATTTGGACCTCTCTGAGGATTTCGTTGGAAACGGGATAAACCGCACAGAACTAAAACAGAAGCATTCACAGAAAACTCTTGGTGACGACTGAGTTTAACTCACAGAGCTGAACATTCCTTTGGATGGAGCAGTTTCGAAACACACTATTTGTAGAATGTGCAAGTGGATATTTGGGCCTCTCTGAGGATTTCGTTGGAAACGGGATAAACCGCACAGAACTAAACAGAAGCATTCTCAGAAACTACTTTGTGATGATTGCATTCAAGTCACAGAGTTGAACATTCCCTTTGACAGAGCAGTTTGGAAACTCTCTTTGTGTAGAATCTGCAAGTGGAGATATGGACCGCTTTGAGGCCTATGGTAGTAAAGGAAATAGCTTCATATAAAAGCTAGACAGTAGCATTCTCAGAAACTTCTTTGTGATGCTTGCATTCAACTCACAGAGTTGAACTTTCCTTTCGAGAGAGAAGCTTTGAAACACTCTTTTTCCAGAATCTGCAAGTGGACATTTGGAGGGCTTTGAGGCCTGTGGTGGAAAAGGAATTAACTTCCCGTAAAAGCTAGATAGAAGCATTGTCAGAAACTTCTTTGTGATGATTGCATTCAACTCACAGAGATGAAGGTTCCTTTACAAACAGCAGTTTCCAAACACTCTTTCTGTGGAATCTGCAAGTGGATATTTGGACCTCTTTGAAGATTTCGTTGGAAACGGGAGAATCTTCACAGAAAAGCTAAACAGAAGCATTCTCAGAAACTTCTCTGTGATGTTTGTGTTCAACTCCCAGAGTTTCACATTGCTTTTCATAGAGTAGTTCTGAAACATGCTTTTCGTAGTGTCTACAAGTGGACATTTGGAGCGCTTTCAGGCCTGTGGTGGAAAACGAATTATGGTCACATAAAAACTGGAGAGAAGCCTTCTCAGAAACTTCTCTGTGATGATTGCATTCAACTCACAGAGTTGAACCCTCCTACGGATAGAGCAGTGTTGAAACTCTCTTTTTGTGGAATCTGCAAGTGGATACGTGGACCTCTCCGAAGATGTCTTTGGAAACGGGAATATCTTCACATAAAAACTAAACAGAAAGCATTCTCAGAAACTTCTTGGTGATGTTTGCATTCAAATCCCAGAGTTGAACCTTCCTTTGATAGTTCAGGTTTGAAACACTCTTTTTGTAGGATCTGCAAGTGGATATTTGGACCACTCTGTGGCCTTCGTTCGAAACGGGTATATCTTCGCATAAAATCTAGACAGAAGCATTCTCAGAAAATACTTTGTGATGATTGAGTTTAACTCACAGAGCTGAACATTCCTTTGGATGGAGCAGGTTTGAGACACACTTTTTGTAGAATCTACAAGTGGATATTTGGACCTCTCTGAGGATTTCGTTGGAAACGGGATAACTGCACCTAACTAAGCGGAAGCATTCTCAGAAACTGCTTTGTGATGATTGCATTCACCTCACAGAGTTGAACATTCCTATTGATAGAGCAGTTTGGAAACACTCTTGTTGTGGAATGTGCAAGTGGAGATTTGGAGCGCTTTGAGGCCTGTGGTAGTAAAGGGAATAGCTTCATAGAAAAACTAGACAGATGCATTCTCAGGAACTTTTTGGTGATGTTTGTATTCAACTCCCAGAGTTGAACTTTCCTTTGGAAAGAGCAGCTATGAAACACTCTTTTTCTAGAATCTGCAAGTGGACGTTTGGAGGGCTTTGTGGTTTGTGGTGGAAAAGGAAATATCTTCACCTAAATACTAGATAGAAGCATTCTCAGAAGCTTCTCTGTGATGACTGCATTCAACTCACGGAGTTGAACACTCCTTTTGAGAGCGCAGTTTTGAAACTCTCTTTCTGTGGCATCTGCAAGGGGACATGTAGACCTCTTTGAAGATTTCGTTGGAAACGGAATCATCTTCACATAAAAACTATACAGAAGCAGTCTCAGAATCTTCTTTGTGATGTTTGCATTCAAATCCCAGAGTTGAACTTTCCTTTCAAAGTTCACGTTTGAAACACTCTTTTTGCAGGATCTACAAGTGGATATTTGGACCACTCTGTGTCCTTCGTTCGAAACGGGTATATCTTCACACGACATCTAGACAGAAGCTTTCTCAGAAAATTCTTTGGGATGATTGAGTGGAACTCACAGAGCTGAACATTCCTTGCGATGTAGCAGTTTAGAAACACACTTTCTGCAGAATCTGCAAGTGCATATTTGGACCTCTCTGAGGAATTCGTTGGAAACGGGATAATTTCAGCTGACTAAACAGAAGCATTCTCAGAACCTTCTTCGTGATGTCTGCATTCAACTCACAGTGTGGAACCTTTCTTTGATAGTTCAGGTTTGAAACACTCTTTTTGTAGAAACTGCAAGGGGATAATTGCACTTCTTTGAGGCCTACCGTAGTAAAGGAAATAACTTCCTATAGAAAGAAGACAGAAGCATTCTCAGAACCCTCTTCGTGATGTTTGCATTCAACTCACAGTGCTGAAACTTTCTTTGATAGTTCAGCTTTGAAACACTCTTCTTGGAGAAACTGCAAGTGGATATTTTGTCCTCTCTGAGGATTTCGTTGGAAACGTGATAAACCGCACAGAACTAAACAGAAGCATTCTCAGAACCTTCTTCGTGATGTTTGCATTCAACTCACAGTGTTGAACCTTTCTTTGATAGTTCAGGTTGGAAACGGTCTTTCTGTAGAAACTGCAAGTAGATATTTGGACCTCTCTGAGGATTTCGTTGGAAACGGGATAAACCGCACAGAACTAAAACAGAAGCATTCACAGAAAACTCTTGGTGACGACTGAGTTTAACTCACAGTAGCTGAACATTCCTTTGGATGGAGCAGTTTCGAAACACACTATTTGTAGAATGTGCAAGTGGATATTTGGGCCTCTCTGAGGATTTCGTTGGAAACGGGATAAACCGCACAGAACTAAACAGAAGCATTCTCAGAAACTACTTTGTGATGATTGCATTCAAGTCACAGAGTTGAACATTCCCTTTGACAGAGCAGTTTGGAAACTCTCTTTGTGTAGAATCTGCAAGTGGAGATATGGACCGCTTTGAGGCCTATGGTAGTAAAGGAAATAGCTTCATATAAAAGCTAGACAGTAGCATTCTCAGAAACTTCTTTGTGATGCTTGCATTCAACTCACAGAGTTGAACTTTCCTTTAGAGAGAGAAGCTTTGAAACACTCTTTTTCCAGACATCTGCAAGTGGACATTTGGAGGGCTTTGAGGCCTGTGTTGGAAAAGGAATTATCTTCCCGTAAAAGCTAGATAGAAGCATTGTCAGAAACTTCTTTGTGATGATTGCATTCAACTCACAGAGTTGAAGGTTCCTTTTCAAACAGCAGTTTCCAATCACTCTTTCTGTGGAATCTGCAAGTGGATATTTGGACCTCTTTGAAGATTTCGTTGGAAACGGGAGAATCTTCACAGAAAAGCTAAACAGAAGCATTCTCAGAAACTTCTCTGTGATGTTTGTGTTCAACTCCCAGAGTTTCACATTGCTTCTCATAGAGTAGTTCTGAAACATGCTTTTCGTAGTGTCTGCAAGTGGACATTTGGAGCGCTTTGAGGCCTGTGGTGGAAAACGAATTATGGTCACATAAAAACTGGAGAGATGCCTTCTCAGAAACTTCTCTGTGATGATTGCATTCAACTCACAGAGTTGAACCCTCCTATGGATAGAGCAGTGTTGAAACTCTCTTTTTGTGGAATCTGCAAGTGGATATGTGGACCTCTCCGAAGACGTCTTTGGAAACGGGAATATCTTCACATAAAAACTAAACAGAAGCATTCTCAGAAACTTCTTGGTGATGTTTGCATTCAAATCCCAGAGTTGAACCTTCCTTTGATAGTTCAGGTTTGAAACACTCTTTTTGTAGGATCTGCAAGTGGCTATTTGGACCACTCTGTGGCCTTCGTTCGAAACGGGTATATCTTCGCATAAAATCTAGACAGAAGAATTCTCAGAAAATACTTTGTGATGATTGAGTTGAACTCACAGAGCTGAACATTCCTTTGGATGGAGCAGGTTTGAGACACACTTTTTGTAGAATCTACAAGTGGATATTTGGACCTCTCTGAGGATTTCGTTGGAAACGGGATAACTGCACCTAACTAAACGGAAGCATTCTCAGAAACTGCTTTGTGATGATTGCATTCACCTCACAGAGTTGAACATTCCTATTGATAGAGCAGTTTGGAAACACTCTTGTTGTGGAATGTGCAAGTGGAGATTTGGAGCGCTTTGAGGCCTATGGTAGTAAAGGGAATAGCTTCATAGAAAAACTAGACAGATGCATTCTCAGGAACTTTTTGGTGATGTTTGTATTCAACTCCCAGAGTTGAAATTTCCTTTGGAAAGAGCAGCTATGAAACACTCTTTTTCTAGAATCTGCAAGTGGACGTTTGGAGGGCTTTGTGGTTTGTGGTGGAAAAGGAAATATCTTCACCTAAATACTAGAGAGAAGCATTCTCAGAAGCTTCTCTGTGATGACTGCATTCAACTCACGGAGTTGAACACTCCTTTTGAGAGCGCAGTTTTGAAACTCTTTCTGTGGCATCTGCAAGGGGACATGTAGACCTCTTTGAAGATTTCGTTGGAAACGGAATCATCTTCACATAAAAACTATACAGAAGCAGTCTCAGAATCTTCTTTGTGATGTTTGCATTCAAATCCCAGAGTTGAACTTTCCTTTCAAAGTTCACGTTTGAAACACTCTTTTTGCAGGATCTACAAGTGGATATTTGGACCACTCTGTGTCCTTCGTTCGAAACGGGTATAACTTCACACGACATCTAGACAGAAGCTTTCTCAGAAAATTCTTTGGGATGATTGAGTTGAACTCACAGAGCTGAACATTCCTTGCGATGTAGCAGTTTAGAAACACACTTTCTGCAGAATCTGCAAGTACATATTTGGACCTCTCTGAGGAATTCGTTGGAAACGGGATAATTTCAGCTGACTAAACAGAAGCATTCTCAGAACCTTCTTCGTGATGTCTGCATTCAACTCACAGTGTGGAACCTTTCTTTGATAGTTCAGGTTTGAAACACTCTTTTTGTAGAAACTGCAAGGGGAAAATTGCACTTCTTTGAGTCCTACCGTAGTAAAGGAAATAACTTCCTATAAAAAGAAGACAGAAGCATTCTCAGAACCCTCTTCGTGATGTTTGCATTCAACTCACAGTGCTGAACCTTTCTTTGATAGTTCAGCTTTGAAACACTCTTCTTGTAGAAACTGCAAGTGGATATTTGGTCCTCTCTGAGGATTTCGTTGGAAACGGGATAAACCGCACAGAACTAAACAGAAGCATTCTCAGAGCCCTCTTCGTGATGTTTGCATTCAACTCACAGTGCTGAACCTTTCTTTGATAGTGCAGCTTTGAAACACTCTTTTTGTAGAAACTGCAAGTGGATATTTGGTCCTCTCTGAGGATTTCGTTGGAAACGGGATAAACCGCACAGAACTAAAACAGAAGCATTCACAGAAAACTCTTGGTGACGACTGAGTTTAACTCACAGAGCTGAACATTCCTTTGGATGGAGCAGTTTCGAAACACACTATTTGTAGAATCTGCAAGTGGATATTTGGGCCTCTCTGAGGATTTCGTTGGAAACGGGATAAAACGCACAGAACTAAAACAGAAGCATTCTCAGAAACTACTTTGTGATGATTGCATTCAAGTCACAGAGTTGAACATTCCCTTTGACAGAGCAGTTTGGAAACTCTCTTTGTGTAGAATCTGCAAGTGGAGATATGGACCGCTTTGAGGCCTATGGTAGTAAAGGAAATACCTTCATATAAAAGCTAGACAGTAGCATTCTCAGAAACTTCTTTGTGATGCTTGCATTCAACTCACAGAGTTGAACTTTCCTTTCGAGAGAGAAGCTTTGAAACACTCTTTTTCCAGAATGTGCAAGTGGACATTTGGGGAGCTTTGAGGCCTGTGGTGGAAAAGGAATTATCTTCCCGTAAAAGCTAGATAGAAGCATTGTCAGAAACTTCTTTGAGATGATTGCATTCAACTCACAGAGTTGAAGGTTCCTTTTCAAACAGCAGTTTCCAATCACTCTTTCTGTGGAATCTGCAAGTGGATATTTCAACCTCTTTGAAGATTTCGTTGGAAACGGGAGAATCTTCACAGAAAAGCTAAACAGAAGCATTCTCAGAAACTTCTCTGTGATGTTTGTGTTCAACTCCCAGAGTTTCACGTTGCTTTTCATAGAGTAGTTCTGAAACATGCTTTTCGTAGTGTCTGCAAGTGGACATTTGGAGCGCTTTCAGGCCTGTGGTGGAAAACGAATTATGGTCACATGAAAACTGGAGAGAAGCCTTCTCAGAAACTTCTCTGTGATGATTGCATTCAACTCACAGAGTTGAACCGTCCTATGGATAGAGCAGTGTTGAAACTCTCTTTTTGTGGAATCTGCAAGTGGATATGTGGACCTCTCCGAAGATGTCTTTGGAAACGGGGCTATCTTCACATAAAAACTAAACAGAAGCATTCTCAGAAACTTCTTGGTGATGTTTGCATTCAAATCCCAGAGTTGAACCTTCCTTTGATAGTTCAGGTTTGAAACACTCTTTTTGTAGGATCTGCAAGTGGATATTTGGACCACTCTGTGGCCTTCGTTCGAAACGGGTACATCTTCGCATAAAATCTAGACAGAAGCATTGTCAGAAACGTCTTTGTGATGATTGCATTCAACTGACAGAGTTGAAGGTTGCTTTTCAAACAGCAGTTTCCAAACACTCTTTCTGTGGAATCTGCAAGTGGATGTTTGGACCTCTCTGAGGATTTCGTTGGAAACGGGATAACTGCACCTAACTAAGCGGAAGCATTCTCAGAAACTTCTCTGTGATGTTTGTGTTCAACTCCCAGAGTTTCACATTGCTTCTCGTAGAGTAGTTCTGAAACATGCTTTTCGTAGTGTCTGCAAGTGGTCATTTGGAGCGCTTTCCGGCCTGTGGTGGAAAACGAATTATGGTCACATAAAAACTGGAGAGAAGCCTTCTCAGAAACTTCTCTGTGATGATTGCATTCAACTCACAGAGTTGAACCCTCCTATGGATAGAGCAGTGTTGAAACTCTCTTTTTGTGGAATCTGCAAGTGGATATGTGGACCTCTCCGAAGATGTCTTTGGAAACGGGAATATCTTCACATAAAAACTAAACAGAAGCATTCTCAGAAACTTCTTGGTGATGTTTGCATTCAAATCCCAGAGTTGAACCTTCCTTTGATAGTTCAGGTTTGAAACACTCTTTCTGTAGGATCTGCAAGTGGCTATTTGGACCACTCTGTGGCCTTCGTTCGAAATGGGTATATCTTCGCATAAAATCTAGACAGAAGCATTCTCAGAAAATACTTTGTGATGATTGAGTTTAACTCACAGAGCTGAACATTCCTTTGGATGGAGCAGGTTTGAGACACACCTTTTGTAGAATCTACAAGTGGATATTTGGACCTCTCTGAGGATTTCGTTGGAAACGGGATAACTGCACCTAACTAAACGGAAGCATTCTCAGAAACTGCTTTGTGATGATTGCATTCACCTCACAGAGTTGAACATTCCTATTGATAGAGCAGTTTGGAAACACTCTTGTTGTGGAATGTGCAAGTGGAGATTTGGAGCGCTTTGAGGCCTATGGTAGTAAAGGGAATAGCTTCATAGAAAAACTAGACAGATGCATTCTCAGGAACTTTTTGGTGATGTTTGTATTCAACTCCCAGAGTTGAACTTTCCTTTGGAAAGAGCAGCTATGAAACACTCTTTTTCTAGAATCTGCAAGTGGACGTTTGGAGGGCTTTGTGGTTTGTGGTGGAAAAGGAAATATCTTCACCTAAATACTAGATAGAAGCATTCTCAGAAGCTTCTCTGTGATGACTGCATTCAACTCACGGAGTTGAACACTCCTTTTGAGAGCGCAGTTTTGAAACTCTCTTTCTGTGGCATCTGCAAGGGGACATGTAGACCTCTTTGAAGATTTCGTTGGAAACGGAATCATCTTCACATAAAAACTATACAGAAGCAGTCTCAGAATCTTCTTTGTGATGTTTGCATTCAAATCCCAGAGTTGAACTTTCCTTTCAAAGTTCACGTTTGAAACACTCTTTTTGCAGGATCTACAAGTGGATATTTGGACCACTCTGTGTCCTTCGTTCGAAACGGGTATATCTTCACAGGACATCTAGACAGAAGCTTTCTCAGAAAATTCTTTGGGATGATTGAGTGGAACTCACAGAGCTGAACATTCCTTGCGATGTAGCAGTTTAGAAACACACTTTCTGCAGAATCTGCAAGTGCATATTTGGACCTCTCTGAGGAATTCGTTGGAAACGGGATAATTTCAGCTGACTAAACAGAAGCATTCTCAGAACCTTCTTCGTGATGTCTGCATTCAACTCACAGTGTGGAACCTTTCTTTGATAGTTCAGGTTTGAAACACTCTTTTTGTAGAAACTGCAAGGGGATAATTGCACTTCTTTGAGGCCTACCGTAGTAAAGGAAATAACTTCCTATAGAAAGAAGACAGAAGCATTCTCAGAACCCTCTTCGTGATGTTTGCATTCAACTCACAGTGCTGAACCTTTCTTTGATAGTTCAGCTTTGAAACACTCTTCTTGTAGAAACTGCAAGTGGATATTTGGTCCTCTCTGAGGATTTCGTTGGAAACGGGATAAACCGCACAGAACTAAACAGAAGAATTCTCAGAGCCCTCTTCGTGATGTTTGCATTCAACTCACAGTGCTGAACCTTTCTTTGATAGTGCAGCTTTGAAACACTCTTTTTGTAGAAACTGCAAGTGGATGTTTGGTCCTCTCTGAGGATTTCGTTGGAAACGGGATAAACCGCACAGAACTAAAACAGAAGCATTGTCAGAAACTTCTTTGTGATGATTGCATTCAACTCACAGAGTTGAAGGTTCCTTTTCAAACAGCAGTTTCCAATCACTCTTTCTGTGGAATCTGCAAGTGGATATTTGGGCCTCTCTGAGGATTTCGTTGGAAACGGGATAAAACGCACAGAACTAAAACAGAAGCATTCTCAGAAACTTCTCTGTGATGTTTGTGTTCAACTCCCAGAGTTTCACGTTGCTTTTCATAGAGTAGTTCTGAAACATGCTTTTCGTAGTGTCTGCAAGTGGACATTTGGAGCGCTTTCAGGCCTGTGGTGGAAAACGAATTATGGTCACATAAAAACTGGAGAGAAGCCTTCTCAGAAACTTCTCTGTGATGATTGCATTCAACTCACAGAGTTGAACCCTCCTATGGATAGAGCAGTGTTGAAACTCTCTTTTTGTGGAATCTGCAAGTGGATATGTGGACCTCTCCGAAGATGTCTTTGGAAACGGGAATATCTTCACATAAAAACTAAACAGAAGCATTCTCAGAAACTTCTTGGTGATGTTTGCATTCAAATCCCAGAGTTGAACCTTCCTTTGATAGTTCAGGTTTGAAACACTCTTTCTGTAGGATCTGCAAGTGGCTATTTGGACCACTCTGTGGCCTTCGTTCGAAACGGGTATATCTTCGCATAAAATCTAGACAGAAGCATTCTCAGAAAATACTTTGTGATGATTGAGTTTAAATCACAGAGCTGACCATTCCTTTGGATGGAGCAGGTTTGAGACACACTTTTTGTAGAATCTACAAGTGGATATTTGGACCTCTCTGAGGATTTCGTTGGAAACGGGATAACTGCACCTAACTAAACGGAAGCATTCTCAGAAACTGCTTTGTGATGATTGCATTCACCTCACAGAGTTGAACATTCCTATTGATAGAGCAGTTTGGAAACACTCTTGTTGTGGAATGTGCAAGTGGAGATTTGGAGCGCTTTGAGGCCTGTGGTAGTAAAGGGAATAGCTTCATAGAAAAACTAGACAGATGCATTCTCAGGAACTTTTTGGTGATGTTTGTATTCAACTCCCAGAGTTGAACTTTCCTTTGGAAAGAGCAGCTATGAAACACTCTTTTTCTAGAATCTGCAAGTGGACGTTTGGAGGGCTTTGTGGTTTGTGGTGGAAAAGGAAATATCTTCACCTAAATACTAGATAGAAGCATTCTCAGAAGCTTCTCTGTGATGACTGCATTCAACTCACGGAGTTGAACACTCCTTTTGAGAGCGCAGTTTTGAAACTCTCTTTCTGTGGCATCTGCAAGGGGACATGTAGACCTCTTTGAAGATTTCGTTGGAAACGGAATCATCTTCACATAAAAACTATACAGAAGCAGTCTCAGAATCTTCTTTGTGATGTTTGCATTCAAATCCCAGAGTTGAACTTTCGTTTCAAAGTTCACGTTTGAAACACTCTTTTTGCAGGATCTACAAGTGGATATTTGGACCACTCTGTGTCCTTCGTTCAAAACGGGTATATCTTCACATGACATCTAGACAGAAGCTTTCTCAGAAAATTCTTTGGGATGATTGAGTTGAACTCACAGAGCTGAGCATTCCTTGCGATGTAGCAGTTTAGAAACACACTTTCTGCAGAATCTGCAAGTGCATATTTGGACCTCTGTGAGGAATTCGTTGGAAACGGGATAATTTCAGCTGACTACACAGAAGCATTCTCAGAACCTTCTTCGTGATGTCTGCATTCAACTCACAGTGTGGAACCTTTCTTTGATAGTTCAGGTTTGAAACACTCTTTTTGTAGAAACTGCAAGGGGATAATTGCACTTCTTTGAGGCCTACCGTAGTAAAGGAAATAACTTCCTATAGAAAGAAGACAGAAGCATTCTCAGAACCCTCTTCGTGATGTTTGCATTCAACTCACAGTGCTGAAACTTTCTTTGATAGTTCAGCTTTGAAACACTCTTCTTGTAGAAACTGCAAGTGGATATTTGGTCCTCTCTTAGGATTTCGTTGGAAACGGGATAAACCGCACAGAACTACACAGAAGCATTCTCAGAACCTTCTTCGTGATGTTTGCATTCAACTCACAGTGTTGAACCTTTCTTTGATAGTTCAGGTTGGAAACGGTCTTTCTGTAGAAACTGCAAGTAGATATTTGGACCTCTCTGAGGATTTCGTTGGAAACGGGATAAACCGCACAGAACTAAAACAGAAGCATTCACAGAAAACTCTTGGTGACGACTGAGTTTAACTCACAGAGATGAACATCTCTTTGGATGGAGCAGTTTCGAAACACACTATTTGTAGAATGTGCAAGTGGATATTGGGGCCTCTCTGAGGATTTCGTTGGAAACGGGATAAACCGCACAGAACTAAACAGAAGCATTCTCAGAAACTACTTTGTGATGATTGCATGCAAGTCACAGAGTTGAACATTCCCTTTGACAGAGCAGTTTGGAAACTCTCTTTGTGTAGAATCTGCAAGTGGAGATATGGACCGCTTTGAGGACTATGGCAGTAAAGGAAATAGCTTCATATAAAAGCTAGACAGTAGCATTCTCAGAAACTTCTTTGTGATGCTTGCATTCAACTCACAGAGTTGAACTTTCCTTTCGAGAGAGAAGCTTTGAAACACTCTTTTTCCAGAATCTGCAAGTGGACATTTTGAGGGCTTTGAGGCCTGTGGTGGAAAAGGAATTATCTTCCCGTAAAAGCTAGACAGAAGCATTGTCAGAAACTTCTTTGTGACGATTGCATTCAACTCACAGAGATGAAGGTTCCTTTACAAACAGCAGTTTCCAAACACTCTTTCTGTGGAATCTGCAAGTGGATATTTGGACCTCTTTGAAGATTTCGTTGGAAACGGGAGAATCTTCACAGAAAAGCTAAACAGAAGCATTCTCAGAAACTTCTCTGTGATGTTTGTGTTCAACTCCCAGATTTTCACATTGCTTTTCATAGAGTAGTTCTGAAACATGCTTTTCGTAGTGTCTGCAAGTGGACATTTGGAGCGCTTTCAGGCCTGTGGTGGAAAACGAATTATGGTCCCATAAAAACTGGAGAGAAGCCTTCTCAGAAACTTCTCTGTGATGATTGCATTCAACTCACAGATTTGAACCCTCCTATGGATAGAGCATTGTTGAAACTCTCTTTTTGTGGAATCTGCAAGTGGATATGTGGACCTCTCCGAAGATGTCTTTGGAAACGGGAATATCTTCACATAAAAACTAAACAGAAGCATTCTCAGAAACTTCTTGGTGATGTTTGCATTCAAATCCCAGAGTTGAACCTTCCTGTGATAGTTCAGGTTTGAAACACTCTTTTTGTAGGATCTGCAAGTGGATATTTGGACCACTCTGTGGCCTTCGTTCGAAACGGGTACATCTTCACATAAAATCTAGACAGAAGCATTCTCAGAAAATACTTTGTGATGATTGAGTTTAACTCACAGAGCTGAACATTCCTTTGGATGGAGCAGGTTTGAGACACACTTTTTGTAGAATCTACAAGTGGATATTTGGACCTCTCTGAGGATTTCGTTGGAAACGCGATAACTGCACCTAACTAAACGGAAGCATTCTCAGAAACTGCTTTGTGATGATTGCATTCACCTCACAGAGTTGAACATTCCTATTGATAGAGCAGTTTGGAAACACTCTTGTTGTGGAATGTGCAAGTGGAGATTTGGAGCGCTTTGAGGCCTATGGTAGTAAAGGGAATAGCTTCATAGAAAAACTAGACAGATGCATTCTCAGGAACTTTTTGGTGATGTTTGTATTCAACTCCCAGAGTTGAACTTTCCTTTGGAAAGAGCAGCTATGAAACACTCTTTTTCTAGAATCTGCAAGTGGACGTTTGGAGGGCTTTGTGGTTTGTGGTGGAAAAGGAAATATCTTCACCTAAATACTAGATAGAAGCATTCTCAGAAGCTTCTCTGTGATGACTGCATTCAACTCACGGAGTTGAACACTCCTTTTGAGAGCGCAGTTTTGAAACTCTCTTTCTGTGGCATCTGCAAGGGGACATGTAGACCTCTTTGAAGATTTCGTTGGAAACGGAATCATCTTCACATAAAAACTATACAGAAGCAGTCTCAGAATCTTCTTTGTGATGTTTGCATTCAAATCCCAGAGTTGAACTTTCCTTTCAAAGTTCACGTTTGAAACACTCTTTTTGCAGGATCTACAAGTGGATATTTGGACCACTCTGTGTCCTTCGTTCGAAACGGGTATATCTTCACACGACATCTAGACAGAAGCTTTCTCAGAAAATTCTTTGGGATGATTGAGTGGAACTCACAGAGCTGAACATTCCTTGCGATGTAGCAGTTTAGAAACACACTTTCTGCAGAATCTGCAAGTGCATATTTGGACCTCTCTGAGGAATTCGTTGGAAACGGGATAATTTCAGCTGACTAAACAGAAGCATTCTCAGAACCTTCTTCGTGATGTCTGCATTCAACTCACAGTGTGGAACCTTTCTTTGATAGTTCAGGTTTGAAACACTCTTTTTGTAGAAACTGCAAGGGGATAATTGCACTTCTTTGAGGCCTACCGTAGTAAAGGAAATAACTTCCTATAGAAAGAAGACAGAAGCATTCTCAGAACCCTCTTCGTGATGTTTGCATTCAACTCACAGTGCTGAACCTTTCTTTGATAGTTCAGCTTTGAAACACTCTTCTTGTAGAAACTGCAAGTGGATATTTGGTCCTCTCTGAGGATTTCGTTGGAAACGGGATAAACCGCACAGAACTAAACAGAAGAATTCTCAGAGCCCTCTTCGTGATGTTTGCATTCAACTCACAGTGCTGAACCTTTCTTTGATAGTGCAGCTTTGAAACACTCTTTTTGTAGAAACTGCAAGTGGATATTTGGTCCTCTCTGAGGATTTCGTTGGAAACGGGATAAACCGCACAGAACTAAAACAGAAGCATTGTCAGAAACTTCTTTGTGATGATTGCATTCAACTCACAGAGTTGAAGGTTCCTTTTCAAACAGCAGTTTCCAATCACTCTTTCTGTGGAATCTGCAAGTGGATATTTGGGCCTCTCTGAGGATTTCGTTGGAAACGGGATAAAACCCACAGAACTAAAACAGAAGCATTCTCAGAAACTTCTCTGTGATGTTTGTGTTCAACTCCCAGAGTTTCACGTTGCTTTTCATAGAGTAGTTCTGAAACATGCTTTTCGTAGTGTCTGCAAGTGGACATTTGGAGCGCTTTCAGGCCTGTGGTGGAAAACGAATTATGGTCACATAAAAACTGGAGAGAAGCCTTCTCAGAAACTTCTCTGTGATGATTGCATTCAACTCACAGAGTTGAACCCTCCCTATGGATAGAGCAGTGTTGAAACTCTCTTTTTGTGGAATCTGCAAGTGGATATGTGGACCTCTCCGAAGATGTCTTTGGAAACGGGAATATCTTCACATAAAAACTAAACAGAAGCATTCTCAGAAACTTCTTGGTGATGTTTGCATTCAAATCCCAGAGTTGAACCTTCCTTTGATAGTTCAGGTTTGAAACACTCTTTCTGTAGGATCTGCAAGTGGCTATTTGGACCACTCTGTGGCCTTCGTTCGAAACGGGTATATCTTCGCATAAAATCTAGACAGAAGCATTCTCAGAAAATACTTTGTGATGATTGAGTTGAACTCACAGAGCTGAACATTCCTTTGGATGGAGCAGGTTTGAGACACACTTTTTGTAGAATCTACAAGTGGATATTTGGACCTCTCTGAGGATTTCGTTGGAAACGGGATAACTGCACCTAACTAAACGGAAGCATTCTCAGTAAACTGCTTTGTGATGATTGCATTCACCTCACAGAGTTGAACATTCCTATTGATAGAGCAGTTTGGAAACACTCTTCTTGTGGAATGTGCAAGTGGAGATTTGGAGCGCTTTGAGGCCTATGGTAGTAAAGGGAATAGCTTCATAGAAAAACTAGACAGATGCATTCTCAGGAACTTTTTGGTGATGTTTGTATTCAACTCCCAGAGTTGAACTTTCCTTTGGAAAGAGCAGCTATGAAACACTCTTTTTCTAGAATCTGCAAGTGGACGTTTGGAGGGCTTTGTGGTTTGTGGTGGAAAATGAAATATCTTCACCTAAATACTAGATAGAAGCATTCTCAGAAGCTTCTCTGTGATGACTGCATTCAACTCACGGAGTTGAACACTCCTTTTGAGAGCGCAGTTTTGAAACTCTCTTTCTGTGGCATCTGCAAGGGGACATGTAGACCTCTTTGAAGATTTCGTTGGAAACGGAATCATCTTCACATAAAAACTATACAGAAGCAGTCTCAGAATCTTCTTTGTGATGTTTGCATTCAAATCCCAGAGTTGAACTTTCCTTTCAAAGTTCACGTTTGAAACACTCTTTTTGCAGGATCTACAAGTGGATATTTGGACCACTCTGTGTCCTTCGTTCGAAACGGGTATATCTTCACACGACATCTAGACAGAAGCTTTCTCAGAAAATTCTTTGGGATGATTGAGTGGAACTCACAGAGCTGAACATTCCTTGCGATGTAGCAGTTTAGAAACACACTTTCTGCAGAATCTGCAAGTGCATATTTGGACCTCTCTGAGGAATTCGTTGGAAACGGGATAATTTCAGCTGACTAAACAGAAGCATTCTCAGAACCTTCTTCGTGATGTCTGCATTCAACTCACAGTGTGGAACCTTTCTTTGATAGTTCAGGTTTGAAACACTCTTTTTGTAGAAACTGCAAGGGGATAATTGCACTTCTTTGAGGCCTACCGTAGTAAAGGAAATAACTTCCTATAGAAAGAAGACAGAAGATTTCTCAGAACCCTCTTCGTGATGTTTGCATTCAACTCACAGTGCTGAACCTTTCTTTGATAGTTCAGCTTTGAAACACTCTTCTTGTAGAAACTGCAAGTGGATATTTGGTCCTCTCTGAGGATTTCGTTGGAAACGGGATAAACCGCACAGAACTAAACAGAAGATTTCTCAGAGCCCTCTTCGTGATGTTTGCATTCAACTCACAGTGCTGAACCTTTCTTTGATAGTGCAGCTTTAAAACACTCTTTTTGTAGAAACTGCAAGTGGATATTTGGTCCTCTCTGAGGATTTCGTTGGAAACGGAATAAACCGCACAGAACAAAAACAGAAGCATTCTCAGAACCTTCTTCGTGATGTTTGCATTCAACTCACAGTGTTGAACCTTTCTTTGATAGTTCAGGTTTGAAACGGTCTTTCTGTAGAAACTGCAAGTAGATATTTGGACCTCTCTGAGGATTTCGTTGGAAACGGGATAAACCGCACAGAACTAAAACAGAAGCATTCACAGAAAACTCTTGGTGACGACTGAGTTTAACTCACAGAGCTGAACATTCCTTTGGATGGAGCAGTTTCGAAACACACTATTTGTAGAATGTGCAAGTGGATATTTAGGCCTCTCTGAGGATTTCGTTGGAAACGGGATAAACCGCACAGAACTAAACAGAAGCATTCTCAGAAACTACTTTGTGATGATTGCATTCAAGTCACAGAGTTGAACATTCCCTTTGACAGAGCAGTTTGGAAACTCTCTTTGTGTAGAATCTGCAAGTGGAGATATGGACCGCTTTGAGGCCTATGGTAGTAAAGGAAATAGCTTCATATAAAAGCTAGACAGTAGCATTCTCAGAAACTTCTTTGTGATGCTTGCATTCAACTCACAGAGTTGAACTTTCCTTTCGAGAGAGAAGCTTTGAAACACTCTTTTTCCAGAATCTGCAAGTGGACATTTGGAGGGCTTTGAGGCCTGTGGTGGAAAAGGAATTATCTTCCCGTAAAAGCTAGATAGAAGCATTGTCAGAAACTTCTTTGTGATGATTGCATTCAACTCACAGAGTTGAAGGTTCCTTTTCAAAGAGCAGTTTCCAATCACTCTTTCTGTGGAATCTGCAAGTGGATATTTGGACCTCTTTGAAGATTTCGTTGGAAACGGGAGAATCTTCACAGGAAAGCTAAACAGAAGCATTCTCAGAAACTTCTCTGTGATGTTTGTGTTCAACTCCCAGAGTTTCACGTTGCTTTTCATAGAGTAGTTCTGAAACATGCTTTTCGTAGTGTCTGCAAGTGGACATTTGGAGCGCTTTCAGGCCTGTGGTGGAAAACGAATTATGGTCACATAAAAACTGGAGAGAAAGCCTTCTCAGAAACTTCTCTGTGATGATTGCATTCAACTCACAGAGTTGAACCCTCCTATGGATAGAGCAGTGTTGAAACTCTCTTTTTGTCGAATCTGCAAGTGGATATGTGGACCTCTCCGAAGATGTCTTTGGAAACGGGAATATCTTCACATAAAAACTAAACAGAAGCATTCTCAGAAACTTCTTGGTGATGTTTGCATTCAAATCCCAGAGTTGAACCTTCCTTTGATAGTTCAGGTTTGAAACACTCTTTTTGTAGGATCTGCAAGTGGCTATTTGGACCACTCTGTGGCCTTCGTTCGAAACGGGTATATCTTCGCATAAAATCAGACAGAAGCATTCTCAGAAAATACTTTGTGATGATTGAGTTTAAATCACAGAGCTGAACATTCCTTTGGATGGAGCAGGTTTGAGACACACTTTTTGTAGAATCTACAAGTGGATATTTGGACCTCTCTGAGGATTTCGTTGGAAACGGGATAACTGCACCTAACTAAACGGAAGCATTCTCAGAAACTGCTTTGTGATGATTGCATTCACCTCACAGAGTTGAACATTCCTATTGATAGAGCAGTTTGGAAACACTCTTGTTGTGGAATGTGCAAGTGGAGATTTGGAGCGCTTTGAGGCCTATGGTAGTAAAGGGAATAGCTTCATAGAAAAACTAGACAGGATGCATTCTCAGGAACTTTTTGGTGATGTTTGTATTCAACTCCCAGAGTTGAACTTTCCTTTGGAAAGAGCAGCTATGAAACACTCTTTTTCTAGAATCTGCAAGTGGACGTTTGGAGGGCTTTGTGGTTTGTGGTGGAAAAGGAAATATCTTCACCTAAATACTAGATAGAAGCATTCTCAGACGCTTCTCTGTGATGACTGCATTCAACTCACGGAGTTGAACACTCCTTTTGAGAGCGCAGTTTTGAAACTCTCTTTCTGTGGCATCTGCAAGGGGACATGTAGACCTCTTTGAAGATTTCGTTGGAAACGGAATCATCTTCACATCAAAACTATACAGAAGCAGTCTCAGAATCTTCTTTGTGATGTTTGCATTCAAATCCCAGAGTTGAACTTTCCTTTCAAAGTTCACGTTTGAAACACTCTTTTTGCAGGATCTACAAGTGGATATTTGGACCACTCTGTGTCCTTCGTTCGAAACGGGTATATCTTCACACGACATCTAGACAGAAGCTTTCTCAGAAAATTCTTTGGGATGATTGAGTGGAACTCACAGAGCTGAACATTCCTTGCGATGTAGCAGTTTAGAAACACACTTTCTGCAGAATCTGCAAGTGCATATTTGGACCTCTCTGAGGAATTCGTTGGATACGGGATAATTTCAGCTGACTAAACAGAAGCATTCTCAGAACCTTCTTCGTGATGTCTGCATTCAACTCACAGTGTGGAACCTTTCTTTGATAGTTCAGGTTTGAAACACTCTTTTTGTAGAAACTGCAAGGGGATAATTGCACTTCTTTGAGGCCTACCGTAGTAAAGGAAATAACTTCCTATAGAAAGAAGACAGAAGAATTCTCAGAGCCCTCTTCGTGATGTTTGCATTCAACTCACAGTGCTGAACCTTTCTTTGATAGTGCAGCTTTGAAACACTCTTCTTGTAGAAACTGCAAGTGGATATTTGGTCCTCTCTGAGGATTTCGTTGGAAACGGGATAAACCGCACAGAACTAAACAGAAGCATTCTCAGAACCTTCTTCGTGATGTTTGCATTCAACTCACAGTGTTGAACCTTTCTTTGATAGTTCAGGTTTGAAACGGTCTTTCTGTAGAAACTGCAAGTAGATATTTGGACCTCTCTGAGGATTTCGTTGGAAACGGGATAACCCGCACAGAACTAAAACAGAAGCATTCACAGAAAACTCTTGGTGACGACTGAGTTTAACTCACAGAGCTGAACATTCCTTTGGATGGAGCAGTTTCGAAACACACTATTTCTAGAAGGTGCAAGTGGATATGTGGGCCTCTCTGAGGATTTCGTTGGAAACGGGATAAACCGCACAGAACTAAACAGAATCATTCTCAGAAACTACTTTGTGATGATTGCATTCAAGTCACAGAGTTGAACATTCCCTTTGACAGAGCAGTTTGGAAACTCTCTTTGTGTAGAATCTGCAAGTGGAGATATGGACCGCTTTGAGGCCTATGGTAGTAAAGGAAATAGCTTCATATAAAAGCTAGACAGTAGCATTCTCAGAAACTTCTTTGTGATGCTTGCATTCAACTCACAGAGTTGAACTTTCCTTTCGAGAGAGAAGCTTTGAAACACTCTTTTTCCAGAATCTGCAAGTGGACATTTGGAGGGCGTTGAGGCCTGTGGTGGAAAAGGAATTATCTTCCCGTAAAAGCTAGATAGAAGCTTTGTCAGAAACTTCTTTGTGATGATTGCATTCAAGTCACAGAGTTGAAGGTTCCTTTTCAAAGAGCAGTTTCCAATCACTCTTTCTGTGGAATCTGCAAGTGGATATTTGGACCTCTTTGAAGATTTCGTTGGAAACGGGAGAATCTTCACAGAAAAGCTAAACAGAAGCATTCTCAGAAACTTCTCTGTGATGTTTGTGTTCAACTCCCAGAGTTTCACATTGCTTCTCATAGAGTAGTTCTGAAACATGCTTTTCGTAGTGTCTGCAAGTGGACATTTGGAGCGCTTTCAGGCCTGTGGTGGAAAACGAATTATGGTCACATAAAAACTGGAGAGAAGCCTTCTCAGAAACTTCTCTGTGATGATTGCATTCAACTCACAGAGTTGAACCCTCCTATGGATAGAGCAGTGTTGAAACTCTCTTTTTGTGGAATCTGCAAGCGGATATGTGGACCTCTCCGAAGATGTCTTTGGCAACGGGAATATCTTCACATAAAAACTAAACAGAAGCATTCTCAGAAACTTCTTGGTGATGTTTGCATTCAAATCCCAGAGTTGAACCTTCCTTTCATAGTTCAGGTTTGCAACACTCTTTTTGTAGGATCTGCAAGTGGATATTTGGACCACTCTGTGGCCTTCGTTCGAAACGGGTACATCTTCGCATAAAATCTAGACAGAAGCATTCTCAGAAAATACTTTGTGATGACTGAGTTGAACTCACAGAGCTGAACATTCCTTTGGATGGAGCAGGTTTGAGACACACTTTTTGTAGAATCTACAAGTGGATATTTGGACCTCTCTGAGGATTTCGTTGGAAACGGGATAACTGCACCTAACTAAACGGAAGCATTCTCAGAAACTGCTTTGTCATGATTGCATTCACCTCACAGAGTTGAACATTCCTATTGATAGAGCAGTTTGGAAACACTCTTGTTGTGGAATGTGCAAGTGGAGATTTGGAGCGCTTTGAGGCCTATGGTAGTAAAGGGAATAGCTTCATAGAAAAACTAGACAGATGCATTCTCAGGAACTTTTTGGTGATGTTTGTATTCAACTCCCAGAGTTGAACTTTCCTTTGGAAAGAGCAGCTATGAAACACTCTTTTTCTAGAATCTGCAAGTGGACGTTTGGAGGGCTTTGTGGTTTGTGGTGGAAAAGGAAATATCTTCACCTAAATACTAGATAGAAGCATTCTCAGAAGCTTCTCTGTGATGACTGCATTCAACTCACGGAGTTGAACACTCCTTTTGAGAGCGCAGTTTTGAAACTCTCTTTCTGTGGCATCTGCAAGGGGACATGTAGACCTCTTTGAAGATTTCGTTGGAAACGGAATCATCTTCACATAAAAACTATACAGAAGCAGTCTCAGAATCTTCTTTGTGATGTTTGCATTCAAATCCCAGAGTTGAACTTTCCTTTCAAAGTTCACGTTTGAAACACTCTTTTTGCAGGATCTACAAGTGGATATTTGGACCACTCTGTGTCCTTCGTTCGAAACGGGTATATCTTCACACGACATCTAGACAGAAGCTTTCTCAGAAAATTCTTTGGGATGATTGAGTGGAACTCACAGAGCTGAACATTCCTTGCGATGTAGCAGTTTAGAAACACACTTTCTGCAGAATCTGCAAGTGCATATTTGGACCTCTCTGAGGAATTCGTTGGAAACGGGATAATTTCAGCTGACTAAACAGAAGCATTCTCAGAACCTTCTTCGTGATGTCTGCATTCAACTCACAGTGTGGAACCTTTCTTTGATAGTTCAGGTTTGAAACACTCTTTTTGTAGAAACTGCAAGGGGATAATTGCACTTCTTTGAGGCCTACCGTAGTAAAGGAAATAACTTCCTATAGAAAGAAGACAGAAGCATTCTCAGAACCCTCTTCGTGATGTTTGCATTCAACTCACAGTGCTGAACCTTTCTTTGATAGTTCAGCTTTGAAACACTCTTCTTGTAGAAACTGCAAGTGGATATTTGGTCCTCTCTGAGGATTTCGTTGGAAACGGGATAAACCGCACAGAACTAAACAGAAGAATTCTCAGAGCCCTCTTCGTGATGTTTGCATTCAACTCACAGTGCTGAACCTTTCTTTGATAGTGCAGCTTTGAAACACTCTTTTTGTAGAAACTGCAAGTGGATGTTTGGTCCTCTCTGAGGATTTCGTTGGAAACGGGATAAACCGCACAGAACTAAAACAGAAGCATTCACAGAAAACTCTTGGTGACGACTGAGTTTAACTCACAGAGCTGAACATTCCTTTGGATGGAGCAGTTTCGAAACACACTATTTGTAGAATGTGCAAGTGGATATTTGGGCCTCTCTGAGGATTTCGTTGGAAACGGGATAAACCGCACAGAACTAAACAGAAGCATTCTCAGAAACTACTTTGTGATGATTGCATTCAAGTCACAGAGTTGAACATTCCCTTTGACAGAGCAGTTTGGAAACTCTCTTTCTGTAGAATCTGCAAGTGGAGATATGGACCGCTTTGAGGCCTATGGTAGTAAAGGAAATAGCTTCATATAAAAGCTAGACAGTAGCATTCTCAGAAACTTCTTTGTGATGCTTGCATTCAACTCACAGAGTTGAACTTTCCTTTCGAGAGAGAAGCTTTGAAACACTCTTTTTCCAGAATCTGCAAGTGGACATTTGGAGGGCTTTGAGGCCTGTGGTAGAAAAGGAATTAACTTCCCGTAAAAGCTAGATAGAAGCATTGTCAGAAACTTCTTTGTGATGATTGCATTCAACTCACAGAGTTGAAGGTTCCTTTTCAAACAGCAGTTTCCAATCACTCTTTCTGTGGAATCTGCAAGTGGATATTTGGGCCTCTCTGAGGATTTCGTTGGAAACGGGATAAAACGCACAGAACTAAAACAGAAGCATTCTCAGAAACTTCTCTGTGATGTTTGTGTTCAACTCCCAGAGTTTCACGTTGCTTTTCATAGAGTAGTTCTGAAACATGCTTTTCGTAGTGTCTGCAAGTGGACATTTGGAGCGCTTTCAGGCCTGTGGTGGAAAACGAATTATGGTCACATAAAAACTGGAGAGAAGCCTTCTCAGAAACTTCTCTGTGATGATTGCATTCAACTCACAGAGTTGAACCCTCCTATGGATAGAGCAGTGTTGAAACTCTCTTTTTGTGGAATCTGCAAGTGGATATGTGGACCTCTCCGAAGATGTCTTTGGAAACGGGAATATCTTCACATAAAAACTAAACAGAAGCATTCTCAGAAACTTCTTGGTGATGTTTGCATTCAAATCCCAGAGTTGAACCTTCCTTTGATAGTTCAGGTTTGAAACACTCTTTCTGTAGGATCTGCAAGTGGCTATTTGGACCACTCTGTGGCCTTCGTTCGAAACGGGTATATCTTCGCATAAAATCTAGACAGAAGCATTCTCAGAAAATACTTTGTGATGATTGAGTTTAAATCACAGAGCTGACCATTCCTTTGGATGGAGCAGGTTTGAGACACACTTTTTGTAGAATCTACAAGTGGATATTTGGACCTCTCTGAGGATTTCGTTGGAAACGGGATAACTGCACCTAACTAAACGGAAGCATTCTCAGAAACTGCTTTGTGATGATTGCATTCACCTCACAGAGTTGAACATTCCTATTGATAGAGCAGTTTGGAAACACTCTTGTTGTGGAATGTGCAAGTGGAGATTTGGAGCGCTTTGAGGTCTATGGTAGTAAAGGGAATAGCTTCATAGAAAAACTAGACAGATGCATTCTCAGGAACTTTTTGGTGATGTTTGTATTCAACTCCCAGAGTTGAACTTTCCTTTGGAAAGAGCAGCTATGAAACACTCTTTTTCTAGAATCTGCAAGTGGACGTTTGGAGGGCTTTGTGGTTTGTGGTGGAAAAGGAAATATCTTCACCTAAATACTAGATAGAAGCATTCTCAGAAGCTTCTCTGTGATGACTGCATTCAACTCACGGGAGTTGAACACTCCTTTTGAGAGCACAGTTTTGAAACTCTCTTTCTGTGGCATCTGCAAGGGGACATGTAGACCTCTTTGAAGATTTCGTTGGAAACGGAATCATCTTCACATAAAATCTATACAGAAGCAGTCTCAGAATCTTCTTTGTGATGTTTGCATTCAAATCCCAGAGTTGAACTTTCCTTTCAAAGTTCACGTTTGAAACACTCTTTTTGCAGGATCTACAAGTGGATATTTGGACCACTCTGTGTCCTTCGTTCGAAACGGGTATATCTTCACACGACATGCTAGACAGAAGCTTTCTCAGAAAATTCTTTGGGATGATTGAGTGGAACTCACAGAGCTGAACATTCCTTGCGATGTAGCAGTTTAGAAACACACTTTCTGCAGAATCTGCAAGTGCATATTTGGACCTCTCTGAGGAATTCGTTGGAAACGGGATAATTTCAGCTGACTAAACAGAAGCATTCTCAGAACCTTCTTCGTGATGTCTGCATTCAACTCACAGTGTGGAACCTTTCTTTGATAGTTCAGGTTTGAAACACTCTTTTTGTAGAGACTGCAAGGGGATAATTGCACTTCTTTGAGGCCTACCGTAGTAAAGGAAATAACTTCCTATAGAAAGAAGACAGAAGCATTCTCAGAACCCTCTTCGTGATGTTTGCATTCAACTCACAGTGCTGAACCTTTCTTTGATAGTTCAGCTTTGAAACACTCTTCTTGTAGAAACTGCAAGTGGATATTTGGTCCTCTCTGAGGATTTCGTTGGAAACGGGATAAACTGCACAGAACTAAACAGAAGAATTCTCAGAGCCCTCTTCGTGATGTTTGCATTCAACTCACAGTGCTGAACCTTTCTTTGATAGTGCAGCTTTGAAACACTCTTTTTGTAGAAACTGCAAGTGGATGTTTGGTCCTCTCTGAGGATTTCGTTGGAAACGGGATAAACCGCACAGAACTAAAACAGAAGCATTGTCAGAAACTTCTTTGTGATGATTGCATTCAACTCACAGAGTTGAAGGTTCCTTTTCAAACAGCAGTTTCCAATCACTCTTTCTGTGGAATCTGCAAGTGGATATTTGGGCCTCTCTGAGGATTTCGTTGGAAACGGGATAAAACGCACAGAACTAAAACAGAAGCATTCTCAGAAACTTCTCTGTGATGTTTGTGTTCAACTCCCAGAGTTTCACGTTGCTTTTCATAGAGTAGTTCTGAAACATGCTTTTCGTAGTGTCTGCAAGTGGACATTTGGAGCGCTTTCAGGCCTGTGGTGGAAAACGAATTATGGTCACATAAAAACTGGAGAGAAGCCTTCTCAGAAACTTCTCTGTGATGATTGCATTCAACTCACAGAGTTGAACCCTCCTATGGATAGAGCAGTGTTGAAACTCTCTTTTTGTGGAATCTGCAAGTGGATATGTGGACCTCTCCGAAGATGTCTTTGGAAACGGGAATATCTTCACATAAAAACTAAACAGAAGCATTCTCAGAAACTTCTTGGTGATGTTTGCATTCAAATCCCAGAGTTGAACCTTCCTTTGATAGTTCAGGTTTGAAACACTCTTTTTGTAGGATCTGCAAGTGGCTATTTGGACCACTCTGTGGCCTTCGTTCGAAACGGGTATATCTTCGCATAAAATCTAGACAGAAGCATTCTCAGAAAATACTTTGTGATGATTGAGTTTAAATCACAGAGCTGAACATTCCTTTGGATGGAGCAGGTTTGAGACACACTTTTTGTAGAATCTACAAGTGGATATTTGGACCTCTCTGAGGATTTCGTTGGAAACGGGATAACTGCACCTAACTAAACGGAAGCATTCTCAGAAACTGCTTTGTGATGATTGCATTCACCTCACAGAGTTGAACATTCCTATTGATAGAGCAGTTTGGAAACACTCTTGTTGTGGAATGTGCAAGTGGAGATTTGGAGCGCTTTGAGGCCTATGGTAGTAAAGGGAATAGCTTCATAGAAAAACTAGACAGATGCATTCTCAGGAACTTTTTGGTGATGTTTGTATTCAACTCCCAGAGTTGAACTTTCCTTTGGAAAGAGCAGCTATGAAACACTCTTTTTCTAGAATCTGCAAGTGGACGTTTGGAGGGCTTTGTGGTTTGTGGTGGAAAAGGAAATATCTTCACCTAAATACTAGGATAGAAGCATTCTCAGAAGCTTCTCTGTGATGACTGCATTCAACTCACGGAGTTGAACACTCCTTTTGAGAGCGTAGTTTTGAAACTCTCTTTCTGTGGCATCTGCAAGGGGACATGTAGACCTCTTTGAAGATTTCGTTGGAAACGGAATCATCTTCACATAAAAACTATACAGAAGCAGTCTCAGAATCTTCTTTGTGATGTTTGCATTCAAATCCCAGGAGTTGAACTTTCCTTTCAAAGTTCACGTTTGAAACACTCTTTTTGCAGGATCTACAAGTGGATATTTGGACCACTCTGTGTCCTTCGTTCGAAACGGGTATAACTTCACACGACATCTAGACAGAAGCTTTCTCAGAAAATTCTTTGGGATGATTGAGTGGAACTCACAGAAGCTGAACATTCCTTGCGATGTAGCAGTTTAGAAACACACTTTCTGCAGAATCTGCAAGTGCATATGTGGACCTCTCTGAGGAATTCGTTGGAAACGGGATAATTTCAGCTGACTAAACAGAAGCATTCTCAGAACCTTCTTCGTGATGTCTGCATTCAACTCACAGTGTGGAACCTTTCTTTGATAGTTCAGGTGTGAAACACTCTTTTTGTAGAAACTGCAAGGGGATAATTGCACTTCTTTGAGGCCTACCGTAGTAAAGGAAATAACTTCCTATAGAAAGAAGACAGAAGCATTCTCAGAACCCTCTTCGTGATGTTTGCATTCAACTCACAGTGCTGAACCTTTCTTTGATAGTTCAGCTTTGAAACACTCTTCTTGTAGAAACTGCAAGTGGATATTTGGTCCTCTCTGAGGATTTCGTTGGAAACGGGATAAACCGCACAGAACTAAACAGAAGCATTCTCTGAACTTTCTTCGTGATGTTTGCATTCAACTCACAGTGTTGAACCTTTCTTTGATAGTTCAGGTTTGAAACGGTCTTTCTGTAGAAACTGCAAGTAGATATTTGGACCTCTCTGAGGATTTCGTTGGAAACGGGATAAACCGCACAGAACTAAAACAGAAGCATTCACAGAAAACTCTTGGTGACGACTGAGTTTAACTCACAGAGCTGAACATTCCTTTGGATGGAGCAGTTTCGAAACACACTATTTGTAGAATCTGCAAGTGGATATTTGGGCCTCTCTGAGGATTTCGTTGGAAACGGGATAAACCGCACAGAACTAAACAGAAGCATTCTCAGAAACTACTTTGTGATGATTGCATTCAAGTCACAGAGTTGAACATTTCCTTTGACAGAGCAGTTTGGAAACTCTCTTTGTGTAGAATCTGCAAGTGGAGATATGGACCGCTTTGAGGCCTATGGTAGTAAAGGAAATAGCTTCATATAAAAGCTAGACAGTAGCATTCTCAGAAACTTCTTTGTGATGCTTGCATTCAACTCACAGAGTTGAACTTTCCTTTCGAGAGAGAAGCTTTGAAACACTCTTTTTCCAGAATGTGCAAGTGGACATTTGGGGAGCTTTGAGGCCTGGGGTGGAAAAGGAATTATCTTCCCGTAAAAGCTAGATAGAAGCATTGTCAGAAACTTCTTTGTGATGATTGCATTCAACTCACAGAGTTGAAGGTTCCTTTTCAAACAGCAGTTTCCAATCACTCTTTCTGTGGAATCTGCAAGTGGATATTTCGACCTCTTTGAAGATTTCGTTGGAAACGGGAG